>NC_000008.11:6710271-7012556 GCF_000001405.40 Homo sapiens
AAATTGCATACCTTACCTGATGTTCAGAGATCCGATTTACTTCTTGATTTCCCAGCAAGTGATTTTGAAAACATTTAATCTAATCATTCCCCCCACCGTCTGTTCAAATCAAAGGAAGTGGCATCCAGCACTAATTTTCATGCATTTATGAAAGGATGCCTGAGGACCCTTAAGTATAATTCAAAATTTTGTTTAATGTGTGTTCCTTGATGAAGTTCTTTAGGAGTCGTAGAACGAACTGATTGCCCACTGATCATCAAATGCAAGTTATGAACATTTAATAAAAATTTAAAACCAAGAGTTTCTTGTTCCTGCATTTTTATTTTTATTGTATGGAGGGGACAAATAATTATTTTCTGTTTAGTAACAGAGCAGGGTATTTTGAATTTATTAGGGTCTTTTTCTGCAATCTGGGTTTCCTGTGTACACAAAGCTACCTTTCAATATTTTTTATTGTTTCTGTTAAGATTAAATCAATAGAGGAATAAATAGCTATCTTCAAACATAAGACCCAAAGGAAAAAGATTTATAGTGATGTTCTGTCACCTTATTTTTTACCTGTGACTTTGTACCATTAACTTTGTCACTGAGATGTTTTGATTAAAATTTTTAGCTTGCTTTTCTTGTTTTGTTAGGACACTCTTTTTTTCTTGAATTGTTTTTATCAGCTTTCGTTTGCAAGGCTAGTGATGATTCTCTTGTTCTGTATAAAGTATTGTTGACTCATTTCTGAAGGGAGTTTTAGTAATTTAAGAGGTTATAAGTTTTTAAATAAAAGGTTTATTAATTTATATATATTAAAGAGGCATTTTAAAATAAAATTTTTTTTAAATGACATTTTTACACCTTTCAACTCTAGGTTTAAAAAATAAGTGGTTCACAGTAGTTCTTGCAGAAGAATATTTTCTTTTACATAGAATTTTTAAGCTGAAGAGAAGTAGTAGTAGGTCCATGAGATTTATGATCTGTGCTTGGCAGGTAAACCTGCTTCCAACAAATTTAGTTGGATTTTTCTTGGATTCTGGGTAAATACCTTTTTCTTCCCCAATTTCACTACTTTATTTTCATATGTATCTCTGAGATAGAGAAATATTTCAGTCAGTGCTGCTAAAATTGTTCCTTATAACTCGTTTATCCTTTTAGGTCCTTCCAGAATCTCTCATTGGTACTGAAACTCAAATGGGTACTTTCTTCACCATTTATTTCTTTAGAATAAGTAATAAGAATTTTATAAGCTTTTTTATATTTCACGTAATTTGAGACTATTGAAAATCCAGTTAAGTCTCTCTACTGTGTTGAGAGGCATTGATTCAAGTACCTGTGTTACTTTCCTGTGCTGCCAAAACAGATCACCTCAAACTAAGCGGCTTAAAATAATAGAACTTAAGTTCTCGTGATTCTGGAGGCCAGCACTTTGAAATCAAGGTGTAGGCTCAATTTTACTCCCTCTGGAGGCCCTAGGGGGAATCCGTTCTTGTGGGTTTCAACTTCTGGTGACTGGTGGCATTCCTTGGCTTGGGGCCCCATCACTTTAACCTCTGCCTTACAGTCCTTGCTGCCACCTCTTCTGTCTCACATCTCACTCTCCCTTTCTCTTAGAAGGATGCTTGTCATTGGGTTTAGAGCCCACCTGGATATTCCGGGATGATCTCTTCATCTCAAGATCCTTAATTATAACTGCAAAGAGCCTTTTTCCAAATAAGAAAACATTCACAGGTTCCAGGGCTTAGGATGTGGACACATTTTTTGAGGGGCTGCCCTTCATTCCCCCACAACAATGAACTCCATAGTTCTGCCTATTCAGTATTTTGTAGTTATTTCGTAGTTTAACTTGCCTTATTTCTTTAGGTATTTACGTATTAAAGCATTTTGGTCTCTGCTTTCTTTAACAGAGAACCTGGTTTTCTGTAATAAGTTTACTTACTTTCCCATAATCTTTTAGTTTCTTATTTACAGATTTACCTTCACATATCCCTTAAGTAGAACATTTGATTAACTGTTTTATTTTCGGAACAAATCTGCATTCTGTATAATAACCAACTTATTCATATTTCGGTATTCTTTTAATTCTTATCTGATTCTGAAATTACCATCTTGTGATTATATATATATATATATGGAAATAACTGAAATCCTGATAAATTAAAGGTGATATAACTTCTAAGACAATTAATTATGTATGATGTGGTGAATATACTGGTGTTTGGTTTGTTTGCCACTTAAAAGCCCTATCTATAGGATAGGAAGTAACTTGAATGTGGAATGCTTAGAGACTCAGAGTAAGAGGCCGTATATATATCCTTGAGCTGGAGTTTAAGGAAAACTTATGGGAAATTAAAAGGAAAGTTGGAGTACTGACAGAGGATTGGGTAGGACTCATGAAAAAGGAATGAAGTTACCTTAAATTCTATCATCGTGAGTTAACGTGAAACTAGATTTATGTTAGTTTATAGCCTAGAATTCTATCCTAGGAATCTAGATATATCCTAAATGTTGAGATAGCTGCATAAACAATAACTGTAATCGTTATGATAAATAATGACAAATCTTTTTAGCATGTTCTGTGAAGCTGATAAATGTTAATAGGATGTCTTCAAATGTCAGAATTCTTTTTTCTTTGCTTCTTTTTTAAAAAATTTCTTTTCCCCCATTCCTATGCAATACACTGAAAACTGATCATTGAAATTTGTAGGCCAAAAAATTAATCAACACGTAATAGATTGGGGTTTGGGTTTTTTTGAGTCAGGGTCTTCTTCTGTCACCCAGGCTCTGGTGCGGTGGCACCATCATTGCTCATTGCAGCCTTGAATGCCTGGGTTCAAGTGATCCTCCGGAGTAGCTGCCGTGCCATTATTTCTAGCTAATTTTTAAAAGTTTTTGTAGAAATGGGGTCTTTCTGTGTTGCCCAGGCTGGTCTTGAATTCCTGGCCTCAGGTGATCCTTCTGCCTTGGCCTCCCAAAGTGCTGGGATTACAGGTGTGAGCCACCATGCCTAGCCCCTAATAAATATTCTAATTACCGATTTATCTTGCTTAAATCAGTTGGTAACACTTGGAATTTACTTCAGAATATATTTTACATTAGTGGCTCTGACTGCTAATTCCCCCTTCTCCAAATGCTAATGTAATATAACAATAAAATGCACAGTTCTTAAGTTTATATAAAATAAACAGGTTTTCAGTTGACCTGCTTTAAGTGTAAAATAGTGTGAAAAACACAAGAAAGAAGATAAAGAATTTAAGATTTTGACATTTCTCTAATATGCCCTTAACTTCTCCAAGGATTCATACTTTTTTTTGTAAGACAGAATCTCACACTGTTGCCCAAACCAGAGGTGCAGTGGTGCAGTCTCCACTCACTGCAACCTCTGCCCCCGGGCTCAAGCGGTCCTCCCACCTCAGCCTCCTGAGTAGCTGGGACTACAGGTACACAGCACCATGCCCAGCTAATTTTTTTTTTGGTATTTTTTAGTGGGGGTAGAGACGAGATTTTGCCATATTGCCCAGTCTGGTTTTGAGCTCCTGGGCTCAAGTGATCCGTCCTTGATCCACCATGCTTAGCTGATTCATACTCTTAACTGAAACATTGTTCCAAGTTTCTCAGAAACAGTCAAGGCTTTTTATCTAGAGAACATTTATAACTGGATCTTTCTTTGTGTAGCACTGATTCATCAAACTAATCCTAAACTCCTAATGAGTTAAATTTATATTCTGAATCTTGCTGTAAAAGCAGCCATTCATTAGAATGAAACATGTTTACTTAGAATTGGAGAAGGGAGCTTATAAGTCATCTAGTCTACTCCCTTTTATGACACTTCTACATTCTTTCTGCACTTCTGCCAAAATGTTGCCCAGCGTCGTCTCTGATACCTATAGTCCTAACAAGAATATGAATCATACCTTGTATCCTTAATTTTACTCTTCTCTGCTTATTTGCCATTCATGTGAAGACCTTAAATAGATCTTAAATTGCTTCCTTCACTTTAGCTGAGAGTGACAGGACTGTGTAGGTGTGGGTGTGTTTCTGCATTTGCTTATTTAAGCAGGATAATAAAAACTTTTACTATAGGAAATTAAACATTTCCCAATCAAATACAATTCCAGTCTAACACAATTAAATTCTGGTTAGGGAACTGCTTAACTTACTAGACTTATAGGAAAATACTAAAAAAATGTAACTAGAACTCTATTTTTACACTTTATAAATATAAACCTCTGTGAACAAACCAGTTATTTCAGGTTGCATTTGTGTATAGTTTTTTAATGCCTGATTTTTCTATTTTAAAATCACAGATGCAATTATACATTCAAACACTGCCACAATACTTTGAGAAAGTTAAAGTTTCCCCTACTCCTACACTGCGTACACCTTTCCTAGGTACATCCCAGTTTGGTGTGTAACTTTAGATTTCTTCCAAGAGCTTTTGAGTAAGTGTTTGAATTGTGGGAAGGTTCTTTAGTTAAATGAACTTCTTACAGATCAGTTTTTTAGTACAGTAGCACGAAATATACCTGCATACCTATGGGGATACCTCTGTGCCATTACGATGGAAGGCACGGGAAAACAGCACTCCGTATATACCTAGTTTACTTTCCCTCTTTTGTATATTTGTCTGATTTTGTGGAGCTGATGCTTCTCAAGTGGAATCAGAAGTTAACTTTTCCTTTACTATTTTCTCATTTTATTATGGTTTCTTAACTAGAGGTTGATGTTAGTGGTTGGACCATTCAATAGTAAGTAATGACTTTTCAGTAAGGGATCTCTAGAACCCAGATCCCTTAATTCCTGCAATATTCCCGTGTGTACATTGTTCCAGGTGCTGTCCTGGGTACCAAGGGGTACAATGTTTGATAGACAATGTACCTGCCATTATGGAGGTCACATTCTAGTGTGGGAAGACAAACAATAACAAGAAAATGAAAATTTACTGTGCCATGCCAGGTTGTTTAGCCTGGTGGGTGAGAGGTAGGGGTTTGGAAAATCTTACTGAGCAAGTGACATTTGTGTGGAGCTCTGTAAAAGGGCCAGCTTGGAAGGTAATGTAGTCATCCAGGTGAGAAATGATGGTTAGGGGAGTGGAAAGAGTGGATGTTAAGATTGAAAAGAATTCCAAATCTATTTTAGTGGTAGCTGATAGGGCTTTGTGATTGAATGTGGAGGAAAAAGAAGAGGGTGGGTTAGTAACACACTCAGTCGCAGTTAGTGAGTGCTGCTGTGTGCAAGTATTGTTCTATTATGTAAATAATTCCATCTTTACAAAGTAGGCACCATTCTTCCTCTTTTACAGACAAGGAAAAGGGAACACCCATGGTTCACATCTGTAGTAGCCTAGCCAGGAGTTTCAGGCACTTATTTTCTGAAGATGCTCTGCCTGGCAATGTGGTTATATTGGTTGAAATGAGACCCCCTACTTTCAAGGTATTCATCTAGGAAAGACATGAACTGCCAATTACAATATAGGATAACACTGAAATTAGAGACGTGTTTATTAACTTTGCCATACAGAGGTAAAGTAACTCTTTAAAGTAACTCTTTGCTTGGGTTAGTGGAGAAGGCTATAAAAATTACTTGGAGTTTTTACTTTGAACATGCGTAATTAACATGGAATGTTTAGGGAAAAGAGGTTTTCAATTGATAACATAATAAACATGAGGAGTTTGAAGCATGGCATTCAAGGTTTTCTAAATTCTGCCCCGGTTAACTTTTCCATTCGTTGGTTTCATTCTAGTCTAGCTTTTCCTTCTGGGCCGCCCCTCCCCACATTAGACCGCTCCTCTCTGGAATTCCAACTCAAGCCCTTGCTTTTCTCCATCTGTCATGATGTTACCCCATCTCATTGTCAGGGTAACTTTTATGTAATATTAACATATATAATACTGATATAACATTAGCATATTTTAATGTATGGATCATCTCCTCTGCAACATTGTAACCTCTTGGAGATGGCAATAATGGGAAGAATGACTTGATTTTACTTTTTCTTTTAACAAAAATGGTGGAGTAGTCTGGGCACGGTGTGGCTCATGCCTGTAATCCCAGCATTTTGGGAGGCCAAGGAGGGTGGATCACTTGAGGTCAGGCATTCGAGACCAGTCTGGCCAACATTGTGAAACCCCATCTCTACCAAAAAAATACAAACACTTACTGGGCATGGTGGTGTGTGCCTGTAGTCCTAGCTACTCAGGAGGCTGAGGTGGGAGAATCACTTGAACATGGGAGGTAGAGGCTCCAGCTTGGGCGACAGAGTGAGACCCTGTCTCAAAAGAAAAAAAAGGTAAAAGGGCCAGGTGCGGAGGCTCACGCTGGTAATCCAAGCACTTTGGGAGGCTGAGGCAATGGATCACCTGAGGTCGGGAGTTCGAGATCAGCCTGACCAACATGGAGAAACCCCTTCTCTACTAAAAATACAAAATTAGCCGGGCGTGGTGGTGCCTGCCTGTAATCTCAGCTACATGGGAGGCTGAGGCAGGAGAATCACTTGAGCCCAGGAGACAGAGGTTGTGGTAAGCCAAGATGGCACCATTGCACTCCAGACTGGGCAACAAGAGCGAAATTCCGTCTCAAAACAAACAAACAAACAAAACAAAACAGAGAGAAAAGGCAGAGTACTCTAGGGAATTCTAGTCTGTGTTTCTGTGGAAATGTATATGAATCTCACTTTTAAGGGATGGAGATTTTTGAATGGCATAACTAGTTGATAAGTTTTGCTCTAACAGGGTACCCAAGTCTAGTGAGTCCGATTCATTCTTTCCTTAAATAGATGAAGGAGGAAGAAACATGACTCCACCCTCAAGAGTAAGGCAGAATGAGCAAAGTCAGAGAAGTTAAAAAAGAATTCTCACGCAGCCAGCAGTGCAGAGAAACCTTGGTTTAGTTGTGAATCAAAACCAGTACTTTTTGTAATTTTTGAGCCTATGCAATTCTCCAAGGTTTTATGTTGTTTCTTCTGTTTCTCTGTAGGCACCAGAAATCAAAACCCCAAATAAGAAAGTGTTACTTGAAGATTTTAGAGTACTTATTTGTGTATAAGTGTAAGTAATATTTGGAAGACGACTTTACTGCGCTCCTCCAGCTTGGCATGAGAATTCCAGGGGCGGAAAGAAAGGAGGGTGATGGTACCTGGAAAGGAGAGTCATGTTAAGTCCCAGCCACATATTAAGTGCTAACCACCTACTGTTAAAAGGTGTAATGTTCTAGACTGACAAAATACATAGTCTCTACCGTAAAGTAACACATAATTTAGCAGTGCAGAAAGATGTCACTTAAAAGAAAACTTGAATATATGCTGAGATAGTTCACAAATTAAAGAAATGAACAAAGAACTGAGGAAATAAAGGAGGAATACAACTGTGTCCAAATGAATACTTAACTGGGTGGGAGCTGTTGCATATGTAAGCAGGTGGTTCACCTAAAAGTTGGATGTAACGTAGTTAACGCCAGCTCTTGGTGCACTTACATATTGCATTGCTTCCGGGCTTAATTTGTGTTCATATAGGAATAAATTTTTTGTTGGTTTTTAATTTTACTCCTTGTAATTCCGTAGTTGATATTCAAAGTGAAAAAAATTACATAAGCTTCTAATATATGAGAAGTCTTCTCACTTGACATTTTTTATTTGGAATTTTTGCAGAGAGTAGTTTTGTCACAGTCAAAAGATTTTGGGATCTTGCAGTGAGAAACCTAGGTGTAATTCCTATTTCTCTGCCATTCCGTATGTCATCTGGATTAAGTGTCAACTTCTCAGTCTCAAGATTCTCGTCCTTAAATGGAATACTTTTTGTCATGCTATTTTGAAGACAAAATGAGATAATACGTGAAACTGCCTAGCTCAGTGAATGGTACATCATAGATACTCAGAAAAAACACACCCTCTAAAATAAGAACAGTACCAAAAGACAGGATGTAAAATAAGGGCAGTACCAAAAGACACATGCATGCTGAGTGTATGAGAAAGAACTTTGTGGCCTTCTTGGGTGGCACAGGCCATGGCAGTTCCACAGCATGACGTGGTTGCTGTGGGTGGTAGAGCAGACATGCCGCTCCCCGTCACTGCCTGGCTTTGATGCTTGCTTTCTTCAGCTGAGAGGACGCAGCTGTGATATGAAGGTCTTGTGTGTACAGTCGTGACCTCACATTTCCAATTTCCTGCTGGCAGAACCCACAGTCTACAACGTACGAGCACCAGAGTTGACGTGAGACAGACAGCATACAGAGGCTTGTAACATCCTTCTGGAAAACACTGTGTAAGCTTTCAGTGCGAATAAACATGATCAGTGGCAAGTTCTGTTAGATGTAGTCTGCAAGCATCCTGATTTTACTGGGCAAGACTATGTTGATTTACAGGCGGCTGATGATTCCATGGATAGCCCACTACTAGTATTTTTACAAATTTCACAAGACATTCTTACTGGAAGATTGCCCTGTTCTTATGATACTGCTGCCCTTTTAGCTTCATTTGCTGTTCAGACTAAACTTGGAGAGTACAGTCAGTCAGAGAACTTGCTAGGCCACCTCTCAGGTTATTCTTTCATTCCTGATCATCCTCAAAATTTTGAAAAAGAAATTGTAAAAATTACATCAGCAACATATAGGCTTATGTCCTTGAGAAGCAGCAGTTAATTACCTAAACACAGCAAGTACCTTAGAACTCTGTGGAGTTGAATTGCACTATGCAAGGGATCAAGTAACAATAAAATTATGATTGGAATGATGTCAAGAGGAATTCTGATTTATAACAGGCTATGAATGAGTACCTTTCCATGGTCGAAGATTGTAAAAATTTGTTTTAAGTGCAAACAGTTTTTTATTCAGCTTTGAAAATGACTTGCATAAATCTGGAGAAAGATTATCAGGATTTAATATGGTGAATTATATGGCATGTAAACATTTGTGGAAAGCAAGTTTAGAACATCACATATTCTTCTGTTTGGACAGACCACTTCCAACTAGAAAGAATTTTTTTGCACATTATTTTACATTAGGTTCAAAATTCCTAATGCATGGTGGGAGAACTGAAGTTCAGTTAGTTCAGTATGGCAAAGAAAAGGCAAATAAAGACAGACTACTTGCAGGATCCTCAAGTAAGCCATTGACGTGGAAATTAATAGTTTGGGAAGTAGTAGGCAGGAATTCAATATCTGATGAAAAGATTAGAAACATAAAGCCTTCCATCACAATTCCCACCCGGAACAGGAATTCCTACTCATCAAAATTCTGCATTCATACAAGAGGGAACCTGATTATGACCATCTTCTGTTGGTCATTTGGTAGATTATGTGGTTCACACTTCTTCCAAATATTTGCAAATCAGACATCACCATTATCAGCACAAGCTAATAGCATCATTCGGGAATCATCACTATTACAGGACACCCCTGGAGATGGGTAGCCTCCAGCTTTACCACCCAAACAAGCTAAGAAAAACTGTTGGAACCAAATTCATTATTTACATTTTCAACAAGATCTGGAAGATCATATTAATGAAACGTTGATGTTCTATCTTCTCTTAAAAAATCTGCTCCTAATGGTGGTATTCTACATGATAATCATGTTCTAATCCGAGTGAACCTGACGAAAATGGAAGGTTTGGAGTCAATGCAAAGGGGGATATGATCAGAAGATGTCTGTGATCGTGTCCTGAGAAGCACCAGGAACACCTTTGACCTCAGTGACTCTCGATTGAAGAGAAGACCAAGTTGTATTGATCAGTGGTTGGGACTTTACAGAACACACCCATGATTGGATTGTCCTGCTTTTTAAAGCCAACTGTGAGAGACATTCTGGGGAACTCATGCTTCTAGTTCTACCTATGCTGCATATGATGTAGTGGAAGAAGTGCTAGAAAATGAGACAGACTTCCAGTACATTCTGGAGAAAGCCCCACTAGATAGTGTCCACCAGGATGACCATGTGCTGTGGGAGTCAGTGATCCAGCTAACCGAGGGCTTATCGCTGGAACATTCTGGACACAATTTGATCAACTTATCAAAAAAAAAACTTGGAATGACAATTTCTGGTGCCAGATTACCTTAGAACCTTTGCAAAAATAGATAGAGATAGTTTTCCTTATGATGTTACATGGGTTATTTTTAAAGGTAATGAAAACTACATCAGTGTAATTCCAGCATCATAAGTCAGAACAGTGCTTGTCAAGGGGCGTTACCACACACTTGAACAGATTTTTGGCAGATGACTTGGGAACAAGGCTCCTCCATGTTTGTAATGTTGACCACACAAGTTGAAT
Source organism: Homo sapiens (assembly GCF_000001405.40). Lineage (NCBI taxonomy): Eukaryota > Metazoa > Chordata > Mammalia > Primates > Hominidae > Homo > Homo sapiens. Next base: position 6,720,515 of record NC_000008.11, read on the forward strand.
GTGGCAGAGTTAAATGACCCCAATATTGGCCAGAACCCACAGGAAGTTCATCCTATGGATGCTACCAAGCCTTCTGCCACTGAGAAGAAGGAAGCACTGTCTTTATCTTCAGGAAGATCACACTGCTGTTTAACCAAGAGAAAAATTAGAGAGTCATCAATCACGCAGATCCAGTACAGAGGGTGGCCTGACCATGGAGACCCTGATGATTCAGTGACTTTCTGGATTTTGTTTTTCATATGCAAAATAAGAGGGCTAGCAAGGAAAAACCCCTTGTTGTTTCTTGCAGTGCTGGAGTTGGAAGAACCAGCGTTCTTAATACTATGGAAACAGCCATGTGTCTCATTGATCTCATTGAATGCAGTCAGCCAGTTTATTCACTAGACATGGTAAGAACAATGAGAGAGCAGTGAGCCGTGATGGTCCAAACACCTAGTCATTACAGTTTTGCGTGTGAAGTACTATTTTGAAAGCTTATGAAGAAGGCTTTGCTGAAGAAAGCAAAAGGAAAAAAAGAACTTTGTCATCTGTTAGGTTCCATTTATTGCATGATAATTGTGTTTGTATTGATTATTGGGCAAGTAGCTGTTTGCTATTTTGATCTTATTTCAGAAGGGCATAATAATTTTACTATTCAATGAAACGTTTTAAACGGGGTAGAAAAAGACTAGTTTTTGTATGCTTTACAGCAGAAATCTTATAATGATTAACTGGTAATATATTTCGTTGGCATAAAAATACATTTAAAAGTTCAAGTAATTATAAACATTGTAAATTGTATATGTAATCATATTGAAATTGAAATTCTTTATAGCTGTACTTCTGTGTAATCAAAGACTGGGGAGAGATAGACTAGCTAGCTCTTTCTCTTATCCATTAATCACTTAACAGAGTTTTGAATAAAAAGTTCCATTTCATGGGATAAGAATAATGACAGGTTAACCTATTTTAGTTGGTTACTATGTTCTAGGTGTTGTATGAAGTAGTTTACATAGTTTCACTGATTTCACTACAATCCCAGGAGGAGTAGTTACTATTATTACACTCATTTTACAGGCAAAGAAATAGGTTTGGAGGGGTTGGGTGTTTTGCCCAAGTTCTCATCGTAAAATGACAGATGAGGATTCAAATTCAAGTCTTAATTGAAGTCCATTACTTTAGAACCTACCTCTTAGTGGCTCTTATGTTACAGTATAAGGGAGAGCAGACTGTTCCTTTACCCTTGTAGGGTAGCTAGGGCTTGTGAATTAAGAGACTGATTAACAGGAGAAGAGGCATACACATTTTTTTGACGTTAGTATTTTTACATGCACAGGGAAGGAGGGTTTTATTTTTATTTTTATTTTTATCTTTATTTTAAAGAGACAGGGGTCTTGCTGTGTTGCCAGGGCTGGACTCAAACTCCTGAAGCCAAGCGATTCTTCTGCTTGAGATTCCTGAGTAGCAGGGACTATAGGTGTGCTCCTCTGTGCTTGGCTAAAGAAGGGGTTTGTATGTGATTTTTAACAAAGGCTGATAAATTGTGAAAAAGTGACTAGTCAAAGGAGAAGAGGATTTCAGCTCCCAGGGGTGGTAAATTGTGGGAAGATGACTAGGAAATGTATAGTAATAAGGTTTGCTATGCAGGTTTATTTTGCCAGTTTCTGGTCTCCTAATAAGGGACAGGGAAACACCTTTACAGATGGAAATTCATATCACCTTTCCACAGGGAAATTTATGTCCTGCCTTAGGCAGTTAGGGGAAGGGCAGAGAATTCTTCCTGTATCTGCTGTGTCTCAGGTGCCTTCAGCTCAAAATAATCCTTATGCCAAAGTAGCATATTTGGGTGTGGCATATTCTCTGATCTCTTTCAACAGCATCATCTATACTTAACAACAGCAAAAGTTTTTTTTAAAAAATCATGTTTCAAGATTTGCATGTGGAAGACAAATGGACATGATTGAGATAAATGAAGAATATATATTTTTTAACAAAGAATGCTGTATATTTATGTCTCTGTGACATTGTGTTATGGAGGCTAAGGTGTTAAGCATGTGATTACTTTAGATGCCGTATGACTACCTGTTTTTAAGATTAAAAAAGAATCAATAGGCAGTTTATATGTCATGGGAGCAAGTTAAAAACAACACAGATGTGATGAAGGCGAGGTGAAACTGGTCCGCATCTAATTCAGGCCTTCTCCTGAAAGCCAGTGTGTGCAAGATAAATAAGTTTTTTTGACGAAAGCAGAATAACTAGTTTGTCCTTTGTGATGAAGATAGTTATTCAGAAATCATTTTTATTGGCTACCTCTGAATTAATAAATGAAAAGAGAAATTTTTTTTTCTGTAGGGGATGTCTGATGAGTTCTTAAAAAGTGGATGAACCTGAAATTATCATGAACAAGCAATCATAATGAACTTAAAATTACTTAAAGAGTTATGAAAAACAAAAAGAAAAGCCGTATGTTTTCTTGTGCCTTATTTTGAAGTGACAAATTATTTGCAGGGTACATTTGTAGACGGAACTAATGTGATTTAAAAAATGAGTACTAGATTTACAGAATGAAGCCTTTAAAAAGTCACTGGTGCACTTTAATTATTTTATTTATGTTTATTCTGAAACTACCTTTATTTTGAAAATGAGGTATAGCTTTGCCTACTGGTGACAAAAGTGTAAATAATTCAGTAAACATCTGTTAAAAACCAGCTTGGTGCTAGGCTCTTGGGGTAGAAAACTGATCAGGCCATTGAGGAGCTCATAGTCCCTAAGGGGCTGGGGACTTGTCATTAGGTGTGCAGTGTGTTCTGGATGCTCCTGAAGGAGTGTGGGCAGGTGCGCACCACCATGCCTGGCTAATCTTTTTATAATTATGTAGAGACAGGGTCTGGCTGTGCTGCCCATGCTGGGTTTGAACTTCTGGGCTTAAGAGATCTTCCCTCCCTGCCCCTACCGACCCCGCCCGCCCACTCCACCTCAGCCTCCCCAAAGCACTGGGATTGCAGGCATGGGCCACTATGCCTGGGCTGTGCAAAACTTTTAAATCAGTGCATACTCAATGGTCTTGATGCAATTCTGGCTTGTTGGTAAGAGAATGGGGATTTACTCACAAGCCACGATGTCACTTTTAACTCTGAACAGATCAAGCTATTGGTATTACTCATTTATGTCATCGATAAACTTTATGAATAAAAACTCATTGTGCAAATGTTTAAACATACTACATACATAGCACTGTGCAGTTTCTAAGGAAAGTAATGGAAACCTTTGTCACATCCCTGGCTTCCAGAACTTTATGTTATCTAAGTGCATTTGTCTGCAAAGTTGTTGGGTTAATTGCCCCTTTCTTTCTTCTCTTTTTAAGATATTAATAAATAGTGTCATGACCAAAAGATAATCCTTATGGACAAGATAGATCTAAAAAGCCTTAGCTAATTTATAATCTTGCATAATCCATGATGACAAGATGCAGAAACAAAAATGCCCAGAATAAAAACTTAGCACCATTAGCAGCCATTTCCTTTTAAGTCTTTACAAGTATACTCCCAGTTTCTTGAAAAATTTATTCTAAAATATGTAAGACACACAAAACAGCAGAAGGACTAATACAGGTACATCGAACACCTGTGTGCCTACCGCCCAGTTTAAAAATAAACTGGAATGATGTTTCTCTCATACTTACAGAATAAAGTTTTAATCTTTAGCATGGAATTCAAAAGACTTCTGCCATTCCAGTTCAGAGCCACCCTTCTGGTCTCCTTGCTCCTCAGCCGCGACACTGCCCATGTTCCCAACAGGCCTCCAGGGTTACTGCTTCCATTCGTTCTTATTCTCATGAACATTTTCCTTCATCTCATCTGCCAGAATCCTACCTAATAATACTCCTGCTCTGCAGTTTACAGTTCTTTAAAATTAAAAAAGGTTGTGTACCCTTTAGTGTCCTGAAAAAAGAAAAAACAAATTTAAAACCTTAAAAAGGTACCATATTTTCATAGTATTTGCGTTATGTCTCATTACAGTTCCTGTGGACATGTCTGTCTCTTTTACTAGATTGATTGTGGGCTCTTTGAAGGAAGATATATCTTATGAACAGTGTTTTATATATTGTTAGCAATCAATGAATGCTTGCTATATTTTTCTCATGAGGATATTGATTATTCTATTTTAATTTATTACCGTTAACCTGTACTATACATAACTGCTTTCTGTACCTGCGCTATTTATGATCTCTGAGGCTCCTGTGAGAAATCTAATTTTTGTTAATCATGGATGGAAATATTCACAACATCATTCGTCAGTTTCTTCACATTGTCTTCCTTTGTATATTACAGATGTTTTAAAATATCAAAGTAATGTTTTTTTGTTTTATCTTTTAGATATTGCTATATGGAGATTTGCCAAAAAATAAAGAAAATATAATATATTTAGCAAATCATCAAAGCACAGGTTTGTATTTCATTTGCATGAAACATAGGTTTTTCTACAGATGGCACATGGGCATTCAAAATACCGTTCTTATATTTAAATGAAGTGGGTTTTTTAAAACAGCAATTTTCTGTGCAGATATTACACCTGTTCTTGTATTTTTGTGATTTTACTTTTTGGAAAGTCAGAAACTTGAAAGCTATGAATTTTCCTAAACTTACCTTCTCCCTCTGTTGGATGTAAGTAAGCTATCTTCTTACTTGCTTGCTTTGTTTTTCCTTTGTGTAGCTCTTTAAAGAGTGTATTCATTCTTTTTGTAAGTGATGTTTCTAGAAGTAGCATTGGTGGGTCGAAGTGTGTATACATTTTACATTTTTGATTGCTAAGCTGCAGAAAAGCTGTATTGGTATGTAAGTACTCGTTTCCTTACTATGCTCGTCATTTCTAGTGTCTGCTCTTCCTTTCCTTCTTCAAATGGGTTTGGTTTAATTCTAGTTGCTACTGTTCCATCAGAGGAATTGCAGAGAACTGGTCTTCAAAACAGTGCAGTATATACTTTAGGTGAAGATACTTCTAAAAACCTTTGTATTTTGAGGTAATTCTAGAGTCCCAAGAATTTGCAAAAAGAGTACATTGTCAGCAATATTTTTCCCAATGGTGACATCTTAATATAACTGTAGCACAGTAGCAGAATCAGGAAATTGTCATTGGGTAAGGTACTTTTTAATTCTCCAAATAATTCAGCCCTCCAAAAAAATCCCACTTCTTATGTTTTCAAACCTGTAGCTACTTTTGATGCGTACTTCCTAAATTGCATTTTTATTACTTTAAAAAATATAATACCTAGAAGCTCAAAGCTGGAAACAGCCTGATCAATATAGTACTCTTAAGCTAAAAACAACCTGATCAATATAGTACTCTTAGGGAAATCACTTATGCCTGTGGCTTTTTTTAAATTTTCTTCCTGTCAGCTGTCTCTTCATGATTTTGTGGTTTTTATTACTGCTTATACCATAGATGAGGTATAGAAAGTAAAAGAAGTTAAAATGCATTTTTCTCAATTTAGTGAATTAATGATTACATTCAGATTTATAGGACAAGGGTTGAAGCTACAAGGGGTTGATAGGAATCTTGATGTATCTGAGTATTTTCCCCAACTTTATTACATGACTGGTTCAGACTATTTTATCTAATTACATTTCACTCTTGGCAAAAATAGCAAAACAGTCAACCAATGGTCAATGCTGCTGAGAACTCTGGCCTGTGCAGACATATTGGCTGTTTTACTTCTAATACCATTCTGCTTTTCCTGTCCTGCTGCTGATGGATGTTTCTTCCAGGTTTTAAATATCAAACAAAAGGGATCTGTGGGCCCAGTACAGGGAATGGCTCTTGATAGATTTGATTTTCCTGCATTTCCTTTATTTTGATCCAGTGTTAATTTCATGTAGAGTTGTCTGTTTAACAGGATTCTCTTAAAATTCCTTCTTCAGTTTACCTGCCAGCTTTTCTTTGTCCAGGTTTCAGTATGAACTCCACTCGATTAATAGAGCTCTCTAGTAGTGACTTGTGGAGTGGGTTCTCTGAACATTTCTGGAAGTGTTGCTGATAGTGATAATATTGATCACTAGTACTGTTAATTTGTGTGCTTACTACATGTTGGCTTTTATATGTATTCCTTCAGATTAAGGACTTCTAGAAAACATCCATGAAAAAACAGATTAAAAAAAACAATTCTGCATGTATTTGGGACTAGAAGGTACTATGGGAAGGATAATCTTCATACTCAGACCATACTGACCTGAATTTCATTTATCAGTTTAGAGAACCACTTCCCCTTCCCTTCACCCTACCTCCGAGTGCCTGTGACTTTGTATCACCGCTCTGGCACCACATCCTCATCCCAGCAGGATTTGGGAAGGCTGCTTTTTGAAAGCCTTTTAAAATTCTGTAAGTTGAGAAAATACTAGGGGAATGATTTTAAATTTCTTTAGAATTACAGGCTTTAGTCAGTATATGACAGAGCCTTTTCCTAGAAAAATGTGCATATAAAAATTTGCATGTAGTTTTAGGGTTTCAGAGACCCCTAAAGCCTATCCATAGACGTGGTTCATTGTCTGATTGTGTTTAGGTACCCTTCTAAAACCCTTTTGAGATGTTAGGAATCACAACAGAGTATCTCTGAAAATGTAATTAGCGGAAAGAATATTTCAAAGACTGTTGTTCTGCTTAGACTTTCTAGTTTGTCTTCTGCCAGGCTTGCCGGAATAAATGAGTTTCCTGGCCTGATACTCAAAAGAATTGACATTTAAATTAGTCTCTCTCTTCCCTTGTTTTCGCTTGACACATCCTTGTCTCTACATTCTGTCTCTGTCTCTGTTAGCTTATTTCTCTCTCGAGTCAGCAGGATATAGTGGCTGTTATTTCTTCCCCTTATCCTTCAACTATCTACTTTTGACAACACTTTGCCTTTTTTTTTTTGAGATGGAGTTTCACTCTTGTTGCCCAGGCTGGGTGTAATGGTGCAATCTCAGCTCACTGCAACCTTTGCCTCCCGGGTTCAAGCCATTTTCCTGCCTCAGCCTCCCGAGTAGCTGGGATTACAGACATGCACCACCACGCCTGGCTAATTTTGTATTTTCAGTAGAGATGGGGTTTCACCATGTTGGTCAGGCTGGTCTTGAACTCCTGACCTCAGGTGATCTGCCTGCCTCGGCCTCCCAAAGTGCAGGGATTACAGGCGTGAGCCACTGTGCCCTGCCTGCTATTTGCCTTTTTAATCTCATGAAATGTTCTCTTTTCTTGGCTGAAGTGTCACTTTTCTTGTTGAACAGCATGCGTGGTGAGTAGAATGTTATAAAAAGGGATGGACTTTGGAGTTAGAGAGACCCAGGTTCCTGTTCGGCATTGCAGAAATGCTGTTCTGCAATAGGCTGTGTGTCAGTGGGCAAATTACTTATCTCTCAGAGCCTTATTGGTAAGGTGTGAGTGATAGCTCCTTTCAGGCACCTTACAGAGGCTGTCTCCTAATCCTGGTAGCGTACCTGGCTCATAGATGGCATTTAAAAGTGGTTGTGATGACAGTCATAGCTCACCATTAGCATAGCGCTGGATCCATGGCAGGGAAGCGCTGCACATGCAGTATCTCTTGGACTACACAGGGCCCTCATGAATTAGGAACTGCTGTTTCATGAGGATAGGGATGAGGAAATTAGACTTGCTGCCCCTCACTGCCTTCCACTCCTCTCCTCCAAGTTAATGGGAACTATGACTCTGCTTTGGCTTGATTGCCATGGAAGATTCTCACACAGCCAAATTTATTGCTATCTTAGTTAAATTATGCCAGAACACAAAATATGAAGTTATTGTCAAAGTAATATAATCTCAGCTGTAACTGAGATAGTCAGAAACTGTCTGTAATCTGATGTCCTATCTGAAAGGTAGCTGAGAATAAACAAGAAATAAAGAGAATTCAGTAGCAAATATTGGTGACACAAAGCTTTTATATTTTGACTAGTTAAGCTAGTTCTTAAATGTTTCCACTAAAATATTCAAGTTTAAGGGCATAGCCCAGGGCAGCTTATTATGAACATGATGTATTTTGGAAATCTTACACTTTCTCTTAAAAGTTCTTGGGAGGGGCATGTGAGGCCATAATATAACCATAAAACCATTTGTTTTAAAATAAAACCCATTTTTAAAATTCTTCCAAATAAAAAAATTATTGCAGGAAAAAATGCTAAACCTGGTTTTTAACTTTGTACGCCAACTATATTTCCAAGATGTGCTGTAGCCTGGTAACCATACAGAACCATACAGAATTAGTTCTCAGAATTTATTGTCTGCTTACTTTTGCATTTGGTACAGGTATAACAGGGTCGATTATATGGTTTCTAAGACATGACTAGAAAGAAATATGTTTATCAGTTATTATTTCTTCCATCTAAATTAGAAGGGGCTAGGGAGAGGGCTTCAACAGGAATTTATATACTTTAGAGAAAAGTGATCATTGATAGCCCAATAGTATAGATATCTCAACCCAATAACACAGGTTGTGTCTGTCTCTGGGATCATACACTGTAGGGGAGAATCTTTGCAAGCAACATTCTACTTATAGGGAGCCATAACAAAAGTTTCATATGTATAATAATTATAAGTCTTAAGTCATCAAGAAAAAGTTAACTTGTGAATGATAATCCCTGATTAAAAAGAGAGATGTATAATAATGGATAAGAGATTTTTCTTGGTTAATTTTTAGTATTAAAATGGCTAAATCTTTTTTGGGATATTCTGACTAGTATGGTGCATTGTCTAATAGATTTCCCATAGCTGAGAGCTAATCATCTTGTAATCTGTGGAAAACTGTCCTCTTTGGCTAAAACTTTATTGTAATTCCTCTAAATCCTCAGCTTTTATTTTCTACAGACTTTTTTTTTTTTTTAACATTTCCTTCCTCTGACTCACTCCTTTTGTTCTCATTTTCATGGCCTGAGAACATGGGTGATGATAGAATTATTCTTTTCACAGATTAACAGTTTTCTTTTCGAGTATCGTTGAGCTCATGTGTGTATTAACTAGAGAAGTCTCCCTTACATTTCATTTTTATGTTTTCTTTCTCATCAGGAGATAGTTTGTAGCCATTTACTTTCAAATCCAAGTTTCTGCGGTTCTTAAGACCTGTATCATTTGTCTCCTGAATTTCACTTCATTTCCTCTTTAAACCATGTCCTCTGTTTCCCATCTTCTGCACCCACTTTGCCACTTCCTGTTTGTTTAATTGGCAAGGGCCACTCTCTGTGTTGGAAATTTTTTCTTTTTGAAAGCTCAACTAACAACTTCTAGGAAGTTTTTTATTGCTACTGTTATCAATTCATACCATCTTACCCTTGTTTTTGCAACCCTTTGTTAATAACATATTTATTTAACTATAGTTATTAGCAGTCTGAGATCATTTTACTTGGTTACATAAGGAGCACATATATCTACCCAGCATCATTGTAAGGCATGTGAGACCTTTGTTTGATTGCTGTCCTAACCTAGTACCGAGTCCTAAAAACTCATTAGTAGAAGATGAAGTGTCCTTGCCTTTTGCTGAACATATATATACACACTGAATATTTAGTGGCAATTCATAGTTGCATTTGGCCATTTTTTGTTTATAATTTCCCCTTTCTCATTAAAAAAACTTTGTTTTCTAGACTTTAGGATTTAGAGAAGCTCATTTTGTTCCATACACATGCTGCTGTTGGATTATTTAGGTATTTTGTGACTGTATTTTATCTTTGAAATAAAAAGCCTTTCAAGAAATGCAAAAAAAAAAAGCTCAAAAAACAGAAAATGTATATTTTTTAAATATCTCAGATAGATTTAAAGAAATTTTAAACATCCTAATCATAGGACTTTTTTTTTTTTTTTTTTTTTTTTTTTTTTGGAGACGGAGTCTCGCTGTCGCCCAGGCTGGAGTGCAGTGGCGCAATCTCGGTTCACTGCAGGCTCCGCCCCCTGGGGTTCACGCCATTCTCCTGCCTCAGCCTCCCGAGTAGCTGGGACTACAGGCGCCCGCCACCTCGCCCGGCTAATTTTTTGTATTTTTAGTAGAGACGGGGTTTCACCGTGTTAGCCAGGATGGTCTCGATCTCCTGACCTCGTGATCCGCCCGCCTCGGCCTCCCAAAGTGCTGGGATTACAGGCGTGAGCCACCGCGCCCGGCCATCATAGTACTTTTGAAGCCCATTCATAGTACAACCTGTGAAGAGCCTCATGTACGCGCTAACTGGGTCCTGTCTCTGCAGTTGACTGGATTGTTGCTGACATCTTGGCCATCAGGCAGAATGCGCTAGGACATGTGCGCTACGTGCTGAAAGAAGGGTTAAAATGGCTGCCATTGTATGGGTGTTACTTTGCTCAGGTAACTTGTTTCCATGCTTTTCTCTCTATATATGTAGTTTATAAATTTTTTTTTTTTTTTTTGGAGACAGTCTCACTTTATTGCTCAGGCTGAGTGCAGTGGTGTGAACACAGCTCACTGCAGCCTTGACCTCTGGGGCTCAAGTGAACCTCCTGCCTCTGCCTCCCAAGTAGTTGGGACCGTAGGTGCCCACCATCATGCCCGGCTAAATTTTCTATTTTTTGTAGAGATGGGGGTCTCGCTGTGTTGCCCAGGCTGGTCTTGGACTCAAGCAATCTGCCTGTCTCAGCCTACCAAAATGCTGGATTATAGGTGTGAACTGCCATACCCAACCCTATAAAAATGTTATATTTTAAAATTTAACAATATACTTCATGTGAATGTATGGTTTTTAAAATGGGTTTAATAGTTTATTCTCAGTTGAAGTAATTTTGTTTGGCATTTTTAGTGGTGTGTATTTATATACGTCTGATTATCCATATGCGGTTTTCCTTCAGCATCTGTGGGGATTGGTTTTAGAACCACCACAGATACCAAAATCTAAGGTGTTCAAGACCCTCATATAGAATGGGATAGTATTTGCATATAACCTGTGCACTACTTTAAATCATCTCTAGATTACTTATAATATCTAATACATTATAAATGCCATGTAAATGGTTGTTATACTTTATTTTTTATTTGTATTATTTTAATTGTTATATTATTTTTAATTTTTATTTGTTCACATATTTTTGATCTGTGATTTGTTGAATCTGCAGATGTGGAACTCATGGATGTGAAGGGCCAGCTGCAGTAAAATGAAAGAGCAAAAATGCAAATGTACAAAGTTCAAACAAATAGGAAATTTAAAGGCATAGAATTTGATAGGCAATTACATTAAACTGTTGATAACAGTAATTAGTGATCTGTATGATATTAAAAAAAAAAAGCAAACTGTATATATAAAACTTACTTTCTCCAGTTCTGGAGGCTAGACATCCAAGATCAAGGTGTTGACAGGGTTAGTTTCTCCCAAGGCCTCTCTCCCAGGCTTGCAGACAGCATCCTTCTTCCTGTGTCCTCAGGTGGTTTTTTTCCCTGTGCCCAAGCACCGCTGGCACTGCTTCCTCTTCTTAGAAGGACTAGTTACACTGGATGACTAATCCTTCTACAGAGACTGCTAAGGTCCCACTCTGAGGCCCTTTTTTAACCTTAATTACCACCTCTAAGTCCCTCTCTCTGAATACAGTCACAGTGGGAACTATTAGGGCTTTAGTAGACTGATTTGGGGGAACACACTTCTGTCCGTAACAGTGCCACATAAATATCTTTAGCAGGATTGATTTTTTAAAATCCCTAAAGATCGTGAGACATGTTAAGGACGCTTTTTAGTGACTCTGTAATAAGTGGGTGGAAGAATTGGGAGTTAAATCCATCTGATGGATCAGGTTTTTTATTTTTAAAAATGTGTATTTAAGAAAGAAAGCATTTTCATTTTAACTGCCAACAAAACTAAACTTCATGTGTTTTCCAATACAGTGTCACATGCAGTTTTTTTGAATTATGTTGAGACAAGGCAATTTTCAGCTAAATGTTCTTTAGAAGCTAATGTTTGAAGATATTAAATATAGATTAAATTCTGAAATGTAGTTTTCATTCTGTACTTTTTGCAAGAGAAGTTGCCTTTTTGATGACTCTGGCCAATTGTTATTTTAAAAGTAAATGCTCTTTCTCCCGATTTGATTGTGGCAGCATGGAGGAATCTATGTAAAGCGCAGTGCCAAATTTAACGAGAAAGAGATGCGAAACAAGTTGCAGAGCTACGTGGACGCAGGAACTCCAGTAAGAGCCTACCCGTTTTTATTTTTCTTACCAGCTCTCAGTTTCTAAATTTAAGAATTAAATTAAAATCTAAGAATTGTTTTGACAATGTATTTTCCCATGTGTAATTACTAATTCAGGGTTATGCTGAGGTAACAGAAACCCTCTATGTACAGGTAGGCAGGTTTTTCAGCCATCAGAAAGATTGCTGTAAACAACTAGGTCCTTTGCTGGTCAGTGGACCTTAAAGAGGAATAAAAAGAGCATTTGGTGTCGTTCAGAGTCTATAAATAGAACTAACTGCATTTTAACCTGACATTTAAGCTAGTTTACAAGCTCATCTTACTTCTTGTCTTCTTTAGTATCAGATTTGGTTTTAGAAGCAGCAACTGTTTTCTGTTAGTGCAAATTTTGAATGTCTTACATGTACAGAAAAACCAAAAAAGGATGAATCTCTACAAATGTTAAATCATTCAGTGTAAATAATATTTTATAAAACTTTATTCCACAAAAGTGGGGAGAGTTCAATCTGCTTTGTATAGAATGCTGATTGCTGCCAAAGGCTTTTCCCCTGGTTCCCTCCGGAGACAAAGCACCATGATCACCGGGGCGACTTGGGCTTTCTCTTTCAGTACATGACATGTGCTCAGAAGCTTAGCTCGTGTGCACAGGCTTTCCCTTTCCTTTCTGGCTCCCTCCCTCTGTCTTCCCTCCTCTCCTCCTGCCCTCCCCTCACCAGGGGTCCTGGGCAGCAGCTGGAGCTCATGGTGAAGGAAGAATTCTTCACGGTCAGCTGGCGAAGTGCCTGGTGTGAGCATTGTTTATTCACATGCCTCTTCTAGGTGTTTTTACATTAGAACATTGCATCTGTTTTGGGCATGTGTTGGGTGACAGAAGCAGAATGGAATGAGATGAACAGTGACCCTTTATCCTGTTATAGCTAACCCTTGAGAACCAAGCTTGGTGTCTTCAAAGGGTCTGTTTAGTCTGAAACAGTGTGGTGAATTTGGGCAGAATTGTGGTCATTGCATGTAGGTCTCCAAAAGACAGAATAAGTTGGTAATATGGTTTATCGACTTTTTACAAAAAAAATTTAAAAATCATGAATTTATACCTTAAAATGTCCATCCCACTTCTCTCCCAGCTGTCCAGTCACCCCAGCAATGGATGACTGCTGTGGAGTTCCTTCTGTGTCCTGCTGTGGGCATTGTATATATGAAGCAAATGAAGATAGCTGCCTTTTGGGTGATGTTGGCATCCTATGCACAGTGGCCCCTTGCTTTTTTGCCCCCATGAATATAGCTGCCAGTGGCGCTAGGGCTGAAAAAATCAGCTCTTTACACTTGTCATGTGTCTTGTTTATGTGGCTGCCTTCGTGAGTTTCTTCTTGTTTTTGGTTTGCAGCAGTTTAAGTATCATATATCTGAGTGTCATTTAAAAATTTTTACCTGGATTGGTCCTCTGAGCTTGGATCTATGATTTGGTGTCTGTTATTAATTTTGGAAATTTCTTTGCTCTTATTTCCTTAAATATTATTCCTACCCCAGTCTTTCTTCTCCAGTTATGTTTGTGTTGGTTCATTTCTCGCTGTTCTTTAGTTCTTAGATGCATTATTCGTTTTTTGTTGGTTTTTTTTTTAATTTTTTTTTTTACGCCCCCTCCCTTTTTTCTTTTTGTGTTACATTTTGGATAATTTCTGTTGACCCACCTTTGAGTTCATGGATTCTTCCTTTGGCTGTGTTGAGTCTACTGGTGAGCCAGTTTAAGGCACTCTTCATCTCTGCTACTGCGTGTTTCATTCCTCACATTTCCCTTTGACCCTGTTTCATAGTTTCCATCTCTGTGCTAGTGTATCTATCTGATCATAAAGCTTAGTCACGTTTTCCAGTTGAACCTTTATCATTTTATTATACTTGCAGTTCTCTTAAATTCCCTGCTTGATAATTCCAACATCTGGGCCATATCTGAGTCTGCAAATTTTGATTACTTTATCTCTTCAGATTGTGCTTTATCTTGCCTTTGTCATACTTCCTAAGATTTTGCCTAACGCTGGGCCTTTTTTGTAAGACAGGAGAAATGGAGGCAAGTTGTCTTGATACCTGGAAATGGATAGACTTGTCTTTCTGCTTGGCCTTTAGTGTTGAGGAGTGGAGTCAGTCCACTGAGGAGGTGCACTGCATTTGGGTTTTGCTCATGTGCTTTTTCTCACAGCTTCAGGTTTCTGTAGAACTCATTACTTTGTTTGTAGGTTGGGGATGTCCTCCCGCTAGAGCTTTTCCTCAGTGTCTATTTCACACTCAGCGTTTTCACATAGCACCTTGGAGTGGCTCTCTTCTTTATGCCTTTCCCCACTATACTTCTTGGATACTTGTTACTGAACTCTCGCTAGTTTGGTGGTAGAAGGAGAGGGAAGGGAAGTGTCTTTTCATTCTTAGGGAGAATCTCAGGGGTGGAGCCTTCTCTGATCCTGCCTTGCTTCTGGCTGTAAGTCTGTGCCCAGTATGTATTCCTGCCTTTACTAAGAGTTTTTCCCTGTTCTCTTCACCCAGCCTCATCGAGTATTCATCCGTGCCCCATGGGTAGCAGGGTTTTGTTGCCCCTGTTCATCAGTTTCAGGCTGCTGTTCCATAGGAAAGGTAGAAAGAAGGATGTGGGCTGGGCCCTGAGCCCTTCCCACAGGGCTGCTTTTCCCTCCCACAAGCCTACATCCAGTCTTCCCTGACCGCAGTGTGTTTTCCTTTTTCTTTGTCTTGTGAGTACACAGGAGGTCTGTGGGTCGAGCCTGTGAAATGTGCTGCATTCTCCTTGTGTCTGTAGCCCAGGGGTTCGTCTGTTCCACTGGCTCATACTTGGCTTTCTGCAAAATTGTTAAAATTTTTAGCTAAATTCTTTTTACTGGTATCTGTTACATTGGCCCCCAACTAAACAACCACTTGCATCTTGTTTCTCCTTTGAGTTTTCCATGTTTCCTTAGACTTTTGGGTTAGTTGGTTGCCTTGCAACCTTGCAGCTCTCTGAAGGGTCTAAGAAAAGTCATGAATCTACAGCTTGTCAGTGTTGTTGTTGTTGTAGGGTTGGCAGTAGTATTCCTTCAGCATTCTACATACTTAATGGAAGCCGCCTCCCATTTTTGGTTAATAAATTTCAAAACTTGGAACAATGTTAGATTTACAAAAACGTCAGAAAGAACAGAGTGTTCCTGTTTATTCTTTATATAGCCTTTTTTTTTTTTTTTTTTTTTTTGAGTTGGAGTCTCGGTCTGTCACCCAGGCTGGAGTGCAGTGGCACGATCTTGGCTCACTGCAACCTCTGCCTCACGGGTTCAAGCAATCTCCTGCCTCAGCCTCCTGAGTAGCTGGGATTACAGGCGTGCACCGCCATGCCCGGCTAATTTTTGTATTTTTAGTAGAGACAGGGTTTCACCATGTTGGCCAGGCTGGTCTCGAACTCCTGACCTCTTGATCCGCCCGCCTCGGCCCCCCACAGTGCTGGGATTATAGGTGTGAGCCACCACGCCCAGCCTTCTTCATCTAGCTTTAACATCTAATGTTGACATCTTACATAACATGGTATATATTTGTCAAAACTAAGAAATAAACATTGGTACCACACTATTAATTGTACTACAGATTTTTATTCAGACTTTACCAGGTTTTCCACTAATGTCCTTTTTCTGTTCTAAAATACAATCCAGAATAGATACAAATCCATTCAACTTCAGTGTTTTAAATTATTGTTTTTCATTATATGAAGTGCTGTGTGGTTTTTGTCAAATCTGTTATTTTGGTTTTAATCTTCAAGCTTGTCTTTGTTTCTTTAAGTGATAAAGGCATAATTTAAAAGGTGTGTTGGGTTATTTCAGTGCCTAAAGTCTTGTCTGAGTCACTTGTTTTCTGCTGTTCTTGCTTATGGTACTTTCTTTCCTTGTTTGCTTTGTTATCTTCCTTTGCTGCTGGCTGTGTTTGGTTAAGTTATTTGTGGAAATCAGTTGAAGCCTCAGGTGGGAGTGTCTTTCTCCGGAGAACATTTCTACCTGTTTTAGCTGGGCCCCTTAAGGCTCCTCTAGCGTGGGCCCCACCCAAACGAGATTCTGAGTTGAAGGTGAACTGAGCCATTCAGGCAGTGCAGCCAGGGTTGCAGATGCACGTGAGACCTGCTCACCTCTCATTTACTTTCACCCTGAGAGTAGAGCCTTTGGTGTTTCGTTCACTTGTCTGATTCTCTCTTCACAGTTCTATTAGAAGGTCCATGGGTTTTGGTTTCTGTGCCCTTCATCTTATGAGTCTTGTAAATCAAAGTTCTGTTTTATGCTTACTTCTGCTTTACTGTGTTTGCTTAATTTCAGTCTTAACATCTTGCCAACTCTTGGGTACTTTTAAAATAATGTTATATCCAGCTTTTTAAGTTGTTTTCAGTAGGAAGGTTGATTCAAATAACCTAGTCTGGTTATGGGCTACGAGAATAGCCTCCCTGTTTTTTGTGGGCAAAATTCCAGCCTTTTATGTTCCTAGCGCAGTGTGGATAACAGACTGGCAGGTTCAAGAGGCCGTGCTGAGCAGCTTTCACTGTAAGGTCACTGTCCCAGGTCGGGTTTCTAAGAATCTGGATGGTTGTTTCATTTCTTAATATGTACGCCCTGTGAGAGCGGATACATCTTGCTCAGGTTCTTATGATTCTTTTGTTTCTGAAGGTGAATTAAGTAAGTGACATGGTAGAATATGTTAAGTCAACTTTCGTGTGGCTTACTAGTTCTCATGAATCTATTCCATGATTGTATCAGTTCTTATTCGGTATTAGTATTTAAGAAATGCAGAATTTTGTTTCAAAAAATATATTTGTATTATAAGTTGTGAAGAAATACATCTCCATAATTATTGCTGGGACAATACAGTATTTTCTTAAGGAACTTATTGGTTGTGGATGCAAATGAAGCATATTTGTGATAAAAATAACTAATAGAAGTCATTTTGTTAGACTATGAGCTAGTAAAACTTATGGCACAAACATGGAGACTTAACACTTTTTCTTCCAGCTTTCACTTAAGTTCCTTTTCAGATAGGAGGCAGCCTGGTGGATAAGAGTATTGGTTTTGAAATTAGATTCAGGTTTAAATCCCAGATCTTCTGTTTAATCTTTATTTTATTTCAGGTAGATTTTCTGGATAACTTGCTATAGCTTATACATCAGTACTTGCCACTTCAATTTTATGTTATGGAGAGACGGCTTCTTTCCTTAAACCTCACGAACCAACCTCTGCTAGCTTCTAAGTTTTTTCCTGCCACTTCTTTACCTCTCTCAGCCTTCAGAGAATTAAAGGGAGTTAGGGCCTTGCTCTGGATTAGGATTTGCTTTAAGGGAGTGTTGTGGCTGGTTTGATGTTTTATCTAGAGCACTCAAACTTTCTCCATATCAGCAATAAGGCTGTTTTGCTTTCTAATCATTCATGTGTTCAGTGAAGTAGCACTTTTAATTCTCTTTAAGAACTTTTCCTTTGCATCCGCAACTTGGCTGTTTAGTGGAAAGGACCTAGCTTTTGACCTACCTTGGCTTTCAACATACCTTCCTCACTAAGCCATTTCTAGCTATTGATGTAAAGTGAGAGACATGCAACTCTTCCTTTCACTGGAACGCTTAGCAGCCATTGTAGGGTTATTAATTGGCCTAATTTCAATATTGTTGTGTCTCAGGGAATAGGGAAACCCAAGGGGCGGTAGAGAGAAAGAGAGACAGGAGAACAGGCCATCATTGGAGCAGTCAGAACACACACGACATTTATCAATTAAATTTGTCATCTTATATGGGTGCAATTCATGGCACCCCCAAACAATTACAATAGTAACATCAGAGATCACAGATCACAATAACAGATATAATAATATGAAATATTGTGAGATTACCGAAATATGACACAGAGACGTGAGGTGAGCACATACTGTTGGAAAAATGGCACCAATAGACTTGCTCGATGCAGGGTTGTCATAAACCTTCAATGGGAAAAAAATGCAATTTCCGTGAAGCTCAGTAAAGCGAAGCATGATAAAATGAGATGAGCCTGTCACTCCTAAGAATGTTCCTGTACAAGTTTTTTGCATCTGTTACTTACCTTTTCCTATTTGTGAATAGTATCTTTTTTGAGTACGTGTGTTTTTTTATTTTTATACATTTATATGTATCTTTTGAAGAACATACTTTTAAGCTTAATTTATTGATTTTTTTTCTCTCATAATTTCCACTTTTTGTATCCTATTTAAGAAGTCCTTGCCAAACTTAAGGTTGCTAAGATTTTCTCCTTTGTTTTCTTCTGGAAATTTTAGAGTTTTGCTTTTACATTTAGTTCTAGGATTTATTTATAATTAATGTTTTCATATGGTGTAAGATCGAAGTTCATATTTTTTTAATATAGGTAACCATCACTATAGAAAAGATTATTTCCCCCCAATGTTTGAAATAAGTAGACTGAATATAGATGGGTCTGTTATCCCTAGATCAATGGAGCATTTGTTCTGTTATATTGATCTATATATATATATCCTTATGCCAATACCATACTGTCTTAATAATGCTTGCTTTGCAGTAAGTTTTTAAATAGTGTAGTTGTCTTCTAAATTTGTTCTTTCTTTTCAAAGTTGTTTTGGCTATTTTAGGTTTTTTGCATTTCTGTGTGAATTATAGAATTAGCTCGACAATTTCTACCCAAAGTTTGTGGGCTTTTCATTTTGATTGTATTGAAGATATAGATGAATTTGGGAAGAATTGATATAACAGGATTGAATCTTTGGATTCATGAACGTAGCCTGCATTTGTTTACTTAGGTCTTCTTTATTTATCTCAGTGTGTTTTGTAGTTTAATGTACAGATTTGCACATCTTTTGCCAGATATATCCCTAAGAATTTCAGTTTTTGATACTATTGTAGATGACATTTAAAAAAATTTCAAGTTTTTGTTTGTTGACCTAGGCATATATTTGACTTTTTAATATACTAACCTTGCTAAACTTATTTATCATCTAGTAACTTACAAAATATATTCCTTAGGATTTCCTACATAAACAATCATGTCATTGTTATAGAAATAACAGTTTTACTTTGTCCTTTTTAATCTTGATGGCTTTTATTTCTTTTTCTTGCTAAATTTTCTGGCTAGACCTCCTAGTACAGCCTTGACTAGAACTGGTGTGAGGGAAATCCTTTCCATATTCCTCATCTTTAGGGAAAAGCACTCATTCTTTTATCCATTCTTTAGTTCCTAGCCCCATTGCCCTTCCTAAATTTTTTCTCATCATTTTCCTTCATCACACCTTGTTCTTTTTCTTTGCAATCATATCATGATATGTAACGACATGTTTTTATTTATCTGTTTAATGTATTTCTTTTCCTCACTTGTCCATGAAGGGAAGGACCATATGTGTTGTTATCCTTTGTGCAGTTCCTGGAACATAATAAGTATATAAGAAATAGTTTCTGAATTAGCTGTGAATGAATTCATGCCTTCCTGCTGTCTGTCAATGTTCTTTTAAATTAAACATCTAAGACAGCAAATAATACCACATGAGTTATTAACCTGAGAAATAATCGTTTTATTTATAAATGACTGAGTTGAAAGCTGATAGCCCACAGTAATTGCTTTCATGGCTTTGAATATAAACCTTACTGTTACAAAACACATTTTCATGAAAATGAATGTGTGGTGTTTGGAACTAGCTTTAATGTTTGTCTTCCTGTTTTTCCTTCTAGTTGCTATAATATAATAAGGAATTTTGTATGTTTTTCCTAATTGTACCCACTTTTCTACATTTTCTTAACAGATCTGGTGAATCTTCATTATTAAATATAATTATACATATAAATTATTGTTTAATAATAATATTAATTATTAAAAATAATATAAATTATTAAATATAAAGATACATATAATATTATCTGTTAATTTCTAAGTTAGGTGTGGGTTCTGAAGACTATTATATGAATGAACAAAAAGCTTGCATATTTGCGTGGAAGCTGAAAGTACGAAATTTTTAGATACCATTATACCAGTATCTAAAGAAAAAATTCAGTACCACATAGGTTTTTAAGTAGGAGCTGTATGATCATAGGTCATCCAGATGAAGGAAGGCTTCTGTACCAGACGTACAGAGGTAGACAGTGTTGTCTGAGTACTGTCTGAGATCTGGCAAGAATGAATCCAATAAACGTAGTTTTCTCCCATGAGCTCCTGTCTTGTTTCCTGTATTCTGTTTGTATTTGAAAAGATTTGGTGTGCATAACTTATTTTTGTCTTTTGGCTGTCAATCAAAGTTATTAGTGTAGTTTTTGTAACTCAGTTCTCAAGCTAGGAGTTTTTGCTGTATAATTTTAATGTTTCTGTTTTTACTTTCCTAAGCAGATAAGCGTAAAAACTTAGACTAATTGATTACTTATTAAACGTCCAGCTTGATATTCTTCTTTATATTATTTTAGTTTCAGTTTATATAACAAATGAGGTTTCTTATAAATAAAATTTAAAATGCACTAAAGGAGCTGTGTGAAATAGGAATTCTGTGTGAAGCTTTTGAATGTGAACATTTAGAACGTTTCACATGGTGGGAATTTACTATATGATTTTCATCAAATGAGGTACTTTTTAGTGTTGGTACTTAACGATACTGATTTCTAAAATTTGTATTTCTAAAAATGACGTATTACAGGATCTGAAAGGGCAAAAACTCATTGAGGCTTTGTATGAGTCAGCGTTTCATGGCCTATTTTTAATTAGTGAATTATTAGCATATAATTAGAAATGTTTTTAGATTCTTCATGGCTGACCTACCAATGAATGTAGCACTGCATTTAAAATATAGTTCACGTTATGTTCATATTTAATTGTTGCATTTTGTTTGCCCCTCTTGAAACGAAGGTCACATGTAAATAAATATACATTTTCTCCTACTGTAGGAAATACTCTGTTAGCATTAGTAGGTTTAGCTTTTTTAGGTTAACAATAACAAAAACAAAGCTCACACAAAATAAACCAAATTTGCTCTATGTCCCACAGATGTATCTTGTGATTTTTCCAGAAGGTACAAGGTATAATCCAGAGCAAACAAAAGTCCTTTCAGCTAGTCAGGCATTTGCTGCCCAACGTGGTAAGTAAAAATTTGAGTGTTTGAACAAATAATTTTCAAAGATAATAACATTTTTAGTTTTTCTTCCTGGAAAAGATACTTTTGTTTTACAGTTGAAGGAATGAATGTATTCATTCCTTGAATTAGTGTACATATTATCTCTTAGGAAATGAAGTTTCTTCTCCTTAATTCACTTTCATGCTATTATTACATATATCTGAGAAATTAAGTTGAAGTGCTTGTTACGATACATATTCTTGTGCCATGGATTTATTTAAAATCTATCTAAGTACATGATTATGTAGATGGAAGCTTTTTCTACAGTGTATGGGTTATATGTAATGGAGCTTCTGTTTTGTAAGATGACAGACCTAAGTTGGAGTCCAAACTCGTACTTTTATTAGCTGTATGGTTGCAACTTGGAAGTTGTGTAATGTTGCTGAGCTTGCTTCTTCATCTCTTAAAAGAACATATGCCTTATAAGTAGATCTAAATCTGTGTGAGGATTAGATTAGAAAATATGTCAAGTTTCTATTGGAGAAGTTACACAAAGTTGGTCCACAGTGCTTGGAAGCTGTTAATGTCTTCAACAATGGTAATGTTCTTAATATCCATATTTTAGAAAATTGAATAATTGGTACACCAATAAGCTATGCAATTTAACCAAATTGGGAAGTATACAGAAAACAGTGGCTATGCTATGTTCTTAGAGGTGTCTTTGAAGCTTGACTGTGATTTAGTGTGTGATCTCCATATGTTGATAGTCACTCACTGAGCAAATACCTTGTTGGTGACATTACAGCAGGGCCTATGACAGTGCTGTCTAATGGAACTTTCTGCAATAATGGTAAAGTTCTTCATCTGTTCTGTCCAGTGTGCTGGCTCCTACCAATGTGGTTTTTGAGCATTCAACATGTGACTAGTGCATGAAACTAATTTTTAATTTTATTTAATTTTAGTTTAATTAAAAATAAGGGGGAGTTTTTACAAGGTGCTTACAAGAGCAGATATGTCATAGGTATATGACATCATTTGTAACAGTACTTTTAAAAAATGCCAGTTTGTTTTTAAACACATGTCCTATTAAGTAAGGAGTGTTTCAGAATAGGAGGGTTCAGTTGGTCTCCCCATCTGCCAGCTCTCTTTTGACTTTCATTGCTTCCTCTGTCTAATAGACATGACGTTCTGTCATTTCAGTTGCTCTTTTGCAATGCCATTGTCTCTTTTGCCCTTTTCACATTTATTAAACAGAACAAAACAAAAACCACTCTCGAATCTGTAGTCTACCTTTGTTGTAAGCACTTTTTCCAGTACTCACTCTGCCCTCAATTTGTTTTGGTCTGATTTGAAATTCTCTCCCTAGACTTCTGTGGGGCTGTTCTCCATTATCCTCCCAACTCTCTGGCGATTACTTCCTAGCCTCCTTTCCAGCCTCTTTCTGCTTCATTTCTCCCTGCTACATGTGTTATTTCCAGTGTCAGGTTTTGGTGTTTGATTAATTTCACTTTTTGTTTCTCATGGTGGCCTTCCTCTAAATCCATGGCTTTAGCCATCGTTTCCTTGACTGCTGATGACTCGCAAAAGCTTCCTCCCCTCCATGTCTCTCTGCCTAACTCTGGACCCATTTGTACAATTGTCCATTAGAGAGCTTCGCTTGACTGGCCCAAAAGGATGTCTCAAACTCAGCATATTGAAGATAGAATTTATCCTTCCATGCATACACTCATATTTCTTGTCTTGGTAACTCCATCATTCAGTTTTTTTGCCTAAGTTTTATTCACAAAAAGAACAAATTGATAGCAGTTGCATACCTCTTATAGGAAACTTAGACATGGAGGAAGAAGCTGTTCAGATGGGGTCCTGCAGAAGTGCAGGCACTGTGGTAATATTTAAACTTTTCTCAGCTGTTCGAAGGGTTTTGTTTTAACTAATTTTCCTTAGACTTGTTTTAGGTATTTGGCTTTCTAATGGTTATAAGGGATGTGGAATTAAATGTATCTTAATCTGCCACCTGGACCCATTAAAGTAAGCCCCTATGGTGGTTTTTTTTTTTTAATTGCCATGGTTAAAACCATAGTTGCTAGCGAAGGTGACATACTTAAGCTTTTTGAACTCTCTTAAAAGAAAACAGAAATTTAATGATGTGTCTATAATGGCAAACCAGATACCTAGAATTTCCATGTTATTCATAGGGTGAATAACACTGGCGATTGTAGAGATTTGAGAGTTCTTTCAAAACAGGAGAACAAAGGGAATAAGCTACAAAGCAATTTTTTTCTTTGTAGACTTAACTGAATAAAAATTATTTTTATGTCTCAAACATCATATGAACAAATTTAGTTGGCAAATGGCAAGCTAATAATATTTTATAATATAGGATATTAATATACTTAATATTACAAAAGTGCTTCATAATTAGAAAAGACATAAACTAGAAAAATGGGAAAAGGGCATGAATAAGAAATTCAAGAGATACAAATGACCCACACACTTGAACAAATGTTTATTCTTTCTCATAATCAAAGAAGTAGAAATTAAATGAATACTTTGAAGCCAACTTCTGAGAAAGCATAGCAAACAAGAAAGCTAGTGCTCAGCTTTGTGTGGTAACGGCACTCTCGCTCTTAAGAAGGTGTGTTTGCTCCCTGTGGCTGCTCTCAGGCAGGGCCACAAACTTGGTGGCTTAAAACACCACAGATTTCTTCTCTTACATTTGAGAAGTCTGAAATGGGTCTTACTCAGCTGAAATCAAGGTGTTGGCAGGGCTGCAGTCCTTTGTGGAGGCTTGGGGGGATCTTGTTCTCCTGTACGGGGTCCTGTGCTTGGTTCGGGGTCCTGTGCTTGGTCTGGGATCCTGTGCTTGGTTCGAGGTCCTGTGCTGGGTCCAGTGCTCTGCTTTTACCACCTTGAAGTTCATCTGGAAATGGCACTGGCTCGCCCACACCATATAGCTGACTCTGGTTCTCCCTCCTCCTCACTCGCTCTAAACCTGTGTTTTTGGCTGATTTCTAATCTCTCTTTCCTTGGCCCTTCTGCAGCTTGCAGGGCCTTCTGCAGCTCTTGTCTGCCCCAGCCCCGGGGTCTGCCCATCCCAGTGCTGGGCTGTTCTGTTCCTGCCCTGCCTTTCCTCAGCCCTTGGCAACCCTGTTTGTTTTCTCCCTTCCTTAGCAGTGGAGAACATCGTAAGATCAATGCTGACTGCCTTCTGCAGCCAAGCCAGGCCATTTCATTTCAGCCGAGCCAAGTCTGTGTGGAGCAGTTCTTTTATTTTTCTCCTTTTGACTACCTCATGGTTTTCACGGATTTTTGTTCTCTTCACATTCAAGGATTTTTTGCTTTCAGAAAGTTATATTTCTCTGGAAAGAGTGCACCCAATATCCCTTTTGATTTCAAAATCTTAATGTGGAGTCTCTTGACTTGGATTTCTTTGGAAGAAACTGCTGAAGCTGCCATGTCTAAGAAGAAAACTTTGGAGAAAAATTTTCTTCTTAGACATGGCAACGTCAACAGTTTCTAAGCTCTTGATTCCGTCTACCCTGTCTCCATCGTTGCCTCAGTCATCTGCCTTACTTCTCTGCAGGGGTTTCTCCCAGCTTGCAAATGTACTCCAATTCTGAAATAACTAAGTCTATAGCTGTGCAAAGAGAAGTCTGGGCCCCTTGCTTTCTTGTGTTTGACTCCATCCACTCTCCAGAAATGAATCCCACTTCTCACTTAACCACTGACCTCCAAAGCATCGTATCATTTGTGTCAGTTGTCATATTTGTTAACTTTCACATAACTTTTGACATTATTTATACCTTTATAACCAGGAAATAATTTTAACTTTATTGTAGAAATAAACAATGGAGTATAATTTTTCTTGTTGAAGATAAATATCACCTCCTCTTCCTTTAAACATCTCTTCCCTTTGTTTTTGTATTACATTGGTTTCCCCCCTTTTTTTATTTCCTGGGTTGTCGTATTCCCTGTTATTATTTTTACCTTTTTTTTTTTAATGTGGATGTTTCCGGAGTCTGTATTTCTTGCCTTTTCATCTTCTGCCCTTTATTATTCTCAGCCACTGCCATTACTTCAGTTATCCATTCCCATGGTTTCCACATGCTTAGCTTCGGTTGATTCTTGCCATTTTACAGACCATATTTCCAACTACTTCTAGAATGTTTTGTTCCTTCAGCCTCAGTATGCCCAATTTGAACTCATGTTCTCTCTCCCCCTTCTTTCTTCCTTCTTTCTTTCGCTCTCTCTCCCTTCCTTCTTTTCTTTCCCTCCCTCCCTTTCTTCCTTCCCTCACTCGTTCTCTCTTGCTTGCTTGCTTTCTCTCCTCTCTCTCTTTTCTTTCTGCATTCTTCTCCCTCCCTCTCTTCCTTCTCTCCCCCACTCCCCAACTTCCAGGCTAAAGCAGTCCTCCTGAGTAGTTAGGACTACAGACATACACGTGCCACCGCGCCCGGCTCCGTGTTCTCTTTGTTTCCCTGCCTCCTGCTCTTCCACTTATCTTTGCATGGCAGGTGGGTGCACGCAGGCATGCTCTGCATGTCTTCCTCTTGGCCATTCCCCTTCTAGTTATGGTGTGGCTTTATCTACGCGTTCTGGAGCAGAAGCCTAGTCACAAAGCTATTTTTTTAAAACATTCATGATAATTCATTTCCTTTTATGTTTTAAAAATACTAGCTTTCTGTCTTTATTTCCTTACTAACTTACTTGGATGCCAGTAATTAGTTGTTTTAGTGAACACCACAGAGTGATATTTTGAAACTTTGGACTTCATAAAGTTGGATGAGCTCCAGTAGCAAAGAAGGAAGTGTTAACTAGTTTAACTGACAAATAAATGCTTCCCAGCTTGGTGTGCGATTGAGATTTTTGTTGCAAGTTTGTGAATCAATTTAACTGCCCCTGCCCTGGGGACTAAAGTCAGATACGTGCTTGTGGGAATCTTTGTCTTTCCCACACCACCCTGCATTTTAAAACCTCTTGTGTGGGACAGTCCCACCATGTAATAGCTGTTCTTCCTTACTCAGCTACTTTCCCTCCAGAGAGGCCAGTAGAAAATCTAGACTAGTTTTTTATAGTCTATTTTCATGTCACTTATTGAGAGCTACTGTTTTCTGTTAAATTGTCAGTAAATATTTTAATCAAGGAAAAGGGAGGTAATAGGAAGGAGAGAAGAACAAATCCTTAACCCTAGTAGGAACCTAATGAATGGGATTTGTTCTGGATAATTGCAGTAGTCCCCCAGCTAAAGAACCTTTTAAAAATATGTCAGATATACCCAAGAGGATTGAAATCGTATGTTCATACAAAAGCTTGTTCACCTGCAGCCTTCATATGCAATTCCTATGAATGTTCATAGCAGCATTATTCATAATAGCCAAAGTATGGATGCAACCCAAATGTCCATGAAGCAATTAATAGGTAAACAAAATGTGATCTGTTCACACAGTGGAATACTAACTATTCAGCCATAAAAAGGAATGAAGCACTGAGTCCTGCAGCCACACAGATGAACCTCAGATCCATGCTGAGCGAAAGAAGCCAGAAACAGGAGGCCATGTGCTGTGTGACTGTATTTCTAGGAAATCTTGAGTCACCATGGGCAAGATGCTATCACCTTTGTTCAGTGGCCAGAAGCGAGGGCACTAATATTTACCCTTGCCGGGGTCTACTAGATTGAAGCGTTTCCGCTAGGCCATAAACTTCCAACACGGTGACTTGTACATGTAGATATTTGATCAATATATAGCAAATGAATATTGATTTAAACAGAAAAAGGCAAGTGAGAGTGCTTTCTAAACTTAGAGCCCTAAATATATGAGGTTGTGGAATTAATAGATTCTGTTGTGTGTGTTTGAGGGAATTTAAAAATAATTTAGATGTTAAACAGTATATTGTGGAGGTGTTTTGTAACTAATTAATGACGGCACTGAATTGACTTCTAGGCCTTGCAGTATTAAAACATGTGCTAACACCACGAATAAAGGCAACTCACGTTGCTTTTGATTGCATGAAGAATTATTTAGATGCAATTTATGATGTTACGGTGGTTTATGAAGGGAAAGACGATGGAGGGCAGCGAAGAGAGTCACCGACCATGACGGGTAAGTGTGTTCACGCACCTGAAATGCCTGTACACGGTATATACAGTGCACATGTTTATGTAGAATTCAGTTTTACAAAGTAGGTTAAGTGTACTTTTTTCCTTCATTACATTTACCCGGTATATTTTTCAAGATGTTATTAAGATGTAACAGTGGAGATTTCATTAGTCCTGCAAAGTGTGGTATTTCTTGGCTGTCGTGTGAGTCCTGTGGACTCACCAATTATCATTAATCCAGCCTCTTTCTACTCAAAGTTCACACTTAAAAGGAAAGCTCTGTAAAAGGGAGGAAGACGTGAAGAAGGAGCACGCCCGGCAGTACTGAGTGCACGTTATTAGTCAGTGCTGCCCTTTTGCTGTATTTTTCGTAAAATATTTATTAAATTTGGGTGTCATTGTGACAAGAAGAAATGCAGTTAAGTGTGACCTTTTTTTTTCCCCAAACATGTTAGGTTTTAAGAACCTTTGAGCTATTGTCAGATATAACCAGAAAAAAATAGAATTTTAAGTGAGCAGGATAACTTAGTTAAACTAACCAAACATAGTGTTAGCTGTTAGAGAAATGTAAACATGGAAATAGGCAAACAGGGAAGTGTGTGGAGTTTCTGTTTCCTTTTCAAAATATCTGTTTGAGCTGGGGTTGAGAGAGAACACTAGGCTTCATGGGGTTTTTTTGTTTTTCGTTTTTTGTTTTGAGACAAGAGTTTCGCTCTGTCGCCCAGGCTGGAGTGCAGTGGCGCAATCTTGGCTCACTGCAACCTCCGCCTCCCACGTTCACACGATTCTCCTGCCTCAGCCTCCTGAGTAGCTGGAACTACATGCGTGTGCCACCATGCATGACTAATATTTGTATTTTTAGTAGATATGCGATTTCACCTTGTTGGCCAGGCTGGTCTCAAACTCCTTACCTCAGGTGATCCACGCACCTCGGCCTCCCAAATGAGCTTTGTGTTTTTACCTCATCAGCTGTTTGGGGTTGAGCCACTATGTATGTCAGTGTGCTTGTATCAGTAGGATCTACTGAGGGCAGATGTTCAAAATATGAGCCTCCAGCACGTTTTACATGGAAACCCTCACCTGAAGCATTCGTCTGAAGTTGATGTGCCTTGGAAATTTTATAGAGTAATATTTTTAACTACAACAAAACATTTATAAAAGTAGACATTATTAAAGCATTCAGAAGTGAGCAAGGATAGAAATTATTCTGCCCAACCTTACACGTAGGCCTTCTAGACGTAGTACTGTGCACCGTTACATTATCTAACACTGTCTGTGTGTCATCTTTGGATGTTAGGGATTTTTCCAAAGTTCAGTGAGATTATAGTTGTCAAATGATTAGTCTGTTAAATAATGATAAGATGAGGGTCACTCAGGTTTTAAAAGAAAAGCTCTTTGACTGAAAGAGAGAGCAGCTGTCTACTGCAGAAAGTTAGGGAGGGAGGCTGGAGGAGTGAGGCCCAGGGGCTAGCTAGTATAAAAATTGGTTATGGTCGAAGGAAAAAAAAATGTAACATATTTATATCTGAAAGATGATTGTTCTCATAATTGTATATAACACAGAGTAATTGTAAAGTAGAAAACTAAGGTGTTTTTCATTTTAGATGTAAATGTTTAGAATATGTAATGCATCAGTTTAAAAATTAAAACTGTACGAAATGCACAGTGAAACGTCTTCCTTGCTTTCCACCCTGCTACCTGGCCTTCCCTTCTCCTTCCTAGCGATAACCAGTTTTCTTAATTTGTTGTGCGTTGTATGTGCAAATTTAAGTATATCTTCTTATTCTACCATCCCTCCCTTCTTACAGAAAAGTGGCATATTAATATTTTTCTCTTTTAAACTATCGAAGGAGTTACTTACCTATTTTTGCATTTGAAAACAGACAGTTCATCAAGATTGTCGTTGGTTTATTAAACATAGTTTAAGATTAAACAAGTGTTTATAACCAATGAAAAACAGATAGACTCCCCATAATAACCTTGTTTAAATGCTGCTACTTTTATCATGTCCCCTCCTGTCTAAGAACCCCTTGGTTCAGCAGAGCTCATGGGTAAGGCCAGCCTCTGTTGCCTGCCATCGGAGGAATGCGTTCCAGCCGTGATCTCTGCCTTGCCTTCGCTTCCTCCTGTGCTGTGCCGTGAAGCCTCGGCCGTGGTGAAGCTGGCTGACTGAGTCCTCCTGCACCCCATGCATATTCAGTAGTTGAAGGCTTTGTGTGGCCAATCCTGCTTTCCACAGGAAACCACCCTCTCTTTTGTTGCCCTCATCCAAGGCTACTGTTCTCCCACAGTGACAGGCGGCACCTTTCCCAGCATAGCACTGTGCCTTCTCCTGCCCCTGCTCTTGCAGTACTGCTGTGGCACTGATGGCGTGTGTTACAGTGCTGGCACTTAGCACAGGGCTCTGCCTTTCTCTCTTCCCAGCCGCATCATAAGTGCCTTGAGGAAGCCAAAACCTTCTGTGAGTTGCATTGCCTGGGTTCCAACCTCCCACTGCCCTGCTTATCCTCTGCTACATGTGAGCTGACTGTGGCTTTGGGGTGGTCACTGCCTATGTGTATTCATTACAAATTGTCTCCTTTTGAAAGATTGACCTTTCTGACTTACCCAGATACCATAAAGAAAATAAAATCTTATCACTTCAGTCAAGGATAAAGTATTTCTGAATTAAAGGAAAAATACACCAGAGTAAAATCAAGACTGAAAGACAAACTGGGAAATTATTTACAACCTAGATCATAGAAAAGGGGTCATTTCCTTCTTGCGTAAAGTGCACTTACAAATTGATAAGAAGATGACTGATAACTAGAAAGAAAAATGGGTAAAGAACAACAATAGACATTTCACATTTAACCTCATTCATGATAAGGTAAGTGCAAATGAAAACTACAGGGGATACCTTTTTTTTTTTTAATCCATTAGATTGGCAAACATCCCAAGGTTTGATCATAGGCTCAGTGGGTGAGATTCAAGTATTATCAGGCATTTTTATACTTTGCTGTTAGGAATGCAATGTAGTACAAACCTTTGTAGAAGTTGCTTTGGAAATGTCTCTCAGATGTACAAATGCATTCACATTTTAGATTTAGCATTCCCGCTTTCTGAGACATTATTCAACATGTATACGTGTGCACATAAGATATAATAATAACACGTTTTTCCTTCTAGTGTGTTGCTTTTAACCTGTAGCTTGAAAAAACTCTGCTTTCATTGTTTTTTTTTGTTTTCTGTCACTGGCTCAGCCCTGCTTTCAATTGTTTATATGAATTGATGGGTGTTCTGGTCTGGTTATAATCTACTTTAGTTTAAGAGTCACTTTAAATTATATGACATCTGATATAAGTTGTGTTAGGTAGAAAATTCTGTAACTTGGAATACTGTAAGTACTTTGTGGCCACATTTCATTAGTATTAAATATTATCTCTATATATAGTAGGCTATTTAATATTCATATTTTATGATGCAATTAAGAAATAATTTTTTTCTGAAGTTGGTAGATTGTTGATATGCCATGGCCCAGTGTTTCTCAAAGCATTCTGGGGGATCACTGTTTGTCAGAATTAGCTGCAGTGATTGTTGAACATGCAGGGCCTCTGCTCCACTCCACGTTGCTACCAGGACGCTCTGCAGGTGAGAGCTGGGAAGCTGTAGAAGCTGCAGTGCTAACAAATGCTACAGGAATTCTTGTAGTCACCTTCATGAGGTCTTATGTTGAGGAGAGGCAGCCAGTAGTGTCCCTTGTCCTTCCCGTTTTATGGTGTAAGTTTCATTTTAAGGGAGGTATAAATCAAAGCCCACCTGGGCATTCTCTCATGGTTCACTGCTTCTTGTAATCATGGAAGATGTCATTGCGGCAGAGACGAAACAGTGTAGTTTGATTACTATTGATTTTTTTTTAATTATTTTTCTGAAGTGGCTGTTGTAATGTAATAAATTGTGTGCTTAAGGACAACCTTTGGTATTCTATTTGAGTATTGTGTATGATCCTAGTTAAGTTTTTTCTACCAGTATTTTCATATTACAACATATTTACTTTCCATTTCTATTAATATTTTTATATTTAAAGTATGGAGGCCGGGCACAGTGGCTCACGCGTGTAATCCCAGCATTTTGGGATGCTGAGGCGGGTGGATCACAAGGTCAGGAGTTCTAGACCAGCGTGACCAACACGGTGAAATCCCATCTCTACTAAAAATACAAAAATTAGCCGGGCACAGTGGTAGGCACCTGTAATTCCAGCTACTCAGGAGGCTGAGGTAGGGGAATCACTTGAATCCGGGAGGCAGCAGTTGCAGTGAGCTAAGATCGTGCCACTGGACTCTAGCCTGGCTGACAGAGCAAGAATCCGCCTAAAAAAAAAGGGATCAGGGAAGAGGGGATTACAGATAACCCAAAGAAGAAGGAAAAATCTCCACAAGTTCACCTGTCCAGCGGTAACCCCAATTTGGATATTTTCCTTTAACAATTTGGATATTTTCCTTTAAATCCTCTTTTTTATAATGTCTATATGTTGGAGAGAGTATGTGCCTTTACGTATTTTTTAAAGATGAGATTTCTGTGTGTGTCTATATCTCCTGTTCTTCATATTTTCTTGTGTGTTATAAACAGCTGTACATGTCAGTATATATACTTCCGTAACTTTTTTTTAAAGGCTATATAGTGTTCATTGATGTGATTTAACAGCAGTTATCTCCCCGGCTTCATCTTGTTGGAATGTGGGTCCTGTGTGTTGCCTTCAGAGCAAATGGGGCTTGGTTTTGCAGCAAGTAGACCTGTGACCTGTACGAATAGTTGGAAGACTTTCTCTATTACCCAAGTGTATCAGTATACTTTAGTGCCTACTAGAAATTTATGGGTAGAAAAACAATAATATCTTAGAGTATTTTTTCCTAGATTCCCTAAGGTGCTATAGGGTGATTTTTACTCATGTAACATGAACTATCCTTCAACTAAGATAGTTTTTGCAAATGTGGATATATAAGTACTTTATTAAACCTATAGGAAGTATTTATACCACTTATTTCCTCCCTTCAGTGTTAGAACCTCCTAAATGGCATTTGACATTGAACTGCTTTCCACTTTGTCGCATGCTCCTCTCATTGTCCCTACCTGGGTCCTGAACCTTAGGGACTTGGCTGTTATAGCCCCACCATGGCTACGCTGGGCCTTGGTCGTCTCTGAGACTTAGTTTCTTCATCTTACAAGGAGATAATAACAGCCCCTGCCTGCGTAGAATTGCAGAGATCAAATGAAATAATTAACATACTCAAAAGCATGCCGTAAACACATTCTGAGCACATGTACGTTTTAGGAAAAACAAAAGGACCCATGCACATTTCGGAGTGCTTTTGTCTCAGCAGCACTGCCTCTTCTTCCAAAGCTGACGTCTTAGTAGAGGCCCTGCCACGTCCTGAGCACTGTACTCCACGAAGCATTCTATTTCTGACATTCGAAATGCAGTCTGTTCCATCTTCCTTACAATCTGTATGCCAGCACTTGAAATACCGGGTATCTGCAGTGTTGACCAGGTGATTACTTAATTATGGAAATGTTGAGGTGGAGATCTAGATAATTCAGTGAAGGCAGGAAAATTGGTGTCGGAATCTGTCTTTTTATGTGTCAGAAATAGAAATAAGATAGGGTGAGAAGTAATTTGTGGCTAAAACACTATAATAGCTAACACATAGTGCATACTGTGTGCCAAGCACTCCTGTAGGTGCTTGAAATCTTCTATTATTATTATCCCTACTTTATAGACTTGCACCCTTAGGCACAGAGAGGCGGACAGTTGTCCAAGGTTACCCCAGAGGTGGAGATCCAGGCTACCTGACTCCACCATGTGTGCTCTTCCCTAGGGCACAGTTGTGCTGCTAAAAATACTTTTTAAGCAGTTCTTTGATTATTCAGATGATAGTACTGTAGGAAAATTAAGACAAAAATAATGAAAAATTAAAATCTTTATTTTAGTGTTTTGCACATGTATTATTAAAGCCAGTTTACTCCTGGAAGTGTGTAAGAATACAGGGTATTTTTGATCACCTAAATGCTGCATGTTACTAAGAGCTCGACACTGAAGTCAAGAAGAGCAGTTGCAGAGAGTACTTAGCAAAAACGGGAAGTGTGTGGGGTTGAAGGAGCAAAGACAAGTCTTCCTCGGACGGTGGAGTGTAGAATTCATCATTTCTCAGAACACGTCTTTGAACGCATTTTCAATTTGAGGCCAAAGGTCTCAGCCTCCCACTCGGCATACCTCCCTACCTTAGTCAGCTCTTAAATCTTAGGAATATTTCTTTGTTCTTCAAGGAACTTAAATATGTTAACATTCTTACCTGTCCACAGGGAGCCCCCTACAAAGAAGGGAGTTTCTAGTCTCCGTTCTTTCTTGGAATAAATAATAGCCTCATACCTTGTGCAATCGAGGCTGAAAAAGACTGTCTCCTTTTTTCAAATAAGCAAGTCTTAGAAACTACAGTTGTTTACAGGGCTCATGGCTATTCCACAGTAATAATTTTGGTTCTTTTACCAATTATATAATATGTTAAAATATGGCAAGTATCAGGAAAGCAAGGAGTGGCAATGATTAGAAACCAATGGCCAAGTTAGAGAGGAGGGGCAATTGCTCCCCCAAGTTTGTTGTGGCTGTGTAGCAGTCAGTGACGAGAAGCTGTGTGTCAGGCGACAAGCAAAGTTGAGGATTATCAGGCGCCTGTGAGTGCCCAGCTGTGTGCCAGGTCAGGAGGTGCCATCGTGAGCCAGACCAGCTTCCTCTCGGCCCCTGTGGAGCTCGCAGTCTGGTGGGGAGGCAGCAGTCACCATGGTGACAGGTGACACACTAGGATGGGGCTGGTGGTGGTAGGCATTTGCGGGTCCCTTCAGAGAGGTGAGTATGGACTTAGAGGAGGCTCCAGCTTCCTATTCCTGGGCTGTCTATAGCACTAAAAGTTGTCACATGAAAAATAACATTTGGTACTATTGATTTAACTTAATGACTTATGTAATTGTAGTTGACTTAGAAATTATAACATGCTCTTCTACTTCAGCTTGAAACCCCCAACCACCAGTTTATAATCCTTTTTTTTTAACTTTTGTTTATTTTTCCTAAGGAATCTGTACTTTTTCTTCATTTTACAACTTTTTTTGTCCTGTTACCTTATTTTCATTTTTACTTTATATGACCATGAGTTCTAAAATAGTAAAAAAAAAGAATTATTTTTGTTCTTTGTTAGAATTTCTCTGCAAAGAATGTCCAAAAATTCATATTCACATTGATCGTATCGACAAAAAAGATGTCCCAGAAGAACAAGAACATATGAGAAGATGGCTGCATGAACGTTTCGAAATCAAAGATAAGTGAGTAACAACAGTTCCAGCACTTCCGGAACTTCGGTTCAACTAGATTTCAGTATAGTCAACAATTTGAAACCAATGTAAATGGTTATATTGTCTCAAGAATACATTTTATAAATTCAAATCAAATTTTATGCATGTCTGATCGTGTTTTAAACTTTACTTGTACAAATCAGTCTAAAAGAACTTGTTACAGTGGGCCCATCTACTTGCATTGATAGTATTTCTTGGACAATACTACGTGATAACATAGCAAATTAAATTAAAAACAACAACAAACACACAAAAAAACTTTCCAGTGTCAGATGCCCGGACCTACCTGTCAGGTCACATAAAGTGGTGTTACTGTGTGAGGTCTGGCTGTTGGGCCAGTGTGCGCAGAAAAGCAAGGGAGGGGTAGAGGACTATGCGGACGTGCAGGTGGACATGATGCTGTTATATTTGTTGGAAATAGAAGGGGGCAGTTGACAGCGTTATATCCAAAGTGTCTTCTGTGGTTAATTATATTCAGAAATTTTAGCCAATTGTTTTATTCTCTAAATATGTACTTTCTGCTCAAGAAACTATCATTGTTCTTCTTTTCCTTGTTTTACAGTACAGTGTTTTTAATTAACCCTCCTGGGTTAACTTTACCAGGTGAAAATGATTAAAAGTGTAATAGGTTAACAATGAAACTTTAAGCTTCTATTTTTCATTGACTCTTAACTGTACATGATGTAATGTATTCAGCGAGCCATTCAGGACCACTTTGGCCCATGGAAGAAATTTAAAAGTAAGATCTACATGTATTGACATGAAAATATGTTCTCAGAAAAAAGACTAATGTATTTAATGTCCTACTTATTTTATAAGTATTTAGAATACCTCTGGACATTTTAAAACAATGATTATTGCTAGGGTGTGTGATTTATAAAGCAATAGAAGCGCTTTCCCTTTCTGTTTGTGTTTTAGATTATTATATCGGGTATGTTCTGCTATCATAACTTTACAAATCTTATGTAATATGGGAAAATGAGTTAACTATGCTGTTTTCCTTCTTTTACCTGCCTTTCTAATTCTGTGGGAATAAAGGCGTTTTTGAGACAGCCCAGGTGCAGTGAGCAGTCCATATCCATGGATTCCACATTCATGGATTCCACCAAGCACAGACCAAAAATACTCAGAAAAAAAGGGGGCTGGCTGTGGTGGCTCATGCATGTAATCCCAGCACTTTGGGAGGCTAAGGCAGGCAAATTGCTTGAGCCCAGAAGTTCAAGACAGCCTGGGCAACATGGCAAAACCCTGTCTCTACAGAAAATACAAAAATTAGCCAGGCGTGCACCTGTAGTCCCAGCTACTCAGGAGGCCGAGGTGCGAGGATCACCTGAGCCTGGAAGGTTGAGACTGCAGTGAGCTATCATTGTGCCAACTCCAGCCTGGTAACAGAGTGCCTTTTTTCAAAAAAAAAAAAAAAAAAGGATTTGGGAGGATATGCATATGTTATATTCAAATACATGCCATTTTATTCATATATCAGGGACTTGAGCATCCTTTGATCTTGGTCTCTGCCGGGTATCCTGGGACCAGCCCCCTGTCGATACAGAGGGACCGCTGTCTAAGAACCGCTGGTCCTATC
Source organism: Homo sapiens (assembly GCF_000001405.40). Taxonomy (NCBI): domain Eukaryota; kingdom Metazoa; phylum Chordata; class Mammalia; order Primates; family Hominidae; genus Homo; species Homo sapiens. Next base: position 6,756,787 of record NC_000008.11, read on the forward strand.
TTTGACTTCTGGCGGAATAGGAGCTCCATGTAAAAAGGAGGAGAAGCTGCAGCGGGTTATTAGCCATTTGTGAGTCAGGTCACTGTAAAACTTTATCAAAAGTTTAAAAGACAAAAAGCATCCTCATAAAATGCCTTAAAACCACCTGTTGAAATATTACATATACAATTCATGTATACTAATCATAGAGCATATTAAAGATATTTTAGAAGACTAGAAACTTCTATTAAACCAAGTTTCTGGATGTTTCCGTATTCATCCTTATTTTCCAGGGACCTGCATAACTTTTCCAGCGTGTAATAGCTACCTGATTGATATTTTTTGAATTGAAATACTGAAGTGACTAAAATCTAAACTTTTTCCATTCTGGCCATAGGATGCTTATAGAATTTTATGAGTCACCAGATCCAGAAAGAAGAAAAAGATTTCCTGGGAAAAGTGTTAATTCCAAATTAAGTATCAAGAAGACTTTACCATCAATGTTGATCTTAAGTGGTTTGACTGCAGGCATGCTTATGACCGATGCTGGAAGGAAGCTGTATGTGAACACCTGGATATATGGAACCCTACTTGGCTGCCTGTGGGTTACTATTAAAGCATAGACAAGTAGCTGTCTCCAGACAGTGGGATGTGCTACATTGTCTATTTTTGGCGGCTGCACATGACATCAAATTGTTTCCTGAATTTATTAAGGAGTGTAAATAAAGCCTTGTTGATTGAAGATTGGATAATAGAATTTGTGACGAAAGCTGATATGCAATGGTCTTGGGCAAACATACCTGGTTGTACAACTTTAGCATCGGGGCTGCTGGAAGGGTAAAAGCTAAATGGAGTTTCTCCTGCTCTGTCCATTTCCTATGAACTAATGACAACTTGAGAAGGCTGGGAGGATTGTGTATTTTGCAAGTCAGATGGCTGCATTTTTGAGCATTAATTTGCAGCGTATTTCACTTTTTCTGTTATTTTCAATTTATTACAACTTGACAGCTCCAAGCTCTTATTACTAAAGTATTTAGTATCTTGCAGCTAGTTAATATTTCATCTTTTGCTTATTTCTACAAGTCAGTGAAATAAATTGTATTTAGGAAGTGTCAGGATGTTCAAAGGAAAGGGTAAAAAGTGTTCATGGGGAAAAAGCTCTGTTTAGCACATGATTTTATTGTATTGCGTTATTAGCTGATTTTACTCATTTTATATTTGCAAAATAAATTTCTAATATTTATTGAAATTGCTTAATTTGCACACCCTGTACACACAGAAAATGGTATAAAATATGAGAACGAAGTTTAAAATTGTGACTCTGATTCATTATAGCAGAACTTTAAATTTCCCAGCTTTTTGAAGATTTAAGCTACACTATTAGTACTTCCCTTTGTCTGTGCCATAAGTGCTTGAAAACGTTAAGGTTTTCTGTTTTGTTTTGTTTTTTTAATATCAAAAGAGTCGGTGTGAACCTTGGTTGGACCCCAAGTTCACAAGATTTTTAAGGTGATGAGAGCCTGCAGACATTCTGCCTAGATTTACTAGCGTGTGCCTTTTGCCTGCTTCTCTTTGATTTCACAGAATATTCATTCAGAAGTCGCGTTTCTGTAGTGTGGTGGATTCCCACTGGGCTCTGGTCCTTCCCTTGGATCCCGTCAGTGGTGCTGCTCAGCGGCTTGCACGCAGACTTGCTAGGAAGAAATGCAGAGCCAGCCTGTGCTGCCCACTTTCAGAGTTGAACTCTTTAAGCCCTTGTGAGTGGGCTTCACCAGCTACTGCAGAGGCATTTTGCATTTGTCTGTGTCAAGAAGTTCACCTTCTCAAGCCAGTGAAATACAGACTTAATTTGTCATGACTGAACGAATTTGTTTATTTCCCATTAGGTTTAGTGGAGCTACACATTAATATGTATCGCCTTAGAGCAAGAGCTGTGTTCCAGGAACCAGATCACGATTTTTAGCCATGGAACAATATATCCCATGGGAGAAGACCTTTCAGTGTGAACTGTTCTATTTTTGTGTTATAATTTAAACTTCGATTTCCTCATAGTCCTTTAAGTTGACATTTCTGCTTACTGCTACTGGATTTTTGCTGCAGAAATATATCAGTGGCCCACATTAAACATACCAGTTGGATCATGATAAGCAAAATGAAAGAAATAATGATTAAGGGAAAATTAAGTGACTGTGTTACACTGCTTCTCCCATGCCAGAGAATAAACTCTTTCAAGCATCATCTTTGAAGAGTCGTGTGGTGTGAATTGGTTTGTGTACATTAGAATGTATGCACACATCCATGGACACTCAGGATATAGTTGGCCTAATAATCGGGGCATGGGTAAAACTTATGAAAATTTCCTCATGCTGAATTGTAATTTTCTCTTACCTGTAAAGTAAAATTTAGATCAATTCCATGTCTTTGTTAAGTACAGGGATTTAATATATTTTGAATATAATGGGTATGTTCTAAATTTGAACTTTGAGAGGCAATACTGTTGGAATTATGTGGATTCTAACTCATTTTAACAAGGTAGCCTGACCTGCATAAGATCACTTGAATGTTAGGTTTCATAGAACTATACTAATCTTCTCACAAAAGGTCTATAAAATACAGTCGTTGAAAAAAATTTTGTATCAAAATGTTTGGAAAATTAGAAGCTTCTCCTTAACCTGTATTGATACTGACTTGAATTATTTTCTAAAATTAAGAGCCGTATACCTACCTGTAAGTCTTTTCACATATCATTTAAACTTTTGTTTGTATTATTACTGATTTACAGCTTAGTTATTAATTTTTCTTTATAAGAATGCCGTCGATGTGCATGCTTTTATGTTTTTCAGAAAAGGGTGTGTTTGGATGAAAGTAAAAAAAAAAATAAAATCTTTCACTGTCTCTAATGGCTGTGCTGTTTAACATTTTTTGACCCTAAAATTCACCAACAGTCTCCCAGTACATAAAATAGGCTTAATGACTGGCCCTGCATTCTTCACAATATTTTTCCCTAAGCTTTGAGCAAAGTTTTAAAAAAATACACTAAAATAATCAAAACTGTTAAGCAGTATATTAGTTTGGTTATATAAATTCATCTGCAATTTATAAGATGCATGGCCGATGTTAATTTGCTTGGCAATTCTGTAATCATTAAGTGATCTCAGTGAAACATGTCAAATGCCTTAAATTAACTAAGTTGGTGAATAAAAGTGCCGATCTGGCTAACTCTTACACCATACATACTGATAGTTTTTCATATGTTTCATTTCCATGTGATTTTTAAAATTTAGAGTGGCAACAATTTTGCTTAATATGGGTTACATAAGCTTTATTTTTTCCTTTGTTCATAATTATATTCTTTGAATAGGTCTGTGTCAATCAAGTGATCTAACTAGACTGATCATAGATAGAAGGAAATAAGGCCAAGTTCAAGACCAGCCTGGGCAACATATCGAGAACCTGTCTACAAAAAAATTAAAAAAAATTAGCCAGGCATGGTGGCGTACACTGAGTAGTTTGTCCCAGCTACTCGGGAGGGTGAGGTGGGAGGATCGCTTCAGCCCAGGAGGTTGAGATTGCAGTGAGCCATGGACATACCACTGCACTACAGCCTAGGTAACAGCACGAGACCCCAACTCTTAGAAAATGAAAAGGAAATATAGAAATATAAAATTTGCTTATTATAGACACACAGTAACTCCCAGATATGTACCACAAAAAATGTGAAAAGAGAGAGAAATGTCTACCAAAGCAGTATTTTGTGTGTATAATTGCAAGCGCATAGTAAAATAATTTTAACCTTAATTTGTTTTTAGTAGTGTTTAGATTGAAGATTGAGTGAAATATTTTCTTGGCAGATATTCCGTATCTGGTGGAAAGCTACAATGCAATGTCGTTGTAGTTTTGCATGGCTTGCTTTATAAACAAGATTTTTTCTCCCTCCTTTTGGGCCAGTTTTCATTACGAGTAACTCACACTTTTTGATTAAAGAACTTGAAATTACGTTATCACTTAGTATAATTGACATTATATAGAGACTATGTAACATGCAATCATTAGAATCAAAATTAGTACTTTGGTCAAAATATTTACAACATTCACATACTTGTCAAATATTCATGTAATTAACTGAATTTAAAACCTTCAACTATTATGAAGTGCTCGTCTGTACAATCGCTAATTTACTCAGTTTAGAGTAGCTACAACTCTTCGATACTATCATCAATATTTGACATCTTTTCCAATTTGTGTATGAAAAGTAAATCTATTCCTGTAGCAACTGGGGAGTCATATATGAGGTCAAAGACATATACCTTGTTATTATAATATGTATACTATAATAATAGCTGGTTATCCTGAGCAGGGGAAAAGGTTATTTTTAGGAAAACCACTTCAAATAGAAAGCTGAAGTACTTCTAATATACTGAGGGAAGTATAATATGTGGAACAAACTCTCAACAAAATGTTTATTGATGTTGATGAAACAGATCAGTTTTTCCATCCGGATTATTATTGGTTCATGATTTTATATGTGAATATGTAAGATATGTTCTGCAATTTTATAAATGTTCATGTCTTTTTTTAAAAAAGGTGCTATTGAAATTCTGTGTCTCCAGCAGGCAAGAATACTTGACTAACTCTTTTTGTCTCTTTATGGTATTTTCAGAATAAAGTCTGACTTGTGTTTTTGAGATTATTGGTGCCTCATTAATTCAGCAATAAAGGAAAATATGCATCTCAAAAATTGGTGATAAAAAGTTATTTCTTGTATATGTGATAAAGTTTACATGTTGTGTATATATGTTGTATTGCCAAATACGGCTATTAAATACTACGTCATATTTTAAAGGTTCAGTTTGTAGTGATAGTAAACAAGCAGTGCACTAAGCCTCTTGCGGGCATCATCTCATCTCACTGTCATCACAAACCCCATGCCACAGCGTAGCTTGACCACTAAAAGTAATGCATCTGCAAGCATACTGCCAGGTTTTGGATAGTTTGTACCAACAGTTACCTTATCAAGGTAAATCCCAGACTCTAAAAGAGTTGGTGCTGTGTCACTACATGCATAACTTTAAATAAATTTCCTGCCGGGCGCGGTGGCTCACGCCTGTAATCCCAGCAGTTTGGGAGGCCGAGGCAAGTGGATCACTTGAGGTCAGGAGTTTGAGACCAGCCTGGCCAACGTGGTGAAACCCTGTCTCTACTAAAAATACAAAAATTAGCCAGGCGTGTGGTGGCAGGCACCTGTAATCCCAGCTACTTGGGAGGATGAGGCAGGAGAATCATTTGAATCCTGCAGGCGGAGGTTGCAGTGAGCCAAGATGGCGTCATTGCACTCCAGCCTGGGCGACAAGAGCGAGACTCCGTATTAAAAAAAAAAAAAAAAAAAAAATTCCTCTCCTGTTTGAGCTTTCCCTTACCTGTAAAGAGGGGAGAATATGTATTTACTTCAAAGAGTTCAGGGAAATGACTCTCACTAGTTTGAGATTCTAGGTATAAAAATACATTCTTATATAATTTTAACACCAATGTGAGAGATTATTATTCTTGCTAAACCAATTCAGTTTTATTTGCTGTCTAAAATGTGTGAATAAGTAATTGTCCATTATTTTCTGAAGTGTTTTGGAACTCAACACATGATTGTGAGGAGGATTTGTTGCTAAACATCTTTCTGGTTATTCAAGCTCGTGTATACTGTGCTCTGTTGAGACATGCAGAGTTACTTTCTGTCTGGGTCACAGGTCAGTTCTTGATAGTTTTCGGACAATTAACCAGTTTTCATTTGCCCATGACCACCTTTATTCTTTTTCCTCAACTGCACCCATCTTTTATAAGGTCTTTCAGTTTATTGCAGAGAAGATGGTGGAGAAAAGCCGGAATTCCCACCCACCGCTGCCATCCCCATGTTTTATCATTGGCTAGAGTGGAAAATAGCAGTAACTACTGTGAGAGATCATTTGTTTATATAATGGAAACAAAGATGAGGAAAGAACCTGGCTTAGATCAGAGAACTGATGTATTTAGATTCTTTTTTTTTTTTTTTTTTAAGACGGAGTGTTGCTCTGTTGCCCAGACTGGAGTACAGTGGCTCAATCTCGGCTCACTGCAACCTCCATTTCCCTGGTTCAAGCAATTATCCTGCCTCAGCCTCCCAAGTATTTGGGATTACAGGCGTGTTCCACCACACCTGGCTAATTTTTTGTATTTTTAGTAGAGACGGGGTTTCGCCATGTTGGCCAGGCTGGTCTCGAAATCCTGACCTCAGATGATCCACCCGCCTTGGCCTCCCAAAGTGCTGGGATTACAGGCGCGAGCCACCGCGCCTGGCCCAATGTATTTGGATTCTTAAAGAACACTTTCAAATTAAATATCAGTTGAAGAGAACTAGAACTAAAGAATTTCTGTGTCAAACTGTTTAGCAAATGTAAGTAGAAGCTGGGAGATGTGTCCTGGAATGAATGAATACATCAGTAAAATACCATACGTATGTTATGATGTTATTGTTTCCTTGCCTTGGTTGATTTGGTTTTACTGTGAAATAATTTTCAATATAGAATTGTGATCGTTGGAATTTGGTCATCTAGTAGAAAATGAGAAAGAAGTTAATAGCTATCTTCCTTAAAGATTTCTGAGGTTGGGATTAAGGTAGTGTTCCCAAGGTGTTCTAAAACGGCAGCGAGAGCTGTGCACTCACTTCACAAATTTGAATTCCTGCTCTGTGTTAGGCGCTGTGCTAGGGGCTTAGCTTAGCACAGTTATTTCCAGAGGTTCCTGTGTATGGTGTGAAGAAAGCTTCACAAAGACTGTAGTGAAGCCAAAGATATAGTAGGGAATGAAAGCAAGGCATCACCACTTCCTGTGAGGACACGTTACTGCACAGGCACCCGAGCTGTGTCATCTCTACCATGTGCCTTGTTCAGGTTTTGGCAGAGCCCCTAAGCATATGCCCAGGAAGGGATCTATGTGGAAGTTGGCTCTTTCTGATGCATTCGGTGTTAGCTGGTTCTCGATGGTCGGTGATTCTTAGCTGAATCCAGAAGGGTGAAAACAGTTGCTGCTCCGGTGTAGTTGAGCTGGAGCATGGCGGCACATCAGGGCCACGTCACTGATGACACCATCAGTAACACACTGTGTTTCTCTTAAAACAGGGGCTTTCTGTTGTCCAGATGATCAAAACACAAGGTTCTTCATAACTCATTCTGTGTATCAGTGTTTCTTGTTTGGGAAGGAGATTGGGGAGGAGTGGCTGGGAGTAGATGGAGAGCCGGGCTTACGGGCATGGATTCTAGAGCCAGGACACTTCGGTTTGAGTCCCTGCCCTGCCCTGCCACTGGTCAGCAAGGGACTGTGGTCAGTTTTTTATTTTTTATTTTTATTTTTTCAGACAGAGTTTCGATCTGTTGCCCTTGCTGGAGTGCAGTGGCGTGATCTCGACTCACTGCAAACTCCACCTCCTGGGTTCAAGCCATTCTCTTGCCTCAGCCTCCCAAGTAGCTGGGATTATAGGCGTGCGGCACCACGCCTGGCTAATTTTTGTATTTTTTAGTCGAGATGGGGTTTTGCCATATTGGCCAGTCTTGTCTCAAACTCCTGGCCTCAAGTGATCCACCTGCCTCAGCCTCCCAAAGTGTTGGGATTACAGGCATGAGCCACCGTGCCGGGCCTTGTAGTCAGTTTCTTAATCTCTGTGCCTCAATGTCCTGAAATACAGAATGAAAATAACAGTGATGGAACCTACCTCACAGGCTTGTGAGAATTAAGCGAAATCATCTATGTGAAGCACTTGGATTAGTGCCTGTCACATTCTGAGTGCGCAAATGTTAGCAACTTTTGTTACACACACACACACACACACACACATACACACACACACACGTCCATAAGGGCATTCTGCCTTATACTAGAGCTAATAACTTTGTTACATTTTAGGTTTTTGGTATGTTGCTCTAATAGGGCATGTAACAAATGCAAAATAGACATTTTCAAGTAAAATGAAGTATACAAAAAAAACCCATAAACGATGTACCCCCTCTTCTTGTGTACTAACATCTTTATCCTTTTTGTTTCCATATCTCCTCCCCTCTTTCTGTTTCTAGAAGTTGACATAAATGAAAGATAATGAGATTAGAAATAAATCCAATATAAAGTATGCCTCCATGTGTCTAAGTACCTGGTAATTTCTGGCTCTGTTCTCTCCAACATGGTTTTTATTCCTGCACCCACTCTCACTGGCTCGTGGATAGATTTTGGTTCCTGGTGTATTTTATGACTTGACTGGCAGCTCCAGTCTGACATAAAACTGGCAATAGAACTTAAACTGAGCTTGGCCTCAGAGTGGTACAGTGAACAACGACATTGTTCTGAGGGTCAGGAGATCTAGAGTTGCGGTCGGGTCCCAAGTATGTAGCAGTGGGTCTCTTCTTTCTGGACTGCAGCGTCCCCTGGGACGTGGCTGCTAAAGACCTTCCCATCCTACAGTTTCATTCTGCATGCTGTTCCCCGGTGTTGTGCCAGCCACCTGGGCCCAATGCCTGGGGGTATCTTCAACCACCCCTACCACCTGTCTCTCTAAGCAAGTCTACTTGGTGGTTTCTTCATCCACCTCCATCTGCTTCCCCTCTATCTTCACCCGCTCAACACCCTCCCCACCCCCAACGTCCATTACCACTGAGCTCAAGGCAATGCAGCCAACAGCTTCCCCAGTTGCTCTGTTAGGACCTGTGAGCCACAAACCCACCCTCCACATCAGCACTTCCTAGTAGGGCAGCCGGAGCCCCATGTGGCTATAGAGTCCTTGAAATCAGAGAAGTTAGTGTACAATGCCAGACTTGGAAAAATAAGTACAAAAAATAAAATAGTTCATTAATCTTCATGTTGATTACATATTTGAGTGATATTTTGGACATATTGTCCTCAATAAACTATATTAAAATTAATTTGACCTTTTTTTAATGTGGCTACTAGAAGGTTTAATATTCGCTATATGGCATTATATCTCCACAGGGCAGACCTGATGTACAAGATGACTTAAAGGCGAGGAACTTTCACCCCAACCTTTGTGTCTCAAAACTGCCGTGATTCCTGGCACTGATTAGGCAATCAGCAACAGTTTGTTTAACTGATTCAGTAGGCATAATTTGAGATAACATTTTAGGGTTACCTCAATCATAGTTATATCATTAAGTATCACCTGAAGATTATTTTATTTTATTTCATTTTATTTATTTTATTTATTTTATTTTATTTTATATTTTTGAGGCGGAGTCTCTCTCTGTCGCCCAGGCTGGAGTGCAGTGGCGCGATCTCGGCTCACCTCAAGCTCCGCCACCCGGGTTCACGCCATTCTCCTGCCTCAGCCTCCAGAGGAGCTGGGACTACAGAGGCCCGCCACCACGCCCGGCTAATTTTTTCGTATTTTTAGTAGAGACGGGGTTTCCCTATGTTGGCCAGGATGGTCTCCATCTCCTGACCTCGTGATCCGCCCGCCTCGGCCTCCCAAAGTGCTGGGATTACATGCGTGAGTCACCGCCCCCGGCCCACCTGAAGATTTTCTAAAGCAATTGTGTTTGAATTTTATAGTCCGAAGTCAATAGATTATTTTAAAAAGTAAATGGCATAATCAATAAACATTTAATAAATGATATGGAAGTTACGATTTCAAAGAATATTCCAGGAATTCTTGGAGTTCAAGAAAAAGCACAATCAAAAAATAAGATCTGAAGCAAATATGAGAATATTGAAATGTGTTCATTCTGAATTGGCCTTATACTGAATACTATGTTATACTATTCTCTGGGTTTTTTGGTTTTGTTTTGGTATATTTACATTTTTTTCCGAATTAAAAAATTTTGTCAACTAGGCATATCAGTTATTTTGTCTAAAAATATTCTGAGCGGATTCCATACCGTATTATGGTTACTAATTAAATATGTCACCACTCTTCTTTGATCACTAATTCAAGTATGGGTGGAATCTGTCTAAAGCTTGTAATCTTCAAGGAATTGTAAAAATCCTCCTGTTTCTTACTGGTGTATTTCAATGAATGTAATCAATTAATGGTACTGTGATTCCAAATAGTAATTACTGAGAATATCTGTTTGCTCTTGCATCTGCTTATAATGAAGAGCTAAATTTTTGTTGCTTCTGTCTACTCCTTTCATTCTTCCCAAAGGAAATTACTTGGGATGAACTGTGTTGAAAGACAGCGCGTTTATAGTGGCCTCACAAGTCACCTAAAGAAAGAAGCCAGAGCGATCGATGGCATTTTCTCATCTTCCTAGCCCACATCTTTAGATTAAGGTGCTATAAAATCCGAAGGAAGGGATTGAAACGGCCTTTGCAAAATTATGACTGAGACAGTGAAATAGATCGGACTTAACTGACTTCATCTTGCTTCTAACCTCTAAGCTGTCCTTGTTCATTCCTGAGCCCAGGCTGAATTAACTTTGGTAGAAACTTAGTTTATAGTTTAAACAAAGATGGTAACAGCCCTTTCCCAAAGCAGACCTCCTTCTTGCCTGGGGACTAGATTGCCTTTGTAGGACTAACTTAGCCACAAGATTAGAAATTATGGTTTAGGAGTCACGCAGCTGGACCCCTACAAGAGTCTGACCCTCCCTAAACTGCTCCTAAGATCAATGCTTGAGATATTTTGCAGACCTTGAACTTGATGGGTCAGCTGGCCCCACCCAGATCAACAAACTGGCTCATCTGATCTTGTGACCCCCACTGAGGAACTGACTCAGCGCAAGAACACAGCTCGACTCCCTAGGATTTCATCTCTGACCAATCAGCACTCCTGTATCACTGGCTCCCCGCGACTCACCAAGTTATTCTTAAAAACTCTGCTCCCCAAATGGTCAGGGAGACTGATTTGAGTAACGATAAAACTCCGGTCTCCGGCAAAACAAACAAACAAACAAACAAAACCCTAAAGTGTGCCAACAGCAAAAGAACAAGCTGAGCTACTTTAGCAATGTCGCAGTTGGTAATTCCAAGATGTGCACAGGAAAAAAAAAATAATTCTCCCTGTGTTGTTAAAAGAATGCTCTTGAAATTAGCTGGGCATGGTGGTGTGTACTTATAGCTACTCCTGAGGCTGAGGCGGGAGGATCACTGGAGCCTAGGAGTTCGACGTTGCTGTGAGCTATGATTGCTCCACTGCACTTCAGCCTGTGCAACAGGTGAGACCCCGTCTAAAAAAAAAAATAATGCTCTTGTAATCTAGGAAATAGTTTTGGCCCTTTAGGTTAGGAATAATAGTCACGTGTAAGATAAATGTCTAAATAGTTCAGTGTAGTGATACAACTGGGAACAGACTTGGAGGAAGCCTCAGAGAGGGAGTTGAGCACAGTGGGCTTCACCATACAGAGGAGGAAACCACAATGACTATAGCAAGAGGAAATATCATGACTTCATAAATATAAATATCTAACACTGGAGGTGTAGAGGTGGGAAGCGGTAGAGACAGAAGGGTGACCATCATGTGACTTTATTATAAGGAGTATTTTATTTATGTATAAAAGAAATACAGTTGGGCCAGGCACGGTGGCTCACGCCTGTAATCCCAGCAGTTTGGGAGGCCAGGGCGGGCAGATCACCTGAGGTCAGGAGTTCAAAACCAGCCTGACCAACATCATGAAACCCAGTTTGTACTAAAAATACAAAATTAGCTGGGCATGGTGGCGCATGCCTGTAATCCCAGATACTTGGGAGGCTGAGGCAGGAGAATCACTTGAACCCAGGAGGTGGAGTTTGCAGTGAGCCGAAATCGTGCCATTGCACTCCAGCCTGGGCAACAAGAGTGAAATTCCATCTCAAAAAAAAAAAGAAAGAAGGAAGGAAGGAAGGGAGGAAGGAAGGGAGGGAGGGAGGAAGAGAGAGAGAAAGAAAGAAGAAAGAGAGAGAGAGAAAAAAAGAAAGGAAGGAAGGAAGGAAGGAAAGAAAGAAAGAAAGAGAGAGAAAGAAAGAGAGAAAGAAAGAAAAAGAAAGAAAGAAAGAAAGAAAGAAAGAAAGAAAGAAAGAAAGAAAGAAAGAAAAAGAAAGAAAGAAAGAAGGAAAGAAAGAAAGAAAGAAAGTTGACCTTTGTGCAATGCTAGGGTTAGGAGGCCCAATCTCCCATGCAGTTGAAAATCCTCATTAAACTTTTGACTCCCCAAAAACTTAACTACTAATAGCCTACCGTTTTCCAGAAGCCAATGACATAAATAGTTGCTTAAGACATATTTTGCATGTTACATGTATTACACACTGTATTCTCACAGTAAAGGTAGAAAAAGGAAAACGTTATTAAGAAAATCATAGGGAAGAGACAATATATTTACTATTAAGTGGAAATGGATCATCATTAACGGTCTTCCTCCTCATCACCTTTGTGCTGAGTTGGCTGAGGAGGAAAGGGAAGAGGGAGGGGTTGGTTTTGCTCTCTCCAGGAGTGGCAGAGGAGGAAGAAAATCTATGTCTTAGTGGACCTTCACAGTTCAAACCCGTGTTGTTCAATGGTCAGCTGTATATATAGAATAAATCTTATTTCATATATTTGAAGTATATCTCATATATGTGTTTGTGCATGCATGTGTGTGTGTGTGTATATATATATATATATATGACTTTCAGTTGATAATAATTTTTCAGACAATGCTGAATTGCCTCTCTGCCCATCTCCAGTGTTAAACCCAGGATCTAGGTGGTCATCTTGGAAGTATCCCTCGTGTTTTATTGGTGGCTGACTTCCGACTCTAGGTACTCAGTGACACAATGACATCTTTTTTAAAAAATTCTTCTGGGCACATAGTAGATGTATATATTTACAGGGTACATGAGATGTTTGGATACAGGCAGGTAATGTGAAACAATCATGTCATGGAGAATGGGTATCCACCTCCATAAGTGTTTGTATCCTTTGAGTTACAAACAATCCAATTTTAAATTTTAAATAAAAAATTTAAATTTAAAGTTATTATTGAGTATAATCACCCTATTATGCTATCAAATAGTAGATCTTATTCATTCATTCTATTTTTTAATACCCATTAACCTTCCCCACCTGCCATTCAACCCCCATCTACCCTTCCTAGACTCTGGTAACCATCCTTCTTCTATCTCCAGGGGTTCAATTGTTTTAATTTAATTTTTAAATCCCACAAATAAGTGAGAACATATGATGTTTGTCTTTCTGTGCCTGGCTTATTGCACTTAACATAATGATATCCAGTTTCATCCACGTTGTTGCAAGTGACTGGATCTCATTTTTCATGGCTGAATAGTACTCCACCATGTATACGTACCACATTTTCTTTAACCTTTCATCTGCAATATTTAGGTTGCTTCCAAATCTTAGCTATTGTGAACAGTGCTGCAGCAAACATAGGAGTGCAGGTATTTCTTCGATAGACTGATTTCCTTTCTTTTGGGTATATACCCAGCACACAATGACATCTTTAACCAAACTCTTGTGGCCTCAGAGTTAATTTGGAGGCAGCTGAGTTTGAGATAAATGGCATATCCTTTGTGTTCCATAATTTCCATACATGCCCAATTACAATCTTTCTGAACACTTTCTAGAAATCATATTAAAGCATTACATGCATCTCATGCCATGTCCATCTGTCTCTCCTGGACTGGGACAGTGATAGGTCTTCATATAATCTTGTTTAATAAGTGTTAGGTTGGTGCAAAAGTAATTATGGGTTTTGTCATTACTTCCAATGGCAACAACTCCAATTACTTTTGCACCAACCTAATATTTTACAGTTGACAAAATTCTCAGAGCATCAGCCATACCCACATTCAAATAAAAGCTGCATTAAAAACAGATTAGCAATCATTTGGTGAGTATTCACTATTCAATAGATAATGTGCAAGGTTCTCTGCCTTGCTCTACCCAGATGCTACTTTAATTCTCACAAAAGCCCTTTGAAGTAGATAGGGGTCCCCCAATGCCCTACCATGAATGCTTATTACCTTTTAAAAATCTCATCATTAGCCAGGCACGGTGGCTCACGCCTGGAATCCTAGCACTTTGGGATGCCGAGGTGGGCAGATCACCTGAGGTCAGGAGTTCAAGACCAGCCTGACTAACATGGTGAAACCCTGTCTCTACTAAAAATACAAAAATTAGCCCGGTGTGGGGGTGCACACCTGTAATCCCAGCTACCCGGGAGGCTGAGGCAGCAGAATCAGTGGAACTCGGGAGGCGGAGATTGCAGTGAGCAGAGACCACCACGCCACTGCACTGCAGCCTGGGCGACAGAGCAAGATGCCATCTCAAAAATAATAATATTGAATAATAAATAATAACAATCTCATCATCCAAAAGCAGAACTGGGTCCTAGGAGACACCTGACTGTTGCTTTGGTGCCACATAAGAGAAATGAAGTGTGTCTGTGGGGGCTGGGAGCAGAGAGCCTTCTCTTCCGGTGCTGGGAGCCATGGTTTCCCCAGTTCTCCCCCTGTGGCCTCCCATGGGGTGGGGGACGGGATGGGGTTGAGGGTTGAAAGGAGTAGAGATCCTTAACAGCGAGGTAGAGTGGATGGATGGGTGCTGGGTCCTCCCCACGTCACTTAGGAAAGACACATGGTGCTTTTTTCACTGGTTTCAAAAACTGAAGGCAGCTGTGCCCCATGGGCTGAAGAACTTAAATCTGAGAACTCGATGTCACTGGCGGCAGCTCCCCCAACTTGAGTGAACCTGTTTTCTCACCCAAGAAACATTTGAAGATGGGGAAAACCTGCTTTGCAGAGGTTGTTGTGGGGATTAAGTCAAACAGTGTGACACCCTGGGCAAAGACCAGCACACAATCTTGTGAGAATTTACGTAGGGTATGGTAGTGGTTAGGAGAAATCAGCAACAGAGAAATCAGTAATCCTTTACTTGCTGCAGGTGACTGTGCAGATTAAATGAAGTGTTGTACAAGGACAGAGCACAACTGCCCAGCACATAACGGGTGCTCCATAGACGCCCTCTCCCATCTTCATAACACAATTTTTTTTTTTTTTGAAACAGAATCTAGCTCCATCACCCAGGCTGGAGTGCAGTGTCACGGTCTTGGCTCACTGCAACCTCTGCATCCCAGGTTTAAGCAACTCTCCTGCCTCAGCCTCCCAAGTAGTTGGGATTAGAGGCTCCCGCCACCACACACAGCTACTTTTTGTATTTTTAGTAGAGACTGGGTTTTGTCATGTTGGCCAGGTTGGTCTCGAACTCCTGACCTCATGCGATCCACCCACCTCAGCCTCCCAAAGTGCTGGAATTACAGGTGTGAGCCACCGCACCCGGCCCGTAACACAAATCTTAAAGTCTTTTTAGGGGCTATAAACTCGAACCACTTCCTAGGGAGGTGGATGTTCTTGCTTTTGCTAGAAAAGCCAATGGCTGATGTGGGAGGAGTTAAAAAGAAATTGAGAAAATGACTTCTGTCCAGGTTTGGGGGAAAGGTCTATTTTACAGACCTGCACTCTATTCTGCTTCCATGGTCTCATGGGCCGGTAGGGGAGGACTGGGGTGCTAGGAGCAGGCACCTTTGCCTCTGGCAGTTATACCCCTGGGAATGGAGAGGGAGAGACTGAGAAATCAGCCCAGCACCGCCCTTTCCGGCCTCACACATCCAAGCCCTCACACATGGGGCACGAGGCTCTGTGCCTGGCCAAGCCTCAGTTGTTAGGCCCAGTTAGTGCTGAGGATCCAGAGGCTCAGGGAAGCCCAGGGAGTGGCGCAGGTCACCCCACAGGGAAGCGACAGAAGCGACTCTCATTTGTCTGACAGCAAAGCCCAGATGTCCACCCTTTACATATACGTAATATGGGACAGGTTCTGGCTCTGTGGCCTAGGCTGGAGTGCAATGGTGCGATCACAGCTCACTGCAGCCTTAACTTCCTGGGCTCAAGCGATCCTCACACTTTAGCCTCCTGAGTAGTTAGGATGACAGGCGCACCCCCCATGCCTGGCTGATTTTTGCATTTTTTGTAGAGACGGTGTTTCACCATGTTGACCAGGCTGGTCTTGAACTCCTGGCCTAAAGCAGGCCGACCATCTTGGCCTCCCAAAGTGCTGGGATTTCAGGTGTGAGCTGCTGCGCCTGGCTGTTCACCTTTATATTATTATTGCCCCACATGCTTGAGGCCACACTAAGCAGAAAGCCAGCTCTAAAGACTGAAATGACAAGGGTAGCCTAGAGTCACAGGGGTAAAAGAAGCTCCTGGTATTTTATTTTGAAACCATAGAAGATGAGAAAAGGCCTAGCTAACGGACAAGATCAGACACCCGAGGTTTCTCATTAAGCGTGACCTGAAAGCCTGTCTGGACAGCCGCAGATGAGGAGCAGCGCCTGCGTTCATCCACGCTGGGTGAAAGGTAAGAATTCAGGGTTACATGCGTGAAGGGGAAAGCAAGCGGGAAGCCCTTAGCATTCAAGCCCCTGAGCTCTGGTGTTGTCCACCCCTGGGGGCTGCCTGGTGGCAGGACGGCACTTCACGAGGGGAGATGGACCCCAGTGGGAACCACACTCAATCCCTCTACGCCCAGGCCGCTGTCAGACACTGGAGTCCTCCGCACAGTCCTGCAGCCGGAAGCACACGCTGCCAGTATCCCCTCCCTCCCACTCCCAGCCTACAGACAAGCGCATCTCTGCTGCATTCATCGCCGCACACGCCCTAAAAATGTCCTCACGTGAGTCTGTGCCAGCCTGCGCGCAAACCGTGAGCCCACCGCGCTGTGTGCACGCTCAGCTTCCCCCAGGCTGCGTCCCTCCCCCGTGGGGTCGCATTCCCTACTGGGAACCACTGCCTTCAAGCTGGAGCTCGGTCCCAGCTAGAAACACCCCCACTCCTTCTAATGGGGCAGTAAAAAAGCAAAACTAGCTCTGTGGAACGGTCTCTTTCAGATGTGCTTCCAGTCCCCTGTAAAACGTGTCAGCTCCATTTAGGTGAGGTCATGTTCTCTGGGGGCAAGCTCATAAACTCACGGCCGATGCAGCATCCCGGGGATCTCTGCGGGGGCCTGGACAGCCTGTCCCCACCTCCTGGAGGCCAGTCAGAGTCCGGGCAGCCCACTCCCTGGTCTCACAGGACCTGAGTCATGGAGCAGAGAGAACCTGCAGAGAGACTTTCCCATATGGAGGCTGAGGCTAGAGAGCATGAGAGCGTGGCCCTGGGCTCACCTGGTTAGAGGCAGCATGGGGTCCTCTGCAGGTCCCCAAGGCCTCAACCAGGCCTGGGGGCGGTGGGAGCAGCTCACTGATGATGAGGAACCAACTTCAGTGCCTGATGCTGTAGCAGCTGAGTCACAGATAAGCAGGCACTGGCAGCTGGCACATGCCCAGACCAACCCGACCCAGCCCAGCCCGGGCAGCGGCAGTGAGAGCTGCCAACCCCCACAGCTGCCCCTGTCTCTCACCTGCAAGCCCTGCCTGCCCCTGCCACTAGCGTGGAGCCTGTCTTCTGGGGAGGCCGGGGCAGTCCTGGTGCTTGTCATCTCTTGCAGCAGCTGCCTGGGCTGGGCTGAGTTGGGCTGGGCTGGCCTGTCTTCCTGCCATGGCTGGATATTTATATTAAACTTGAGGAAGGGAGAAAGGGGATTTACAAGGCACACTCAATTCTTTCTAACTCTAAGGTCCTGGCCTTGTCTATGTCCTTGTGGAGGGGCGATCTTGGCCAAAATCACTGTCCTTCGAAGGTCAGCATGTGCTTGGTGTCTTCCTGAATAAAGGGAAGGACATGCTGATGCCTCTTCCCCAGGCTGAAGATCTTTGGATGGTTAAGAAACTCCTGACCACACTCTTGAAAGCCGACATGCTGGCTGCCATCAGCAGCACCCCTTGGGCCTGACCTCCAAGCCACAATTAATCCTGCAAGCTATGACCCAGAGTATTGATGTCCTCACATTCCCAGATTAGCGCCCCCACCCATATCCCTAGCACCGACTCTGCCCCATGCCACCTGAGCCATGATTCCAGCCCTCAGCACACAGGTGCACACGCTGCCTGGACAATGGCCAGAGAACTGCCACAGGTCACACTGTGTCTCACGGCTTCTCACTTCCGTAGAGAAACCGGAAGACAGGTCTCAAACCAGACCTGAGGCAGCAGCAATAGCCACAGCAATGAGTGGTCATAGCTCAAATGCCTACTGCACCCCAGCCTGCCACCTGCCTTATTTAACCCTCGCAATTGTATAGAGTTGGCGTCACTATTCCCACTGCACAGAAAAAGAAACAAAATCCCAGAACAGATAGAAGATGCCCAAGGTCACAGACCTAACCATTAGAAGTGCTGCCATGTGAGCATAGGTGTAATTGTCTACGGAGCTCTAGAAAACAGATGAACTAGCAGGAAGGGTCACTGCAGGCCGGGACAACACCCAGGGAAAGGCCTCACTATGGCTGGGAAGAGCGCGGTGTGTGCGTCTAGCAGGAGTCCAGGTGTGGGGCAGGAGAGGCCGCTTGGGGAAAGGGAGCGACCACACACTGGGTCCTGCCTCATGTGCACCTGGCCATGTGTCGGCACTTGGTGTCGTTATCCTGCCCGCTCCTTACGAGAACCCTGTGAAACAGAAACTCCTCCTGATTTTACAGCTGAGGCCAAGGAAGCTCACACATCACAGATTAAATAATCGATTCAAAGTTACTGAAAGAATAGGAGAGTCCAAATCTATTTGCTTAATCCCCAGACCAGGGCTTTCTGCACGTGCCTCAGAGCCTTTGGTGCAGCTCCAAAGGGAGGCATCGAGAAACACCACCGGCTGGAAATGTGGCTCTGCTCCCGATCTTTGTCTGCGTTGGCGAGACACCGGCCGCTCTGGGCCGGAATCTCTCATCTACGAAAAAGTGGGTAGATGGAGACCACCCTCACGTTCCCTTCCAGCTATAGAAACAGTAACTTCCAGTCCTTAACTCGATGCTGTGTGGGTGTGTGGCTGAAACTGCTCACAGAGCAAGCTGGACAAGCGGACCTGGATTGAAACCCGCCCCTCCCTGGAGAAACAGGGGTGGCCTCCCTCCCCCATGGCAGGGACCTGCTGGGCAGGACTGAAGCCTGGCTCCTGACAAAGATTCTATTCTTCTCGATGCTTTCTCATTGTTCTTTGTGTTTACAAAGTGTCTTCCTTCAAGGGAACAGTGACTTGGACAAGCAGTGCCGAACTCTGAAGGCGCAGGGCTGTGATGGCTGCAGCCTCTTGCAGTGTTTCTCGGTGTCTTTCCTTGGGTTCCAAAGCCCTTACCAGGCAGGCTTCTGGACAGTGAGTGGGAGTTGGCTCTGTTGTTATTTGCCACAGGTGACATCAGGGTAAAGGATGGATTTGGGGTGAGCCGTGAGTAGGCTATTATCCACTGCACTTGAGGTGTGAACCTCCTGGTCCCCCTCAGCAGGTCCTGGCTTGTTCATGGAATGGAGGAGTCTGGGAAGGCGCTGAGAGGCATCCGCTAGGGAACCTGTTCCACCTGGGTGCTCAGACCCTGGCAGGAGCCCTTGCTGAAGTCCAGAGAGCCCCTGGCTGTCCCCTCTCATGACACTCAAAATCTGCCGGAGCCTGCAGCCCAGCCCTGCCCAGCACCCTCTTATGGCACTCAAAATCTGCCCGAGCCTGCAGCCCAGCCTTGCCTGGCAGAGCCCAATCCACAGATCTTCCTGCCCTCAACCTGCCAGTTAACAAGTTAGCCCTGTTTTCCAGGGCCTGAAGCTGTTTAGCAGAAGTAAAAAGGCCTTTAGGCTGACCAAGTAAACATGTGCAAAACACATCCCTGTGCCAGGTGGTTCTGGGGTCATGGAGATTGTTACGGGCTGGATTCGGTCCTCCTAAAATTCTTCTGTTGAAGTCCTAACCCCTAATACTCAGAAGGAGATATGACTTTAAAGAGGTAATTAAGGTAAAACGAGGTCATTACATGGCCCTAATCCAATCTGACTGGGTCCTTACACATGGAGGAGATTTAGGACGAGGATACACCTGGGGGAAAATCCTGTAAGGACACAGGGAGAACACACGTCTAGGGGCCAAGGAGAGAGGCTTCAGGACAAACCAGCCCTGCCAATACCTTCTACTCTCCAGAACTGTGGGAAAATCAATTTCTATTGTTTGAGTCATGCACTCTGTGATATTTGTTATCGCAGCCCAAGCAAACTAATAAAGAGATTGATACAAAATCACCCCTAAGCTCTGAGAATCACTGTGTAGCAGGAGATGCCAACACATAAGACGTGATGTGTTCCGTCGGGAAAGTCACACACCTCTCCTCTGACCACTCCACTCCCCACTCTGGATGCGGGTGGGGCCTTTGGCTTTTGGTGAGGCCCCTCTGGTGTCTCTGCCCACAGAGCTCCCTCCACACCTGTATTCAGGCCCCAGCTCAGGAAGCTTCCCAGGAGAGTCAAGTACACACAAAGCCTGTGCCAGACAGAAGTAAATTAAGACAACCTGGATGCTTTAAATCTCCCCTCCCTCCTACAGTTACTGTGATCTATACGCCTCTAACGTCTGACATTCTCAAAGCAACTCGGTGCGTGTCCATCTGTCTAGAGAGCTCTTAAAAGGCATAAGAGCAGAACGATCACCAGCGATTCCGCAGGCACGTTCTCACACGGACGTTAGTAACAGCTGAATTAAATGCTTTTTGAATGAGTGATGTATTGGATGCATTTGTTATTATTTTACTCTATGAACTATAAAGAAAGATTGATGACACCTAAACTCTTGGGCAGGATCCCCTTTTCCTTGCTCTGTAATGCACTTCCCCTGGCAAACTCCTACTCACTTCTCAAAACCCAACCCGAGGGTTTGTCTTTCTGAAGGCTACGCTGTCTCCACAAGCTGAGCTGATCAGCCCATCCTTAGAACAATCACTTGTTAAACCCAATGACAAGGGTGTGATGGGCTATGTGTGTCCCACCCCTAATTCACACATTGAAGCCCTCACCCCTAATGTGATGGGATTTGGAGGCGGGTCCTTTGGGAGGTGATTAGGTTTAGATGAGGTTGTGAAGGTGGTGTACGAAGCCATTCTTCACTGTTCTAAAGAAATACCTGAGATTGGGTAATTTATAAAGAAACGAGGTTGGCTTGGCTCATTGTCCTGCAGGCTGAGCAAACATAGCGCTTGCCTGTGCTCAGTTTCTGGGGAGGTCTCAAGGAGCTTTTACTCATGGTGGAAGGTGAAGTGAGAACAGGCACGTCACATGGTGAAAGCAGAAGCAAGAGAGAAGGAGGAGGTGCCACACACTTTTCACAACCGGATCTCGCAAGTACCTGCTCACTATGCAAGGTCAGCACCAAATCATGAGGGATCTGTCCCTATGGCCCCCACACCTCCCACCAGGCCCCACCTCCAACACTGGGCATCACAATTCAACATGAGACTTAGAGGGGGCAACATACAAACTGTATCAGGTGGAGCCGCATGACGGGACTAGTGCCCTCAGGAAGAGGAAGAGATTCCAGAACTTTCTCTCTGTGTCACTTGAGGACACGGCCGGAAGGCAGCCCTGCCTGGACCTTGAAGCTGGACTTCCAGCCTCCAGAACTGTGAGACATAAACGTCTGCCGTTGAAGGGGCTCAGCTTGTGGTGTGGGATTGTGGTAGCCCTAGTGAGGCACTGGCCTGTTAGATGGAAACTTCTGGAGCTAAGGGGCTTTCACCTTTGCACCCAGCACCTGGTCAGAGCTTGGACATCCTCTCCTAAAGATTTCCCTAAGCTTGGGTTAAATTAATGAGCTGCCCAGATGCCACAGACCATGTCTGAGAGCCTGAAGCAGCTGAGGAGGTTGTGTTATTTAAGTTGGGGCTTGATTGTTTCAGTTCATTTTACTCTAGAGGCAGGAAAAACAATAACGGGTAAGGCCTCTCACCCCGATGTTTTAGGGAGTGAGGCAAAGCAACCACCCCTGACTTGACAAGAAGACCATTCTCAAAGGTGATCAAAATAGACTCAGGGAAGCAGGCCTGTGGTTCCTTGACGCTCCTCCCAGGCCTTCCTGTTTGTCCCAGCCACCAGCATCCTGCAGGTACCGAGAGGGTGGATGTGGACTCACTGCTCGCAGGCCGCCAGCCTGCTAGCCCAGTGTCCCAAGTCAAAAGTCACAGCGACATGCCGGAAAGACAGTTTCCACAGGACGAGTGGAAAAGGGGGCGTCTCTTCTGCCCATCGAAGGGTGCATCCACCTGTGGTATTAAAGGATTTACAACTGGCCTCAGAAACGCTGCCGGAGCTGCTCCTTGGGGTCTGTCCGATGGGAAGAGGCCCCTCCTGTGGCTCCCCAGGTGGTAAACAGCTCCAGCTTCCTAAGGGGGTGTGGAGCAGCCCAAAGGCCACACTGATTAAAAAAAAAAAAAAAAAAAACAGCCCCATTTCCGATCCAGAGCTCTTGGGTAGAAAGTGACTCCATGTGCCAGTCTGGGCACCAGAGTGAGACCTCACCTCTCCTAAAAGTAAAATAAAAATGAGCTGGGTGTGGGGGCTCACCCCTGTAGTCTCAGCTACGAGGCTGAGGCGGGAGAATCGCTTGAGCCCTGGAGGTAGAGACTGCAGTGAGCTGAGATGGCACCACTGCGCTCCACCCTCAGGGACAGAGAGAGAACCTGTTTCCCTCTTACCAAAAAAAGAAAAAAAGTGACTCAATATGGAGAGAGGGCATGAGGGCATCAGGGAGCTGGTGGGCAGCCCTTGGCACTCTAGTGGGTCCAGTGCATGAGCTGCTGCTTCTTGTTCTAAGGCTTCTCATTGGGGGTGCCAGGATTCATGCACACTTTTTGCGTTTTGTTGGGGGCTGGGGGAACACTTGTGATGATTCTCACGGAAACAGGCCAGCTTCTGTGACCCACTAATTATTTGGGCACCCAGCTTTTTCCTAGACTGCCTTCCAAATTTAGTACACTTATATTTGGCCCTTTTTTCCTAGTTCCTTTTGAAATGTTCCGGGTTTGACTTCCCTTCTAGTTTCTCTCCTTTAAACTGCCTCCCGGCTAAAGTGGGACACAGGCCCCTTCCAATGGGTGAAGCTCTTGCAGACCACAGTTGGGATCTGGCACCATCTAGTGGCGAGCAAGGAGCTGCCAGCTTAGCTTTTGAATAGCCAGGTACCAATCCAAGTTGTTAAGCAGTGAGCTCGAATACAAAGCTCAGGCATACGTGGGGGCTAAGGGATGTGCACACGGGACATAGCGTGCGGACTGCACACACTGAAGACTCGGAAGGGTGGGAGGGTGTGGGGGAAGCGGATGATGAGAAATTCCTGAATACGTGCAAAGTACATTTTTTAGGTGATGGATACACTAAAAGCCCAGACTTCACCACTATCGAAGATATCCCTGTAACAAAATAGCATTGTGCCCCTGAAATTTATACAAATAAAAAATTAATACAAAGATCAGAAAACAAAAGCAGCAACAACTACAGACACCGCACGCATGTGCGTCCTGCTCACGGGAACGGGTCCGTGGTTTTGTCCTGTACAGGTTCTCGGGAGGACAGTGTCACTGCCCAGCAGCCAGGCCCCATCAGGCTGGAGGTCTTCAGTTCTATCTCTGGCCCTGCTTTAGAAGACGAGCTGTGAGCAGGGTGTCCTGGTTTCACTCAGGGGTGATTGGTGCCATCCTCCACCTTCCCGGTTTCTGCTCCTGCCTACTGCCTGCTGTGAGAACAGAACTCAATTTTCCCATCGGCATGGAGAGCAACTCCCCAGCGCATGAGAGCCGCTCTCGGTCCGAGGTGCCTCAGCTGCGGGCGTCTCCCTGCCAGCAGGGCAGAGGATAGGGCTAGACTGTCCCCATCTCTCAGGTCCATCCTCTGAGGCTGAGTCAGTGCCCCTGCCGAGAGCCCAGAAGCTTCATTACTGTATCTGGCAGGTGGTTCGGAGACAGGTGGTGGCTGCACGTAGGGAGGAGCCCGTTGGGGAGGAAAAATGGCCCCGACTGGTAAATGTGGGTGTTTGGAGTATTGTTTGTTATCATCGATCTCACTCTCTGCCAGGGCACACACTTTGTGTCAGTGAGTCATTGTGTCAATATAAAAGATTACCCATGGTTGGGTAATTTATAAAGAAAAGAGGCTTCGTTGGCTCACAGATCTGCAGGCTCTACAGGAAGTGTGGCGCCAGCATCCGCCTGGCTTCTGGTGAGGCCTCAGGAAGCCTCCAATCATGGCGGAAGGCAAGCGGAGCTGGCGCTTCACATGGTGAGAGAGGGAGTAAGTGCGGGAGGGGTCCCTTTTAAACAGCCAGATGTCGCCTGAACTCAGAGTGACAACTCACTCACTATCACAAAGACGGCATCAAGCCACCCATGAGTGATCTGCCCCGACGACCGAAACACCTCTCCCCAAGCCTCACCTCCAACATTGGGGATCACATTTCAACATGAGGCTTGGAGGGGACACACATCTGTACCATGTCACACTTCCCCAATCTCACAGCCCAGGAATTTGGGTCAGTCCTTCCCATCGATCTATGACTGTCTTTTGCATGACTGGGGGCTTTCTGAGGAGAAAGGGATGTCCCCCCAACAAATGGCTTAGATGGAGCCGACACATGGTGGGGGAATCGGTTTTTGCTCCTCGCAAAAACAGGTATTTCTGCTTTCTCTTTGGGCACCCAAGGAAAGATATTTGCTGCAAACACAAACCAAAAAGACGGTGTCCAAGAGCTGCAGAGAAGGGGCATCACAGCACCCCAAGCCTTTGAGTCCTGTGGTGTTTGGGGATTTCAGAAGCCACAGACATGGAGAAAATGTCCCACATGACTCTCTTTCCAGTCATTCCTTTGCTTTCACAGGATGAGAAATAATGCTCCTGAATGCACATGGCAAGGTCTGAAGAAGGTCTTGGGAAGAAATGTGCTGTGGAATGTTATTAAAACGTGGTTTGAGCCCACGTCTCTATGGATATGCATAGTCCCACATATGAACATGATGCTTAGATCATTATTCTTGGGCTTACTATTAATAGTAAAGTGTGTCCATTTCCAGGTTGATCGAAGCTGGCAGAGGATAGAAGAGCTCTGTGGCCGAGTGAGCTGTTTCTGGAGCCAGATGAGTCTTTGGCAGAGCCTGAGGTCCCCTGCTACTACTGGGTGAGTCTCTCTGAGCCTTGGTTTTCTTATTTGCAAAATGTGAGACGGTAACAGTCCTTTTCCTGTGGCTTGTTGGAAAAATCAAGTGAAAGAGTGTATCATGTCTGGCACATCGTGTGCTAAATAAAGTTTGCAATTATTATCTGAAGACAATAGAACTCACTCAAAGAAGTCCCAGGAAATCAATGTAGATTTTTTTTTAACTTTAAGACCTGGATACATGTGCAGAATGTGCAGGTTTGTTACATAGGTATACATGTGCCATGGCGGTTTGCTGCACCCATCAACCCATCATCTAGGTTTTAAGCCCTGCATGCATTAGGTATTTGTCCCAGTGCTCTCTCTCTCGTTGTCCTCCAACCCTCAAGAGGCCCCAGTGTGTGATGAATCAAAACCACAGTGAGATATCATCTCATGTCAGTCAGAATAGCGATTATTAAAGTCAGGAAACAATAGATGCTGGCGAGGCTGTGGAGAAATAGGAACACTTTTACACTGTTGGTGGGAGTGTAAATTGGTTCAACCATTGTGGAAGTCAATGTGGTGATTCCTCAAGGATCTAGAACCAGAAATACCATTTGACCAGCAATGTCATTATTGGGTATATGCCCAATGTAAATTTTTAACAGGGAGGTTTTTTCGTCGAAAACTATCAACTTTAGGCTAAAAGCAAGAATTGTTTTATTTTTCTTTTTTTGGCTCAGTTTTTCATTAGAAAAGAAACCTCCCCAAATGTAAGGAAGCAAATGAATGAAAGGAAAATTACAACTGTGGGGAGTCATTACATTGGAAGGCCTCTCTTGGGACAGCGTGAAATAGAATTGCTCCATTGCTGCAGCCACGAAACCATTAGAGAATGCCCCTCCCGGGACCGGACAAACTGATGCAGGCTAATTTTCCATGGGTGATGTCTGCATAGCTGCGGGGATGGGTCCTATTGGCCTCTGAGGCCTGTGTTTAAGTGACTGCTGTCTTTCCACTTGGAAAATCCCATTTGAATATGGGAATCACGGCCATGGAATCCTTCACATCTCGTGATGGTCAGGCGCACTTCCTATTTCATTGCCCTGAAGTCCCAGCGGCAAAAGGCATTGACCTGTTGAAAACATGAAGGTCAGTCTGATATAACCAGAGCTTTTCTGAACCCCAGCCACTGGAAAACCTTGCTGGTACGATACCCATCCATTACCATTACTGGTACTACGGCTCCAGGAATGAACAGAATTTAGCCTTTGCATGGGCAACATGGCTCAAAGAGCCCTGGATTCAGGGTCAGAAAACCTGGTTTTAAATCCTGTTTTACAGACTGTGTGATCTGCAGAAAGTTCTTCTTTCTCACCTCCATGCATTTTTATATAAAATGGGGTAATAAAAATATCTAGGGGGTTACAAGTAAGGAAAAAAGGTATATGAAGTTTTGTTGTACAATGCTTATGTATATATGGATGCATAATGTATATATACATACATATATACACATTAAGCATTGTACAACTGATATAAAATATATTATGTCTGTCTCCAGAGGACAACGTAGGTCACTAGCAAGATGGGAGAACGTGATTCGGCCAGTCCAGCTAGCATTCATTTTCTCAAACAGATTTTAAAAACTGCTATTGCCTTCTGAGGCTTTAACTTCTTCATTCTAACAGAGTCTATTATTGTTAGGATGAAATAATTCTTCAATTATTGAACAATGACAAACCATTGCCTCCCACTAATCTACCTTTGTGGAGTTTCATCCATGCAACGAACAATTATTTACCAAACTCTTTTGTTTTTTTTTTTTTTTTTTTTTTTTGAGACGGAGTCTGGCTCTGTCACCCAGGCTGGAGTGCAGTGGCTCGATCTCAGCTCACTGCAAGCTCTGCCTCCTGAGTTCACGCCGTTCTCCTGCCTCAGCCTCCCAAGTAGCTGGGACTACAGGTGCCCGCCACCACACCCGGCTAATTTTTTGTAGTTTTAGTAGCGGTGGGGTTTCACTGTGTTAGCCAGGATGGTCTCGATCTCCTGACCTCGTGATCCGCCCGCCCAGGCCTCCTAAACTGCTGGGATTACAGGCGTGACCACAACTCCCGGCCTTACCAAACTCTTTCTTATGTGTTCCATGCCATGCTAGTTTATTATAAATCAGACACAGCCCCTGCTCTTGAGGGGCTTACTTGTTTAAGTCACTGAGCACACAGGCAAATCTCTTATGATGAATTGCCGTGAGCGCCAGGAGCAAAACAGAACACAGAATGGAGAAGACGCACTGAACTCCCGCCTCAGCCCTTTCTCCTGGTGGGCTTGTCCCCCTCCCCACTCAGCCACTCATGCTAGTGGTTAAAGCCTGATCTTATTACTGTAATAAATGCAATCGTTCCAAATCCCAATGTCCAATATCCCACTGTCAAGCTTCTTTCTCTCCAGCTCACTCCTGCTACCACCCTGCTTTCAACAATCCTTCAACATTTGGGGACCTGCAGTGGGTTGGCCTCAGCTCCTTTTCACTCTTCCTCACCCTTTGACTTCCTCCCTTCTGACTCGGCTTAAATCCCATAGCAGCCACTCAGGTTGCTGCTTCGAATTCCTCTCCAGTGCCCTGTAGCGCAGCAGTCAGGTCCCCACGTAAATGCACCCTCCACTCAGCACCTGCTTAACCCCACAAGGCTGGGGCACATTGCACAGCCATGGTGACCAGTTCCCCATAAGGTCTCGATCATTAAACCCCGGAGGCCCCTGAGCCAGCCCAGAAACCATGTTAGATGCTCCTGGTCCAGTCACTGCCCCCTCTCCCAGGACGTGCTCCTCAAACTGGTCTAGCACCTCCTCCACCATCATCCCACTCAGCTGACACCCTCGAATTTTGCTTCATTGAAAAAAGAAAACTGTAATTACTAGTCAGGGTTCTCCAGAAAAACAGATTTATTATGGGAATTGGTTCATATGGAGGCCCACGATTTGCGAGCTGAAAACACAGGAAAGCTGGTGGTATCATTTAGTCCAAGTCTGAAGGTCAGAGAAACAGGAGCTCCAGTGTTCAAGGAATGGAGCAGGTTGATGTCCCAGCTCAAGAAGAGAGAGGACTCCCCCTTCCTTTGATTTTTGTTCTATCCCTGCCCTCAGTGGATTGGATGCTCGTCCACATTGGTGAGAGTGGATGTTCTTTCCTGAGTCTCTAAATCTGAATGCCCATCTCCACTGCAAACGCCCACACAGACACACCCAGAAAGAAAGTTCTACCAGCTATCTGGACTCCCATAGCCCAGTCAAGTTGACCCAGAAAATGAACCATCCCATGGGAGCAATCCAAGAGGAACTTCCACACCACCATCCACTCCTTTGTTCCTCTTCCTGCATGTGTCTCACTGTGTTGGAGACAGAGTCTTGCTCTGTTGCCCAGGCTGGAGTGCAGTGGCACGATCTCAGCTCACTGCAACCTCTGCCTCCCGGGTTCAAGAAATTCTCGTGCCTCAGCCTCCCGAGTAGCTAGGATTACAGGCACCTGCTACCATGCCTGGCTGATTTTTGTATTTTTAGTAGAGACAGGGTTTCACCATGTTGGCCAGGCTGGTCTCAAACTCCTGACCTCAAGTGATCCAACCGCCTCGGCTTCCCAAAGTGCTGGGATTACAGGCGTGAGCCACCGTTCCCCGCCTACCTTCCTATGTTTAGAGGGACAGGGGGATAGAGGTTCCCCAGATTGGTCTCAAACTCCTGGGCTCATGTGATCCTCCCACCTTGGCTTCTCCACGTGCTGGGATTACACGTAAGAGCCAGTGCACCTGTTCTATCCAACTTCTTTCCTGCATCTGTGGATGACCTTTTTGTGCTGGCCACACCAAGCCCTCCCTGTGTGTGCTATCCCCTCTCATCTGCATAGGGGCACTGTGGAGCACTTTGCTCTTCCGCACCAATGCAGTACAGAAACCCTGCCTGAGCCCAGAGGAACCAGGAGAATGGACATCCATAGAATTACTAAGCAGCTCCTCATAGTTTTAAAATTTATCTCCTTAATTGAATTTTTGTGTTAAAATGAAGCCAATGAATAAACTTGGCAAATCTTTTGAAGACTTTTAGCAAATCAGTATGATAATTTAAGTGTTATTTTCAATGTTTTATACACCGTATTTAAATATATCATCTTTGAATTATGTCAAATTTGTTTACATATTTGAATAAATGTGTCTATATGATAGTACTAATCAGGTGGGCTAGGTATGTTATGGTGGCAAACAAAAAACTCCCCCAAAAAACACAAAATCTCAGGAATTAGGAAAAAAAAAGGGTTAGCGGGTGTGGTGGTGCATGTCTCTAGTTTCCAACTTCTCTGGAGGCTGAGGTGGGAGGATCACCTGAGCCTGGGAGGTCAAGGCTGCAGTGAGTCATGACTGTGCCACTGCACTCCAGCCTGGGCAACAGAGCAAGACTCTGTCTCAGAAAATGAACAAAAAAGGCTTTTTGATCTTTGTTTTTGTTGGTTTGCTACAGCTACCAGGCCAGAGGGGCTGGCAAGGTATCCCTAAGGATTATTACAACCTTTAGGGACCCACATTTAAGGAAGCCCATTGCAACATGTACTCCCAAGGTGGCTGTCCCAGGAAAAGGAAAGGTAGCAAAGACTCTCAAAACTGCCCCCAGAGGCAATGTGCAGCCTTGGCTTTCACATGCCATTGGTCAAAGCAAGTCCCATGGCCAGGCCTAACTTCAAAGGGGACAGAAAGTACAATAATTCCATGTAATATTTGTGAAAGGCCCTAATGGCATCATAATGAGAATGGATCCCATTACTAGCACTTTTATAAAACGTGTATCAACATTTTATGTTTTAGGGTGCAGATGCTCAAATCTTTGTTTTACATCCTGATTCTCCAATTTGCCAAATACTATCACCTTACTCTACCGTCTTTGTTAGGAACATTGCTAACACCATCTGCATAATTGGCACCCTTTCCTGGTATGGGAGAAGCACAGTTGACAGCCAGTGTTTTGGTGGCAAGAGGTGATTTGTGTGTGCATTTGGGTTCGGCAAGTGCTTCGTCCTAGGTGGGGAGGATTCCTGAGCACAGTCAAAAGATCAGCAAAGCGTGGCCGGGGAAATGCGGGGGACTTTGGAGAGGAGAGTGAGTGCAGGGTCTGTAGTGGGTAAAGGAACCCTTGAAAAGGTGTCTGGGAGATGAGGCACCCCAGAAGCAGCCTTAGGAGATGCTTGGGTGGGGTGGGGGAGTAGATAGGAGCACCAGGCTGGACAGAGCCCATTCCACGCCTGCTTCTGCCAACTGCCAGTCTGGGATGCTGGGTGAATCCCTCAGTTTTCTTTTTTTCTTTTTTATTTTTTTTGAGATGGAGTCTCGCACTGTCTCCCAGGCTGGAGTGCAGTGGTGTGATCTTGGCTCACTGCAAGCTCCGCCTCCCAGGTTCACGCCATTCTCCTGCCTCAGCCTCCCGAGTAGCTGGGACTACAGGCGCCCGCCACTACGCCGGGCTAATTTTTTGTATTTTTAGTAGAGACGAGGTTTCACTGTGTTAGCCAGATGGTCTTGATCTCCTGACCTCGTGATCCACCCACCTCAGCCTCCCAAAGTGCTGGGATTACAGGCATGAGCCACCGTCCCCGGCTGAATCCCTCAGTTTTCTAAAGTGCAGTTTTGTTATCTGTAAAATGGAAATAATAAGAGCAATGCAAGGATTAGATTGAGCTGATGCGCGTGATACCCTTAGCACAGCACCTGGCTCAATCAATGACAGCCACGATTGGATCAGATTCTGCTTGCTTACAGTCAGCCGTATAATTAACCCTCCTCCCTCCACTTGCCACCCTCCACCAAAAACCCAGAGCTAATATTAAGAAGCTTTGATAGTTCTAATCTGCTCTTCCCTTCCTCCAAGGGGATAAATAAGCTCTCCACTGGCTTTAAGCCAACAGCCACCCACACCTTGACCGCATGAAGTTTCTCCTTGTCTGCCTCCCCAAGCACGAAACAGGCACCATTTGATGTGTTTTCACTGTTCCAATTTTCCATTTTCCAGGCCAAGACGAATTGACAGAACTTCCAAAACACTTTGCAAAGACAGCGAGTGCACAAAGCTGCAGCTCACAGCCTTGTCCCGTGGCCGGGAGACAGGATGCATGCTGAGCTGCTGGGAGGAGGGACAGGAGGAAAAGTGCCTGCAGCTGCAGGAGCACCCACTTGAGATGCCTCCTGTGTTCAATCAAGTTCAGAGTAATTGCTTCCTCACTCCTCCTGGCAAAACTGTTCAACTTGGCACAGTGACAGCTCCTTGTAGAGTTTTTCCAGCTGATGTCATTCTTCCTAAGGTCTGCTAGGGTCCCAGCTAACACGACTGTGTTGCACTGGCATCCAGACCTCCACCAGGAGCAATTCAAAGGCCTATTTTTGTGAATATGTGGCAAAGATCCCAGGCTCCATGGAGGCCTTTTGCACTGGGGACATGGTGGAAAATTAAGCCCCAGAGGTAACTACCTACCTGAACGGCATGAGACCAGCTGATTAGATGACAGAATGGGCAGATCCGTGGAAGGGATTGAGTGAGCACTAACATCGAGCATTCTTATAAACTAAGTGAGACTGCAAGAGTCAGGGGCCACTGTGCACAATTGTGTGAGCTGTGTTTTGCAGCAGGTGTCTGGGGAGCTCAAATCCACCCACAAAGGGAAGCCTTTCTGACTTGTACAAAGGGCCATAAGTGGTGGCTCGAACCTGAGGCTCTACCATGCAGTGAGTGTGGAGATGTGGAGATGGGTACACAGGAATGGACAATCTAGAGAGGGGAAGAGACTAACATCCAGCAGCACGTTAACTGTGAAAGCAAACTAAATATGGCCTGAGAAGGACTCCATACTTCTATATTTGAGTCCTCGCGGATGGACTGTAACCTAGCTTAATAGGCGGACAAAATTGCAAACATAACCTGGTAGTATGCACCTCCAACAATAGCTAAGTCTTGGCCAACCCCAGTGGCCATACTCAACCAACCATACACTGCTGAGTGTTCAAATTAGGCATACGCCAAGCAGTAACCAATCCAGCTGTTTTATACTTCACTTCTAATTTCTGTACATCATTCCCCCCCCCCCACCTTTTTTTGTCTATAAATCTTCTCCACCTGGCTGTGCTGGAGTCTCTGTGAACCTGCTGTGATTCTGGGGGCTGCCCAATTCTCAAATCGATCATTGCTCAATTAAACTTTAAATTTAATTCAGCTGAAGTTTCTCTTGCATCAACTGCTATAGTATTTCAGTTTAGTTTCTTTCTCTTTTCTTGAAACTAATATGTACTTAGAGTCTAGTATGGCAAATGCCACGGTGGGCATTTTACTTATATAATCTGAAAACTGCTTATGAGCTCCCTGCAAGACAGATGCTAGCATCCGGCCCACTGTATGGAGGGGGAGACGGAGCCACGGATCCCTGACCAGAGGTAGGTGCTCAAGCAGCAGGCCTGCTCGACTTGAAATCACGGGTTTTCCTTCACATTGACTGCTCTGTCCTTCTTGAAGGACTGCTCAATGATGCATTTTATTTTCCACCTGCATTCATAGATATTATGTAAATTTTCAAAATAGTATCTTTCTGTGAAATGGCAAAAGCATGATGAAAAAGTACCTTGAAAGTGGCTAAGTCTTACAAATATGGCATTTTAAATAACATCATTAGACACTATTGCACAAAGTGCTATAGTTATCTCTCATTACGATGCAGTGAACAGGTCCTAAAGTTGCTTTTTCCCTTTTCTGCACAAGGACCAACTTGGAGATATTTGGGAAAGAAAAGAAAGAAAAAGATTTCTCTGACTAGCTTCTCCCGACACAGGCTAGCCACGTGTTATGCCATTAGTACCTGTGCTACATCCAGACAGAAGTCACTCTTGTGAAAAGAGGATTCGGTTTTTTAAAAAATGTGCTACTGATTCGGTGAGCAGAAGAATCTTGACGCTAATTGTCAAGTAGATTCTACTGTATCCAGTGTCTGGCACAAAACCCAACAGGGGTGCTTTAACTCAAGAATTCCTTTAGAAGGAGGCTAAAGAATTTGATGAGGGGCCAGGTGCAGTGGCTCACACCTGTAATCTCAGCACTTTGGGAGGACGAGGCGGAGGGTGGTGGCGGCGGGTGGGGGACGGGGATCACCTGATATCGGGAGTTCGAGACCAGCTTGGTCAACATGGTGAAACGCTTTCTCTACTAAAAATACAAAAATTAGGCAGGTGTGGTGCCATGAACCTGTAATCCCAGCTACTCAGGAGGCTGAGGCAGGAGAACTGCATGAACCTGGGAGGTGGAGATTGCAGTGAGCCAAGATCACACCACTGCACTCCAGCCTGGGTAGCAGAGTGAGACTCCATCTCAAAAAAAAAAAAAAAAGAATTTGAAGAGGATTAGTGAATCTGTCCTCTAAAAAGAAAAGTAGATATTGTTTAAAGGAAATTATGAAAATATTTACATGTGGCAAACTAATAATTGGATAGTAAATCATTTAAAAATCTCTTGCCTCTACTGTTTCTCCTACTATTCAAGGAGCAAGGAGTCTTTCTGTAGTCTCTGATTTCGCAGTTATTGCAGAAATGGCCAGGTGCGGTGGCTCACACGTGTAATTCCACCTGCTTGGGAGGCTGAGGTGGGAGAATCACTTGACCCAAGAGTTCAAGACCAGCTTAAGCAAGATAGTTAGATCCCAAGTTTCATAAAAAAAGAAAATAAAAATTATTGCCAAAATGCTACAAGATATTGCTTGAGCTTGGCTTTGAATATCAACAGCAAAGCCTAGAAAATGAACCACAGAGAACTGGCACCACGCCTTGGATTGCAGAGAAGAAGCGATGATATCGATGGCCTCACTGATACAGTGATGGGCTGGAGTGCGCTGGCTGAGGGAGGGGTCATTGGGTGATGATATCAACGCCGTCATCGGTACAGTGATGGGCTGGAGTGCGCTGGCTGAGGGAGGGGTCAGCGGGTGATGATATCAACGCCGTCATCGGTACAGTGATGGGCTGGAGTGCGCTGGCTGAGGGAGGGGGTCAGTGGGCGGAGGGCAGCATCTTGAGGGCTGGGGAGAAGATTAGCCAGAGTAGGAGAGTCAGAGAGACAGGAGAGGATGGGGGAGCTTGGACAGTGGAGGCCAGCTGTGCCAAGAGTGTGGTGAGCCTGGGCAGGGGCATTTGATGGCATCGTAAGAGGAACTATCTGGTCAGTGGTCCTGCGATGAAAAAGCTGTCTAGGGGCTGAGAGAGCTCTGAACATGACAAAGGAGATCAGTGTCCCGATCCTGAGCCCTGCCTAACTCCTGCAATTTTGGGCAGGTCGTGTCCCCTCCAGCTCCGTCAACCTTAAAAGCGGTGGGGGGGGGGGTTGGATTGGATGCCTCTGGGGTTTCTTCTAGATCATACCTATTCTGTGTCAACTGGAGGTCACTGGCTGTTTGGGGAGAGCCCTGAGGATGAAGGCCAAGGCAAGGGGTGGAGCTGGAATTGGTGAAGATGCAGGAAAGGGAGAGAAAGGTGGCTTTGGCTTGAGGAGGGTCCCAAGAGCCATTTCTTCCTGGTGGACCCTCAGAGATGTTTGGAGTCTTGGGGGAAGCATCTAGAAAGTGAGGTGGGGTAAACCACGGAGGAAGGGAGGGAGGACGCAGGGAGAGTCAAAGGTGCTCGGGCAGGGAGATGGGTGTTTGTGGGAGCAGGAGACAGTAGATGGGGAAGTGAATGAGAAATGTGGGGCGTTAACGGAGCTCCACTCGGATGGGTTCCATCTTCCCAGCTAAGCAGGAGTTTCAGGGAAAGCACAGAGGACACTGTGTGGGGCAAATGCCATGGGGGAACATGAGGAATTAAGGGCCAATGCATCAAGCATTTCCAGAAAAGCATAAAGAGCCCCACTCAGAATGAAGAGGGTGCATTTACACTGAAATTCATGTCCTGCCTTGCTGATTTTTCTCCTGGATCCTAGAAAATGGTTATTATTGAAGCATGAGGTTAAACTTGCCATCATGTCTCTGATTTATGAGTCACAATGTGGCCTGTTGTGATCTGGATGGGGTAGGGAGAGGCTCTGTTCCCATCAGCAATGGGTTGTGTCTCCTTGCTGTGGGGTGGGCCCGTCCAGCACACGGCCTATTTTACCTGTTTTGGGGACCTGCAATTCGCTTCAAATACCAAGAATCCATCCTCGTTTTACTGGATAGAATTGTCCAGGTTCCTGGTGCGTTGAACAAAGAATCGAACAAAATGCACAGAGCAATAAAAGAACAGATTAATGAAAGCATAGATTTATTGAAGACATTTCAGGGTGGGAGCGCACTCGAGCAAGTGCCTCAAGAGCCTCCTTAATTAGGGGTTTCTGTTGAGCTAAAGAAACTCAGCAACACCAGTCCGTGCCCTTTAGAGGCCTCCAATTGGCTACACCCCATGAAGGATTGGCCTGCGACCAATCAGAGGCTGAAGTGGCTTGTTATTATGTGAGTGAGGATGTAGCCTATAAACTGCACCTGCTGCTCTCCTGCTTCTATGAACTGGCTGCACCTGCTGAGCCCCGTTCCCTTAATTCCCTATTCTTCTGTCACACACTCCAGGAGTGCTCCTTACTTTGGGCTCATTATGACTAAAGAGGAGGAGCTGAGGCCTTGTTACCACTTCATTGCAGAGACAAAGGCATAAACAGTATTTACTAGGCATGTATTGAGTACATGTGATCTTCCAAGCACTGCTCTAAGTCCTGGGGTGCAACAGTTAGAATGTGTCGCCTCCAAAATTCAGATGTTGCCAATGGGATGGTGTTGAGAGGCGAGGCATTCAGAGGTGATTAGGCCGTGAGGGATGCTCCCTCGTGAGTGGGATTAAGGCCCTTTTAGAAGAGGCTTGGTCCAGCATGAGGACAGGCCCTCCTGTCCTCACCACCTGAGGACACAGTCTTCCTCCCCTCTGGAGGGTGCAGCCTCATTTGAGACCGAACCTGTTAGGGCCTTGATCGCGGACTTCCCAGCCTTAGCAATATATTTCTGTTCTTTATAAATTACCCAGTCTGTGGTATCCTGTTAGCACAACATAAAACAAACTCAGACTTGGGAATACAGTGGGGGGCAGGGTGGGTGAGGACCCTGGTCTCCAGGAGCTCACATTTTAGCAGATTTAACACCCGCTGCTATACGTGCTCAAATGCTAGTTCCTTTTGGAGCAGGAACACAGCTGAAAAGATGGGTTGATTTTCAGCGTGGAGGGCTCCGTCATCTACCTGGACTCTGGCCAGCTTTTCTGCTCCTCACTCCGAGATGAAGCTGTTTTCCATTTTGATTAGGCTCAGAGATTCCAGGCCCGATGCCTTTGATCTGTGTGCTCCTACATTCTGCTTGATCTTCTGAGGTGGGAGGGCAGAGTCTGAAGGCTCCATCCCCATTTGGAATATCCCGGTCATCTGAGGCCATGGCTGCTGGTCCTGAGTCATTATTTTTCCCTGAGGGAAGGAGACAGTTGTTCAGCTGCTCAACCCCTTTGCTCTGGCTTTGCCGTACCCTTTTCAGATGTTTCAGGAAAATAAAAAGATGCACCCTGGGAGGCGTTCCGCAGAGTAACCGCCAAAGACGGTAACTGTTAATAGCAGGAGACAGGGGCCGAGCGCGGTGGCTCATGCCTGTAATCCCAGCACTTTGGGAGGCCAAGGCAGGCAGATCACCTGAGGTCAGAAGTTCGAGACCAGCCTGGCCAACAGCATGGTGAAACCCCATCTCTACTTAAAAAAAAAAAAAAAAAAATTAGCCGGATGCGGTGGCACATGCCTATAGTCCCAGCTACTCAGGAGGCTGAGGCTGGGGAATCACTTGAATCTGGGAGGCGGAGGTTGCAGTGAGCTGAGATCACGCCACTGCACTCCAGCCTGGGTGACAGGGCAAAACTCCGTCTGAAAAAAAAAAGGAGACAGTGTGTCTTTGTCCACCCCGGCTGCTGTCACAAAGTGCCACAGACTGGGCGGCCCATAAACCACAGAAATTTCTCCATTCTGGAGGCTGGAAGTCCAAGATCCAGGCACTGGCAGATTCCGTGTCTGTGATGACCTGTCTCCTTAATGACAGATGGGATCTTCTCCCTGTGTCCTCTTCTCACTGTTAGCCCCCTTTATAAGGGCACTAATGCCACTGAGGAGGGCTCCACCCTCATGACTACACCACCTCCCCAGGCCCCACTTCCTGAGAGTAAACACTGGGAGTTAGGATTTCAGCAGATAAATCTGGGAGCACAAATATTCAGTCCTTCACATCGGGAAAGGTGGGGCAGGGCCACCTGGTTTGGAGGTCACCTTCCCAGCTTATAACAGGGGCTTTGGGGACTGGCTGGCAGTCAGCCCACCCAGGGGTGCCTGTTTGGAATCTCAGGTGATGAGTATATTTCCTTCATCTTGCAGGACCACAGCCATCCAGCCAGCTGGGATTTGGAGGCTGGGGGAGGCTTGAGCTAAGTCAGGGTCCTCTGGACTCATGTTTTCCTCTGACAGCACTGAGGGGCCCCCGCTCCTGGGCGGCCCACGCCTTCCTGCCTCTAGCATCAAGGCAGCTGCCCTCTGGAGCTCACCCCAGGGACCGGGGTTCCCAAGGCTGGAAGATACTTTTCGTAGTGTGGTGGCTGGAAATGTCCCAACTTGGGGCTGGAGGAGGCCCGCCAGTCCTGTCTGTCCTTTCCAGCAGCCCCGCAGAGGCTGAACCCCCTGGCAATGTGGCACTGCCACATGCCCCAGCACCCGGGATGTCAGGCGCCACCAAGGCAGGCTGCTGTGGTGCGGCACTGGTGAGTCAGAGCATTTGCTATGGTGCTGTCTGGGCATATTCTAGGAGCCTGCTTTGTATTCAGTGGGTATTTTCCTTGGCCTGTCACCAAAACACTTGCCTTGAGGTGGAGGAAAACCAACGTAACAATTCTCAGGAACAAGAGGGCAGCCGTTGGGGAGAATCTAGAGGCAAAATCCCAGGGCAAAGACCACAGGCTGAGTGAGAGCCCCCTGTCCATTCCCCTGGCCTTGCATCTGTGTCCTGCCCAGAGCCAGACACTCACCCGCATCCCTCAAGTCCTCTGCAGAGCCTCCTCCACCAGGAAGCCTTCCTTGTCCTCCATCTCCTAATCAACACTGTCCCCACAGGATGGGATGTGTGCTTCACGCCAGTGAGTAGGATGTGTTATTTGATTGGATTTTGTGTTTGTTAAGATGGTGCAGCCCACTTTTAAAGCAATTTGCTCCAGAAGTGCTGGGATGAATATTTCCTAAGCTCAGGGCATCATTTTGCTCTTTTAGGGTTTTAAAACAATTCTTTTTTATTTTTTTGAGACTGAGTCTTGCTGTGTCACCAAGGCTGGAGTGCAGTGGTGTGATCTTGGCTCACCGTATCCTCTGCCTCCCAGGTTCAAGTGATCCTCCTGCCTCAGCCTCCTGGGTAGCTGGGATTACAGGCAGGCACCACCATGCCCAGCTAATTTCTGTATTTTTAGTAGAGACAGGGTTTCACCATGTTGGCCAGGCTGGTCTCAAACTCCTGACCTCAGGTGGTCCACCTACCTCAGCCTCCCAATGTGCTGGGATTACAAGCGTGAGATACTGCGCCTGGCCTAATACTTTTTTTTAAAAGCATTTTTAGGGTCATAGCAAAATGGAGAGGAAGGTACAGAGAGTTCCCACAGACTCCCTGCACCCCCTGGAACCTCCCCCACCAGAGTGGTGCATTTGTTACAACTGATGAACATCCGTTGACCTGTCATCATGACCCAAGTCCAGTTTACCTTAGGGCTCAGTCTTGACGTTGTGCACTCTGTGGGTTTGGACAAATGTATAACGACATGGACCCAACATTACAGTATCATGCAGAGTAGTTTCACAGCCCTAAAAGTCCTGTGTTCATCCGTCCCTCCCCACTAAGCCCTGACAACCACTGGTCTTTTTTCTGTCTCCATAGCTTTGCCTTTTCCAGAGTGTCATAGAGTTGGAACCATACAGGAGACAGCCTTTTCGGACTGGCTTATTTCACTTAGTAACCTGCAGTGAGTTTCCTCCATGTCTTCTCATGGCTTGACAGTTCATTTCTTTTCGTACTGAATAATATCCCATTGTCTGGGTCGGGCGCGGTGGCTCACACCTGTAATCCTAGCACTTTGGGACACTGAGGCAGGAGGATCACTTGAGGTCAGGAGTTCGAGACCAGCCTGGCCAACATGGTGAACCCCCATCTCTAATAAAAATATAAAAATTGGCCGGGCGTGGTGGCAGACACCTGTAATCCCAGCTACTTGGGAGGCTGAGGCAGAAGAATTGCTTAAACCTGGGAGGTGCAGGTTGCAGGGAGCCGAGACCATGACATTGCATTCCAGCCTGGGCAACAAGAGTGAAACTCCATCTCAAAAACAAACAAAAACACAAATCCCATTGTCTGGATGTACCACAGTGTATTTATCCATTCACTGACTGAAGGGCACCTGAGTTGTTTCCAAGTTTTGGCAACTATGAGTAAAGCTGCCTCAGACATCTGTGTGCAGGTTTCTGTGTGGACCTAAATTTTCAACTCCTTTGGGTAAATATCAAGTAGCACCAGCTTGATCATATGGTGAGAGTAAGTTTAGTTTAGTGTCTGTGTGTGTTTAACAGATACCACGCGGGTGTGCAGTGGCTCTTCACAGGTACAATCATGGCACACTACAGCCTCAAACTCCTGGGCTCAAGTGATCCTCCTGCCTGAGCCTCCTGTGTGGCTTAGACTACAGGCATGCACCACTCCACCCTAGTTTTGCAAGAAACTGCCAAACTCTCTCCCTAAGCATCTGCACCATTTTATGTGCCTAGCAGCAATGAGTGAGAGTCCTGTTGCTCCACAGCCTCCCCAGCATCTGGTGTGGACAGCGTTCAGGGTTCTGGCCACTCTACTCGGTGTGCAGTGGTATCTCATGGCTTAGTTTGCAT
Organism: Homo sapiens; assembly: GCF_000001405.40. Taxonomy (NCBI): domain Eukaryota; kingdom Metazoa; phylum Chordata; class Mammalia; order Primates; family Hominidae; genus Homo; species Homo sapiens. Next base: position 6,796,744 of record NC_000008.11, read on the forward strand.
TTCCCTGATCACCTAGGACATTGACATCTTTCCATCAGCTTGTTTGCCACCCAGGGCACTTGTTCCCCAGACAATGACAGTGTCCTATGAGGCAGTCACTGGTATCTGAGCACCAGCCTTGTTCTCAGGATCCCTGAAGTTAGAGCATGGGCTTCTTGAGGACAGAAGCTTTTCTTTCCTGTCTGCTCCCACCGCCTGGGTTGATGGCCTTCCCTGAAGACTCTGGACACAGCCTGGTGAGTATGAGCCAAGTCCACTGTGTGATCATGGAGGCTGCGGTTAACTCTCTGAGCCTCAAGCTTCTCATCTGTGAAATGGGGAGAACAAGAGCACCTGCTTCATGGAGCAGTTTTGAGTGGTAAATGCTCATTAGCAGCATAGAGCCTGGCACATGAGAAATAACTTAGAAAAGGTTAGTTAACGGTGACAATGATTATTCAATTTGCTTTTGGAGGGATGACCAAATTCTATTAGTCCAGAGAAGAGCTGACTTTGGGCAGGACAGCCCATACCAGTCTTTGGTACCAAGAAACGTGAAGCCTGGCAACTAGGGTGCCTTCTTGCCTTGTTGTACTACGATTTTTTTTCCAAAGTAGATGGCTAGGAGCTTTTGGATGATGGGTAGAAAAGGTTAAAACCAACCAACTGGCCCATGGTGGCAGCCAAGCAGCCTTAAACCCCAAAGCCAGAATTCAGCTGGAAAAATACACAGTTCCAATGTAAGAATTAAATTTAGAGATGAAGACAAATTACCTAATTTTGGGACTTTACCCAGGAATCCAGCTCAAATAGCGGCAATGGGGTCAGCTGGTTAATAGAAGGCTGGTTCCTGTGTGGCTCTCTCACTTTCTCCATGCTAGCCAAGGCCAGCCTGGCCTGGCGTCTTTCCTCACACCATTAACACAGACAACTAATGAGATGTTGGAACAAGCCCAGAGAAAAAACTTGTTTAGAGCACTTCCTCTCCACTTCACCGGTACAAACATCTATTCTGGGTTTGGGCTATTTTCCAAGTTGGGTTATATGATGATAAACAACAGGTTATTTTGGCGAGTAAAATTTTAGCTGGGTACTTCGCAAAACAATTTTTAAATAAATTTGAAGAAACTATTAAGTGGAAAAGTTAAAGGCATAAAGAATTGTCGGTGGTTCTAAAAGTGTTTTTCCCTAAGCTTCTTGTTTATTTCTTGATGTTGTGGAAAGACCTTCTTGGCCACGTTTTTCATGAGTTATCTGTGTTTCCCATAGATTTGGGGTCTAGACTCTCAATTATTTATCTTATTTGAAGGATAAAAGTGGAAAGTTCAAGAAATCGATAGTTAGCTGGCTTGAATTTGCTGAGAATTCAGAACAATGTTCACAACTAAAATTTGCAAAGTAAATCAACAGAATACAAAGAAGTAATTTAACCCAGAATGACAAAATGAAAGGATGGTTCCCATGTAACCTCATAAATTTCCTGCTTGATGCATCTCAAGTCTCTGATTTCTAATAAAATTCTCATGAGAACATAGTATTGCTCCATAAAAACTCCTGAACTCTCCCCATGAGAACGGGCTGGTTTATGAGGGTGCATGAGTTCAAGTCTGTGGTTTACTTATTAAAAATTTCTCAGTAAATATATCATGGTCCACTGGAGAGCACCCCTCAATTGTGGGGAGGCCATGTATCATTTCTGCCGTCCCTAAGTATGAAGAAAAACAAGAAGAAGCACGCCAGGAACTCTCTGAACCAGAAAAAAACGGGAACCTTTTATTTTTCTAAAGAAAATTCTAAGACTTTCTGTTTACCTTTGACCCAAAGAGACCTCATGGGAGTTTCACATTTGCTTTGCGAAAATCTGAGCATTCTTGCCAAAAGGGGTGACAGGCAGTCCTGTGAGGGGCTGCGAAAATCTGAGCATTCTTGCCAAAAGGGGTGACAGGCAGTCCTGTGAGGGGCTGCGAAAATCTGAGCATTCTTGCCAAAAGGGGTGACAGGCAGTCCTGTGAGGGGCGAAGGAAGCTTGTTTTGGTTCCTGCCGCTGTTGTGGGTCAAGCCCCTCCCGGGGAGCACACGGCAGAGCAAGGCTGCTCAGTGGGTGCTGGAAGCGCTTTTGAGGAAAGATGTAACTTACACGTAGTCACAAAGGCAGTAAACTCGTGGCTCGCTCACCTTTCCCCACATGCCTGCCAACCGGAAAAATAATGTTCACTCACGTTGTGCTTTTAATCTGGGCCAGTTACTGCTAGAAGCTTTGTGGGTGTCCCCTCACTCGATCCTGCACACAAGCTTATGGCACAGGCCATTGTTATCACCTTCATCTTAGAGAGAGGGAAACTTCACCCAGGAAAGTTAAGTAAGTTGCTGAAGTCACACACCTGGTCAGGGACAGAGCAGGTTGATTGCACCTTCATGCTGCTATACATCACAAGACTAGATCGGAGAGAGATGCCCCGCCAAGGAGGGTGGCCGGGAAACCTGGGAGCCCTTCTCATTTCAACCTACTCAGCCAGGGTCCTCTTCAGACAAACCCACAGGATTGGAGCAAACACGTGCAGAGCACCCGTCACGGGCTACACCTGTGCTGGTGTGTTCACGGGTGGGCCTCGCGGATACTCGCAGCAGCCCGTGGGAAGGGGATACTGGGCTATTGTGCAACTTTCTTCCACTGGGCTCAAGAGCTGGACCTCGTATTTCTAGCACTAGGTACAGGCCTTGATGCATGTAGTTTCACTGGATAAGAACAGGCTTTGGTCTGTGGCTGAGACAGCATAATTAACAATTTTAAAAATAGATTTTAATTTTTTAAAGAAGCTATAGGTTTAGACAAAATAGAGAGGAAGGTACAGAGATCTCCCATCTCTCCCGAGCCTCCCCTGTTATCGCCAGAGTGGTGCATTTGTCTTTTGTGTTTTGTTGTTTTTTTGAGATGGACTCTTGCTCTGAGGCCCAGGCTGGAGTGCAGTGGGTGATCTCAGCTCACTGCAACCTCCACCTCTCGGGTTCAAGCGATTCTCCTGCCTCAGTCTCCAGAGTAGCTGGGATTACAGGCGCCTGCTATCACGACCGGCTAATTTTTTTTAATTTTTTAATTTTTTATTTTTTATTTTTAGTAGCGACGGGGTTTTGCCATGTTAGCCAAGCTGGTCTCGGACTCCTGTCCTCAGGTGATCTGCCCAACTCGGCCTCCCAAAGTGTTGGGATTACAGGCGTGAGCCACCGGGCCCGGCCCAGAGTGGTGCATTTGTTACAGTCCGTGAACCTGCACAGACCCATCACCATCACCCGGAGTCTATCGTTTCCATTACAGCTCACTCTGGGGTTGCACGTTCTATGGGTCTGACACATGTACCATGCCATCCATCCCTGGCTACATTGCCAGACAGGGGACTTTCACTGTCCTAAGAATCCTCTGTGCTCCAACTATTCACCCTCCCTCATCCCGAACCCCTGGCAGCCACTGCTCTTTTTCCTGTCTCCATAGCTCTGCCTTTTCTAGAATGTCATAAGTTGGAATATGCAGCCTTTTCAGATTGGCTTCTTTCACTTAGTAACATGCGTTTAAATTTCCTCCTTGTCTTTTCATGGCTTGAAGGCTCATTTCTTTTTAGCACTGAGTAACGTCCCAGTGTCTGAGAGGGGCACCTCACAGAAATGAAAAGCACTTTCTAGATCTATAGAATTTAGAGCTGAACATGGGCAGCCCTGGTGACCCGTTCCAGAACTCACTGTCCCTGAAGAGACACAGAAGGTGACCTTATTTTCCTTAATGACCACAGCACCTGGAGGCTGACGTGTCCGTCCCCACAGTAACCACCCGCCCGTGGATGAACAAGCAGAGAGCCCTGGACGCTTCGTCAATGCTCACTTCACCTTTAAGGGCACCTGCTGTTGCAAATGAAAAGCTGTCGTATTCCTTCTTACTGAAAGTTGGTAACTGCATCTGAACACCTAATTATCTTCATAAACCCCGACACACAGCGCTCTGACCAGGGCAGGCCGGCAACTTGCTGGGAAAATGCAAAATGTCCTGCACTGCTGAGCTTTTCACAAGCCCCTTGGTGGGGTCCTTACCGGCGTTTGTGCGTTTGAAAGCAACTGATTGAAAATCAGGCCTCCAAGCTTGTGCTTGAAAGGACGAGAGCACCAGCCTGGGTCCGCGAGGGAGGGCGCCAGTGCCACCTGGTGGCCGCGCCGGGGAGCCCAGGTTCCAGCCTGGGGGCGGCTCTAAGTTCAGGGTCAGTCCCATCATTCCACAGGGCTGAGAATTAGTGAGCTTGCAGCCCCAGCCGCTCCTGCAGCCAAGCCTGAACGTGAAATACGCTGAACTCCGTCACACGCCTATTTCGCTAGCTCACCGCAGAACGGCTTTATTATGAGAGTCAACAGGATGTCGGTGTGATGATGATGTCCACAAAGAACGGCTTTTTGCAATGTAGAATTACGGCTCAATGTTACCATGAATTAAGTGAGAGAAGGTGGCCGTGGAACATTTATTTCAAGACGAAGTCAAAACTAAGCCAGACTAAGCTTTTCGCTGACAGTCACTGAAAATAAATGACTACAAATCCTGAACGTTTTTGATAACCTTACGAAATTCACCTTAGGCTTTTGTCCACCTAACTCCATTATTCAGATTTGTCACATGACTCCCTACTGCTGGAGCAAAAAATATATGTGTATTGACCTCAAAACTCTTAAGACATTTGAGAATGGAACGTTGGGTCTGATGATCTAACTGGAACTTTATCATTCATTCTGCAAGGGCTGTTACTTAAAACAAACAAACAGGCCACTCACGGTGGCTCACGCCTGTAATCCCAGCACTTTGGAAGGCTGAGGCAGGCAGATCCACTTGAGGTCAGGAGTTCAAGGCCAGCCTGGCCAACGTGGTGAAACCCTGTATCTACTAAAAATACAAAAATTAACTGGGCGTGGTGGCACATGCCTGTAGTCCCAGCTACTCGGGAGGCTGAGGCATGAGAATCACGAACCCGGGAGGCAGAGGTTGCAGTGAGCCGAGATTATGTCACTGCACTCCACCCTGGGTGACAGAGCAAGACTCCATCTACAAAACAAACAAAAAGAACAAATGACAACAACAACAACAAAACTAACAACTAAGATTGATCCCTTTTTCTTCACTGTTCCTAGAAGTTCTAGGGGTAAGAGGGGAAGACAGGGATCTCACATTCCATGGATGACGTTGTTGCCCTTGGGAAGCCTCCAAGGTCACCAGATGAAGGCAAGATCTCCTTAGATGATTTTATGGCTTTGGCATAATTACTGTAAAACTATCAACAAAAGCAAGCTTGACCCTCCTCAGGGTGCAGTGTGCATTTGCCTTTGGGATGAACCAGGTGAGGCAGTATCGGGGAGGGAGGACGGGGTACAGGTGCCGCCCTTCTTCCCTGGTCCCAGTCAACAACAGACCCCTGACTGCAGACGATGACTCCATCCTCTCGGGAGGGACCTGGGGGACTCAGCTTGAGAAACCAGAAAAGCCAAAAGGAGGCTCCTACCACATGGGTGAGACAGCTCACATCCACTGCCTTTGTAGATATGCATGGGAATTCCATGACCTAGCCAGACGAATGATCATATCCCTGTTTTACAGAAAAGGAAACTGAGTCTCAGAAAGATTAGGTCATTTATCTTTGGTCACAGGATTAGCTGGAAAAAGAACCTGGAAGAGAACCCAGGTCTCACATCCCACGTCGCTTTCCACAGTTCTTTGCTTTGCCCTCAAAGGCACAGTGAGCCAAAAAAGTACATGTCTTCAGTACTTGGCCAAACTTCAGGTATAAGAAAAAAAAGAAACAACAACAACAAAGACGAAGAAAGAACAAATCTCCCTTCTTTTCTCTAAATGCTCTATCTTTTAAAGTAACTTAAAGACAAAGCATCCCTTTGAATCTAAGACTTTAGGGTCTGAAAGATATCCTTAATTGGTCTTGGTTGTTTGTCTTTTTGTTTGTTTGTGTTCCCTTATTTCAGTTTAAAGGGCACACTAAGAACAAAATTCCATATGGTTTATTCTGTTCCCAATCTCATCTTCCCCCTCTTTCCCTTCCCCAACCCCAGCCTTGCCAATTTGTAGACAAATCAGAAAAATCCCCAACGGGCTGAAAACCTGTCCATGGTTCACTCCAGCTGGAAAGAATTGCGTTCCACCAAGATTCAGATCCCATTTATAATGGAAACCCTGACAGGCAAAGTTGTAATTACGGTTGTGCCATAATGAATGTATCTGTGTGGTCAAAGTAGTGGATTTTTCCATGGTATTTTTCCATGGAAGATTTCCTCCCTGAGAGATGTTAACTTAAAATCTGGATGGTAGCTTTGACTTTAGAGTAGGATCACTCCTGGCATTGCTATAGCTTGAAGTTAACTATTATATAGACTTTGGTAGTCATGATTAGCAAGCGGGATGTTAGTCAAATTGATATTTTGCAGGACTGATGGCAGTTGGGGGGTTGGGGTTTGGTGGTGTAGGAGCTAACTTAGGTAAGCTTGTATTGCCTTTCAGATTTTTTTAACCAGGAAATACTGTCTTTCTTTTCTGACATGATGTCTAATACGAAAGTAGAAAGGCTGAATATGGCTAACTGGTATTAGGGTGACCAACCATCCCAACTGGCCTGGGACCATCCAGTTTTGGCACTAAAATCTCATAAGCCAGGAAATCCCTCCATCCTGGGGAAGGCAGGACAGTTGGCCATCCCACATCCTATGGAAAATAGAATCAAAGTTAGGAGGACAGCCGAGTATTATGTTGGTGTGAAAGTAATTGTGGTTTTTGCTGTTATAACAGTCCGTGTTAAAGAGAGCAAGCGGACTTGAGTTTTCAAGTAAAATTCTTTCTTGGTGCTTCGAAAATCCTACTTAGTGTCAGCGGCATTAGCTTGAGAGCTGACTCAGGAAAGGGCTCAGAAGGAATGTGAAAATCCCTGCTTGGTATGGCAGAATGTCATATGGAAAACCAGACAAGTCATTGTTCTGCCCAACAATTTCATGGGTTAACCCATCCTCTGGCCATTTGGAGGCATGAAGAGAATGAGACATTTCACGGGTATCAGGCCCTCCCCAGAGGCTACTGCTGAGGGTTTTTCTTCTGCAAGCCCTACCTAATAGGCCCTTGGCTGTTCTTCCAAAACCTCTTCTCTATGCTGAAAAGGAAAGGGCGCAGGAAAGAAGGAATGTGGGGGCTGATTTGTGGAGCTCCAGCTTCCTGTCCAGGCCCCACATCCTGCCTCACTCAAGGGGCCTTGCCTTCTGGATCTTCTCCTTTTATGAAGCTCTCAGATTGCTCTGGTTGCCTTTCCAAGTACTGTGAAAATGGCCGACTTTTAGGAATTGGGGGACTGGGTGAGGTTAAAAGAAAGGAAGGAATACAGAATCAAAACGAAGGCAAGAATAGGGCAATGGCCAAAAACACCAGCTGATGAACTTGACAACTCTGTAGAGTGGCAGGAGAACATCTCTATCAATTTAAAAATGTAAGTCAAATAGATTTCTACAAACAGACCCTTCAGGACATACATATTGAATCTATTTGTGGATTTATAAATCCTGACCTTCAGGGTATGTATAGAATCCACTTCTGGATCTGGGCCTTCGGTGACTGTGTTGTGAGCCATTTCTGCGGCTGTAATTTCTATTGCTATGAGTTCCAGGGGCATAAGATGGAGGAAAAGGGCAGACATGGAGCTACTGACCTTGTGTGACAGAACATTCTCCCATCTCACCCACCGCCATGGAAGGAGTGTGCTTCCTGCCCCATGGGAGCTGGGCTTGTCGAGGCCATGCATGAGGCAGGATGGCAGAGTTTCCACTCGCCCCTCGGGGAACTTCCAACCTCTGCCTCCAGTCTGGCCACTGCCCCGAAGCCTGGGATGTGCGCAGAGGTGACTGGAGCCACAGCCCCATTAGATGACATGCAGACCCCAGTGGAAAATGCGTGCTCGCTGTTTTACGCCCATGAGCTTTTATGCTGTTCAATCTGCTGTTTATGCTGTTAATAGATCCATCTTTAAAAAGTGAACATAATTCAATTAGGAGGTGTAGCTGGTTCTTCTTCAGTCGCGCTGCTCCTATAGGATAACTGCAAAAGGGTCTCAAAATTATATTTTTTTTCTAGGCTTTCTTCTGTTGTCATAGGGAGACAGAAGATGTAAAATTTCCGTTCCTTCTTTTCTGCTTCTTAATAGAAGTGTCTAAAGGAGTTATGTTGCGTGCGCCTGCAAAGGGCACAGAAAGACAATCACCAGCAGTCCAGAATCCAAGTCCTAGATACATAAAATAGTTTTATTTTCATATGCATGAAGAGAGAGGAAACTGTGAGAAGTGGACACACAAATTTTAAAAGGCCACAGTTTGGGGGCCATTTGGTGCAGGGGCCAAGTGCTTGGCGGCGAGTAAGACAAGTCCCCGAGGCATCTCAGCACGGTAGCAGTGCCAGTTGTCTTCAGTTCTCCCCTCCAGACTGACTCTTTGCCCTGCCCCGGGCCATGGGAGCTGGTTTTTATAGACTGCCTGGAGACTCCACGTCTTTGGTTAGGTCTGGCCGATGCTGGTGGCCCTAGCAGAAGGGCAGGGCAGGTATCTTCTCCTGCCAGGTCCCTGGGGGTTGGCTGCAGTCCTTACCAACAGCACCGCCCAGACCCGGGGGACCAAGGGCGGCGAGCACTCTCTCTGGGGGTCGACAGCAGCCCCACGCCCGCCCTCAGGGATGCAGGCGGAGCGCTCTGCCATTCCTCCTGGGTTTCCTAACTCTACCCCACACTTTGTAAACAGCTCCTCTGAGCAGGAAAGAGAGAAGCGGCCATGTTCTGAGATGTCAGAGTTCTCCGCTACAGAGGACAGGGGAGGGAGTGAAAATGTTTCCACAAAGACCGGCCTACAAAATGGGTGTTCAGAAGCTTTGCTTCTGGAGGTAAAATCCTGAGTCATTCAGAAAAGCCTGGAAATCGAATTCCACGGTAAGAGTGCTTGCCATGAGCCATTTATCAAGCAGGGTCTCAAGGGGACAGAGAGTTGAACAAAATTTCCTGCCCTAAGGAGCTTATAATCGGTATGGAAACATTCATTGAAATCGAGCCTAATTTTCCACAGGTCCTGGATAGCAGAGGTTCCCTGCTTTTGGTGGAGACAGCGGTGCAGTGCAGTCTGTGGTGTAGGGCATAAGAGGGGTACCTGCACGGGACAAGAGGGGGGTGACGTGGACTTAAAAAATGAAGAGAGGCGACCTGGTAGCTGCCGCAGCAGACGGAGGATCAGTGCTCTGAGGGGAAATGCCATTGTGAAGCTGTGGGTGACGGCCACCTCCTGAGGAAGAGGCATCAGAGGAGGAGACAGAGACAGGAGAAGACTGCAGCCCAGGAGAACGGCCCACAAGTTCCCTGGTGTTTGCTTGAGGATGGATCTCCGCGGCACCAAGTCAGGGCAGCCACGGCGCACGAGTGGAGGGAGGAGTCCCTGAGGCGAGGAGCGATCTTTCAGGGCGCACAGTTTTATGGCGGGGGAGGCTGGAAAGGACCTAGTGGGGGTGGGGGATGCGGGGTGAGTGGATGGGACAAGAGTGAGTGCGGGGGGATGGAGGGTGAGAGGGTGAGGATGGGGGGTAAGTGGGTGGGAATGGGGGTGAGTGGGTGTGAAGGGTGGGGATGGAGGGTGGTTGGTTGGGAAAGAAGGGCGAGTCTGGTGGAAATGGAGGGTGAATCTGGTGGAAATACGGGGAGAATCTGCGTCCTGCTCACTGTGGACTTGGAGAGTTCTCCCACGAGTATGGCTTTGCCTCCCATACTCCCTGTGTCAGGGAAAGGAGGAGGTCGTACCTCTGTCGGGACAGACGTGGTGACTCAAGCGGGAGCTTCTCACGCACTGGACGTGGCACAGCCTGGGCAGCGCCGGCCCCTGTCCTTCCTGCGGACCTGTGAGGAGCATCCGGCTATCTGCACTGGCTCAGCCTCGCCCCCGGGCAGGTGGGTCACGGTTGTGTGACCTTGGGCTTCTGTGATAGACATGGCTGTTTCCGCTGTCTCCGGACATCAGTGTACGCTGTGGACAAATGCAGCCGGTCTACGTGAGGTCCGCTCTGCACTAAGGACGGGATGGGCTGAAATGCAAACTCGGGTCCAGACATAGCTGGAAGATGAGTGACCCGCCGCTGGGACTCAGGAAAAGCTACTGTTTTGGTTGTGATCCAATAGATAATATTTAGGCTACCAAACATCTATAAAACTACCACTAATATGATGAAGAAAAGAGCAGTCCCGGAACTCTGGGACCTGGTCCGATGCTTAAGGCCGGCCCTGGTGTTCTCCTGTTGGCCACAAAGCTTCTCACAGGACACCTCTGTGAGAAGCCTCTGACGTGGCCACTGGAGACCGTGACACAGCAAGACCAAAGGTCACCATGCAACCACAAAACACCAGGCTCCCCCTTTCCCACTAAGTGAGTGATGACTGCTTCTTTACCCATGGCAGCTTTATGCTTGCTCGACTCCCTCCCTACAGATGCAACTGACTGCAATACCGGGTCACAGCATTGCCCCCAAACCTGAGTAGACCCGGCTTCCCTAGACTCACCCAGATTCACCCAGCAAAGCCCAAATCCTGTAACTCCTTTCCAATCTCCTTTCACTGAGCGGCCCCGCAGTCCCCCACGGTGTGCGTGCTTCTTTGCCGAGAAGAGTCATAAACCCAACTGGTTCAGTTACAGGGGGTTCCTGGTGGTCTTTGTCTGAAGGGCATTAGCACAGCTGTCTCCAGATGTCATGGTCGTGCTCTATGGGCCCAGCCATAAAGATCCAGATGGGGGCTAGTGAGGTCCAAAGCACCATCCAGTCCCTTCTCCCCAAGACAGCAGTCAGTATTCAGTCCTGGGAGCTGGTGACAAGGAGAAGGCCCTTCTTCCATCCCCACTGAGGTCCTCTGTGTCCTTCCACAGGCAGAGGCATGAGTTCTCCTGGGGTGAAGCGTCATGGATACTCAAGGCTGGTTATTGTGGATAATTGCAAAACCTGACCCATAGAGGCTCCACGAGAGCAGGGAGCCGACATGCTCGTCTTCAGGTCTCCCGATGCACTGGTTTTCATTCTCTGGTTCTTCCTTTCTTCTCAATAGTGAAAGTGGGCTGGGCACAGTGGCTCATGACTGCAATCCCAGCACATTGGGAGGCTGAGGTGGGTGGATCACCTGAGGTCAGGAGTTCGAGACCAGCCTGGCCAAAATGATGAAACGCCATCTCTACCAAAAAACAAACAAACAAACAAAAACAAAAAACAAAAAAAAAATGGAAAATGTCCTGGAACAGACTTGAAGTCTCCAGCTGCTGTGGCTCCTTGCTGCCCATGCGCAGCCACTGAAGCTCCAGGTCAGGACCTGGAAAGTCACTTTCAGCTGCATCTTCTAGTCCTCGAGGTTCCTTCTTAGTCATTTCACGAAGGGGCTCTTCTGGCTTTATGCACTTGTCTGCAGGGACAGCCTTGTCCACCTTTGGGTAACTCTGTCTTAAAGAACCTGTCTGGAGCCCTAAGGAGTTTCTTCATGGCTCATAAGAAACTGCAGGAAGAAAATAGAATCTCTCGCTACAGAACAGTGTCAGGTCCCTGAAGATGACAATCATGTCCTTGTTAAGCTGACCTTCTGTGGGTTCCTGCAGCCGTCTCAGAGGGGACTCCATAAAGCTCTCACCTGCTTCTCCCACTGACGCCGTGAGCACCTGTCACATTTCTTCTGTGTAGCTCTGTGATCCTAATGACTAGCATTTGATAGGTGCTCAGCAGGCATTTTTGAATTAAGTGTCCATTTATTAGTCTTCTCTAATAAATATAGTGTATATTTTCTGATCCTTTTCATCACCGGGCAATATGCTTTCTGGAGGCATGAAGTGAGGAAGCCATCTGAGAAGCCGATGTTGGTCCACAGGGCCTCGAACAGCAAGTACATGCCTTGATTTCTGCATACTCAGTGCCTGTCATACTCAACTAATATTCCTTAAATGAATGAATGAATGAAGAGTATTTCTAGCTTTCCAGGCTATTCAAGGGCTAGAAAGTTTGAAAAGAATGAGCAAATTCCCCATATCCCACCCTTACTTTTACCCCATAACACAAATGCCGTTGATCCAGGATATGCACTCAAGCTGAAATTCATGCCCACAGCCCCGCTCGTTAGTGAATTCATGCTGTTGAATGCTCTAACGCCTACTTTTGCTGGACACTCTGCTGGACCTTGGAGTTAGCCCAGAAGGAGGACTGCAACCCTTAATTAGCCTTCAGGGAGGCAGGGCTTCAAGTTTAGGAAGAGGTCACCAGAGGGCAAAGGGCAGTGGAATACAACCTGGGGACAGAGGGTAGGTCTGGGAGAGCTGGAGCTGGGGAGGGCCCAGGAAGGCACCAAGAGGAGATGTTTGAGTGGAGTCTTGGAGGACAAATGGGGAGGGCTGGTGAGGACTCAGGGAAGTGCTCATGCTCTCACCTGGCTGGGCGAGAGACTGCATGGAGGAAGGACTGAGATGCTGGGATAGCACAGTGAATGGAACTATGAATGATTTTGTTCTATTAACAAGCTTTTTTTTTAGATAGAGTCTTGCTCTGTCGCCCAGGCTGGAGTGCCATGGTACGATCTCAGCTCACTGCAACCTCTGCCTCCCAGTTCAACTGATTCTCGTGCCTCAGCCTCTCGAGCAGCTGGGACTACAGGTGTGTGCCACCACACCAGGATAATTTATGTATTTTTAGTAGTGATGGGGTCTCACTACATTGCCCAGGCTGGTCTCGAACTTCTGGCCTCAAGTGATCTTCCCGCCTCAGCCTCTCAAAGTGCTGGGATTACCGGTGTGAGCCCCTGCATCCGACCCAAAGTCTCGTTATCTTCACCTGTTGTATGGAAAGTTTGTAGCCACTTGTCTGCATCCCCGATTGGCTTATGTGGCTGGCCAGGAGGATGCTGATGGTCTGAGAGCTTATTGCAGAAAGTGTCTGCAGGTGCCCTTAGTATGTGTCAGGCTGAGCTAAGTTATTCTACTATTCCTTTTTAGAGCTCTAATATTGTACCCTAATCCAAAAGTGTTTGGAGAGAATAAAAACTACCCATTCTGGCTGGGCACGGTGGCTCACGCCTGTAATCCCAGCACTTTGGGAGGCCGAGATGGGCAGATCGCTTGAGCTCAGGAGTTGGAGACCAGCCTGAGCCACCTGGCAAGAACCTGTCTCTACAAAAAATACAAAAAAGTAGCCAGGCATGGTGCCCACCTGCCAGTAGTCCCAGCTACTCGAGAGGCTGAGGTGAGAGGATTGCTTAAGCCCTGGAGGTTGAGGCTGCAGTGAGCCATGATCATGCCACTGCACTCCAGCCTGGGTGACAGAGAGGCCCTGTCTCAACAAATAAACAAATGAAATGAAACAAAACAAAACAAAAATACCCATCCCTAAATAGCATCCAGCTCTCTGTGTGCCTTTCTCTTTGATAGTTTATGACTAGACTTCCTTAATCAGCTACAAAGGAAGGCTTAAAGAAATTATGGAAATACCTAGCCACAAAGAACACTTTAGAGTGGAGGAGTCAGAGAGAAGGAGAGTGCGAGAGGAATGGACGTTTCCTCCCTTCTTTTTGGATGGGCTTAAATCATGGATAGTGTCTCACATTGAATGGAAGTGGGAACAAAGCTTGGACATAAAGGAGATGGGGTGGAAAGCAGCAGTGGGAGCTGGAAGGGAACTCTTGGCTGGCCAGCCTGCACAAAGGGGAGCAGCACATTTCACAGAAAAATACATTTATGCAGCTGGCCAGGAGGATGCTGATGGTCTGAGAGTGAATTGCAGAAAATGTGTGCATGTGCCCTTAGCATGGGTGAGGCTGAGCTAAGTGAGTCTACCCTTCCTTTTTAAAAGCTCTAATATTGTCCCCTAACCAAAAGATATGGGAATCTTAGAATGACATTTGCACTTTCAGTTATGTTAGTTATTACAAGCACACAGGCCTTACCTACTCCCAGAAAGCATGCAAATTATCTTACCAAGAGATTTCATAACATAATACAGTTAGAATATATTAAAATGAGATTCATAACCGCTAAATGTGAGGCAAAGCTAATTGTAACAAGAACCTCAAATAAAATAGGAATCTGGGTTTTACCTTTGTGTTTCCTAGAAGCCACAGCAAAAAGATAAAATAAGGGAACCTACAGCTCATAAAAGGTAGCAGACAATTTTGACTGGAATCTCTTTCTCCTCCTCTAAAGTATGTTAGAGTCTCTCCTATGCATGGGTGGGGTCTGTGATGTTTGCATTGGACCTGCAAAATCATCCAGCCCTGTTTCTTCATTTTTCAGGGATGCAGATGGAGATTCAGAGGTGACAGTGATGTGCCCAAGGACACAGGTGTCAGAAGTGGGATTTCCTTTCTCACGGTACCAAATGGCCAGCTTGGTTTGTCAGCCTGTTGTCTTATCCCACCATGACTGTGGTCAGATGAAAAAACTCGGCTCTTGCTTCATCTGTTCCCTGCAGCTGCAGTCCGTTTGGATAGACTCAGACTTAGGGGTGGACGTGAGGCAGGGCTCATGGGCAGTCCTCAGCTGTGGCAATGACACCCACACACCAACAGCTGCATGGTGACTTAGCTCCCTTTTGGGCTCCAGCGGCTCCTCTAGCTCTGAGATACTGAGGGTTCTTCCAGGGAAGCCTGCACTGGGGCAGAAGCCTCTACATGGGCCTGTGCCTAGGATGGGGCTAATGTCGGCCATGGTGTCGGGGAAGGGCGCCAAGCCCACTGGGTGGGGCGATGCAGGCTGGGCAGGGCTGCTCTTTCCCAGCCTCCTTCCAGAGTGGGCCGTTTGCAGAGTAGCTGGGCTGCCTTCTTGTTGTGAGGATGTGGCCACTTCTGCAGTGGCGCTGAAGTACAACGTGGAACTCTGCTGTCCTTCCCCTCCTCTCTGCTGCCCACCTGTCCCCTTCCCCTGTGTCCCAGAAACAGCGTCAGCTCCTTCCTTTGGGGTGCCCTCCCCCTGCGTGGCTGCTGGGTTCTGGGTAGGTGCTTCATCCTGCTGATCGCTGGCAAAAGATACGTAACTTGAGGTTTCCAATGGGTCGGCCTCTGCTTTAGGGACACCTTCAAACGCAGAGCTGTTCTCTAAGGTTGAGGGGTCACGGGATGAGGATGGGAGCTCTTGCTGGGCAGACAAGGCCTTTCTCTGCAGGTAGTCCTGTTGACTCAACCCCCATGCAGGTGGACAATAGGCAGGACTGTTATCTCCAAAGGCGGCATTGATCTTAGACACATTTCCTGTTTTTAGGGCAAGTTTCACCCACAGCCAGTGGTGATGACTGAGGAAAGAGTCCTCCACAGCAACCTGGGTCCCCAGCCCAGCCTCTGGGGGGACCTGCTCAGGGGTAGGGGGCTTCCCTAAAATGGTTGGTTCATAACTTGCCCCTTGGCATGAGCCTGAGCTCTCGGTTCTCTTCCCAGCTAGATCTGTGGCCCGGGGAGAATCTCTTCTCTCTGTTTTATCACCTCCTGCAATGCCACAGGACTTCCTTAGGCAGCCCTGCCAGATGTCTGTGGATTTTGGATGCAGCAGGCTGTAATAAATTACCAGTGAGACACTGCCTGAAAAAGAACAAAAAGACCACAAGGTTATGTTCTTTGAAGTCTGCATCCTCCCTCTGGTGTGCAGTTTCAGGTTCTGGCCCTTTTGTGTAGAGGAAGATAATTTGGGATCCAAAATAGGACTCTTGTTGGAGCCTCAGAACTGGATATTTCGGGGGAATTTAAGTAGGTTCCAGCTTCTGTAAGCTGTAAATGTTTCTAAAGTTAAACATGAATAACAAGGCTTAAATCCGATTGATTCTATGCTTTTGTCTTGAGGGCAGCTCCAGTTCAGTCATCTACGTGTGTGTGTGTGAGTGTGCATTCATGCATGTGTGTGTGCGTGTGTACACACAGGTACAAAATGTTTGGCAGAAATAAGCATTCTACTTTCAAGTAACTGGACCATACACTGCAAATTCGACTGTCAATACAGTGGTTGATGGGTTACAAAGCTGGGGGAAGGGAGGGCATTAAGAAATAACCTCAAAAACAAGTAAGACCTAAACAGAGGTTAATCAGATTCATCAAAAACCCCATATCAAGGAATTTCCATGAACAACAACAACACTTCCTTTGTGCATAAACATCTTAATCACATTGTTGTCAGTTTAATTTATTTTGATCAGAAGTGTTGACTGCTGCAATAATTTCTTTAACAGAGCATTCCAGTAAGCCTCCCACGTTATTTCCAGTTTCCTGTTGTACTGGATAAAGTGCCTGGTTTCAGGGTGCTCATTATAAACAGCACAAAACCTGAAGTAATGCCTGAGAAGGCCAGGAGATTGCAGCATGACAGAGCTAGAAAGACTGCCTGAAGGACATCCCCAGCCCCAAATCCTCTCTTGTGTCTTGGGGGACTGGGAGACCCAGATCAAGCAGCTGGTTAGTGGCCAGGCTCCAACCTTGGAAAGGGAGGTGGACTTTCTCCATGTTCAGTGCCACCTCTGCAGTAGGTCCTGCTCAGCCAGTTTCTGCACTGTTTTGAATTCTCACAATTGCCTGGTGAGGGACATATTGTCACCCTTCTTTTACAAGCAGCCACCCAAGGCCAGGAAAGATGAACAAAGGCCCCTGATCACAGAAGTCCTGGGCACACTTATTCAGTGAACACAATCTTTCCAGAGGCCATGTGGTTTGAGGGTTCTTGGTGGCATCCCCAGGCTGGCACGCAGTTGGTACTCAGTGAATATTGGTCCCAGGATGGAAGGAAAAGGGGAGGAGCCTGGATGCAAGCTTGTGCTCCTTGGACTACAATTTGGGTTCAATCTTCCTGCCTAGGATTCCCAAGGGTCGGCTGGGAGTCAGGGGTTTGGCAGCTCCATCAGAGGCCGGAGGAGGAGCGGCAGACAAGGCTCTGAGCCGGTGGCCACCTGGGTGCTGAGTGCTGCCCGTGGCTATGGGCTCCCTACTCACTGCCCGTGGCTATGGACTCCCTACTCACTGCCCTCCAGCTGTGCCGTGGGCCAGCATACTGGCTGTGAAAATGTCTTCTCACTGGAGTGGAACTGGAAGGAAACCAGGCATCCACTCTCAGGAGTGTGACAGGTTTTCGGAGTGGTGTAGGACATCTTTTCTGAGTCAGTGTTAAAATCCAGAAAGTAGATGAGGGGACATTTTCCCTCCCACCACACTGCCCCCAGGACTCAGCTATACCTCCCGTGAACTGGAAAATCCAGATGAGTTGTTAGACCTCCCGGCCGGCAAGGCCCCTTCATTCCAAGTATCACATGGCCCCTCCCTGAAGGAAGGATTGCTTGAAATATGCCAGGAACACCCAGACCACGATGCAATGTGGTGAGAGTGGTGCTTCTCACCCGGGCAGCGCGATGTCCTCAGTTTCCCATAGGCCATTTATCCACACACACAGCTTAGAAATCAATGCTCTGCGATTCAAATGATTATTTTAAAAAGGATGAACCAGATGCCCGTCCATGGGTCGACGATGAAACAAGCTGTGGTCCGTCCAAACCATGGGATGCGACTCAGCCATCAAAAGCAAGGAGCAACCCGGGAGGCTCTCCGGAGAGCTCTGCCAAGTGAACAAGACCGATCCCCAGGGTGCACACACTGTGTGGTACTTTCACAACGCATTCTCCAAGTGATAGAATAATAGAAACAGAGAACAGAATAATGGTTGCCAGGAGGGAAGGAGGTGGCAGGGGCGAGAGGAAGGGGGCCACATGAAGGGTCCTCGTGGTGATGGAAGGGTTCTCCCTGCACCTCGACGTACTACTTTGAGATCCTGGCTGTGATGTTGTGCCACCGTTTTGCGAGATATTACCACTGGGGGAAAACCTGGTAATGGGTACGGGGAGCTCTGTATTATTTCTTAAAACTACAATTATCTAAAAAGTTTGATTTGAAAAAGAAGGGGTTGTCTCAGCTACCTGAAGCTGGAAGAAGTGAGGACCCGTGACGTCTCATGAAGAAGAACAGAGCTGAAACCCAGGGTGGCCTGTGGCTCTCAAATGCTTGTTACGAAGCCACAGTGTGTGACATTTCTCTGACCCGTGAACAGCCCCTGCATCTCACTAAGTGTTTGTGTCCAGGTCATTCCTTTCCCAGGTCCAGGCCACTCACACAGGCCACATCCAACCCCCGGCTGCTGTGAGCAAGAAAAGAACCCGAGGCCACTTCCAGGCACCTCTTCAGGGTGTGGGTGACAGAGAGCAGGCTCTGGAGGGAGGGCAGGAGTTGTTGCAGAGGACTGGGGAATCTCTGTCCTGGCCCATGTTGCAGAAGCACGAGGCCCCACGTGAGAGGTGCAGGTGCTGGCTTTGACGGTCCCACCGCAGGCCTGAGAGTGACAGTGGTGGAAGCCTGCTGTGCTGGGAGAGGAGGCTGGTGTTCGCACCTTTCAAGTGGGGGGCGGAATCCCTGCGGAACTCATGCCAATCTGGGAAGCGAGGTCATCACCGTGGGTGTGACACAGACCTTGGGGCCATGCATTCATAAAACACGGCTGATGACAGTGCCAGGCCTGTGCTCAGGCCTGCACTGGAGCTGGGCTTGAATCTCAGCTCTATCTGTTACAAACCATTGGATCTTTCGGGGACTCAACCTCCTCTGTGCCTCACCTTCCTCTCCTCCTCTGCTAGGGCACCCACTTCCCGGGGTGCTTGTCTATGGGCTGCAGGGGGTGCCATGTCAGGAAGATGTGAGGAGCTCCCCTAGGTGGGAGGGGAGAGAGAAGTCACGTCCTCAACCCTGCAGGAAGCTCCGGGGAGGACGGGGGCTTTGGGGTAGAGAGGGATAGCCCCAGCTTTGCTTGAGGTTCCGAGCACAGTCAAGCAAGGCAGATGAGGCTGAGCTCAGTATCTCATGCTCTGATGGGCATGGCTCTGCCCCCCACATCGCAGTGAGCCTGGTTCCTTGGTCTCCAGTTAACCACATCTGAACTCAGTTTCCTACCCTTTGAGCCCATTGTAAAAAAAAAAAATACGTTGGGGAGGGGATGCAGAGAAGAAGGTGACATTGGGACTTACCAATCAGAAATCCAGACAGGACCCCAGCTATGGTCTGCAGGCTGGTCCACGATGCCCCCTGGAGAAAGTCGGTGGCCAACAGCAACAGGATGATGTTCTCCAACAGCATGACCTGCGGGACCCAGGACAGAGGCACCACACCTCGTCAGGTGCACACTGCCTAGGGACCCCCGTCCCGTGAGTCTGCAGCGGCTCCCCCTCCCCTCCATCCTGAGTGCCCACTGGAGACTCCAGGCTGCTGAGGAGTACCCAGGAGCAGGGCTATGTCCCACTGAGACCTTCTCTGGCAAAGAGAGAGCCACCCTGTTCTCAGGGTGGCTCATTAAAGTGTCTGCAGAATCATAAAGGCCCAGGAAATGTAAGGGCATCCCTCAAATGGCTGTGGGGCTGCCTTTAGAGAGTCATTATGGGCTGAGAGGGGACTTTTATTTTCTACTTTGCATATTTCTCCATCCTCACACTAACTGCAGGCACTCATTAGTGTTAAAATGAAAGATAGCTGCAGAGCTCATGATGCCACTGAATTCCAGGGAGCTAGGGTCACAAACTTTCTAACAACTTTAGGATTTTGTTTCCTTAAAATAATTGCTTTGCGGCCACCAGGTGGCAGCCGGAGACGGGAGCTCGCAGGCTGACAAAGGAGCCTGGCCCCGTGGCTGCAGCTGGTCAAAATGGCAGATGGTCCAGAAGGCTCTTTGTACGCCCATCTGGGTCAGCTTATTAACTTTGCTTTCCAATTTTTAAATATAAAAAGATACGTCTTCATTAAAATAAGTAAACAAATGACATAATTCAAAGACGATATATTTAAATACTGTGTGTTTTATATTTAATATATATTTTAATTTATTTTTATTTAATTAAATAATTATTTAATTTAATTAAAAATAATTTAATTTTATTTAATTAAAATATAATTAATATATATTTTAATATATTTAATATATATTTATATTAAATACTGTGTATTTTATTTATTTAAAAATAACACTTAAATTATATACTGATTTGCTAAAACTCTTCAAAAGATTTGCCAGGTTATTCATTGGCTTCGTTTTTCACTCTCAAAAATTCAAATAAGGAGAGAAATAAAAAAAATTATGAGGAGCTGCTTCGTAATCCTATGAACATCCATTCTCCCAGTCCCTCTGTGTGCAATGGGCAGGGTTTCTGCCCTAAATGCCTTGGCCAGCAGCCAGTACAGAAGGCATCTTTCTCTCCCCACTCCTCAGCTGTGTGGTTCTGGTGGTTCAGATTCTTAAGTTTGTCCCAACTCCGTCACCTGCCTCCTGTCTTTCCCGCCATTTCCGTGGTTCTGGCCCCATGCCTCCTGTCTAGGCAACCCCTATCTTCATTCTCTCTCTGAAATCTCTCCTCCACACCAATGTCAGGGTGACCCACTTCACCCAGAGATTGCATCTTGCCATTCCTCCCCGATGCACCTTGAAACAGCCCCACCTTAACTTCAGGATCCAGTCCCTACTTCTCAACAGAGCAGATGGTCCTGTTTGCCACTTAGCGCAAGTTTTCCTTTCTGGGGTCATCTTCCAGCATGCTCTTCCCAAACGACATTCCACTGACAAACAGTCTTTCCTCAACCAAACTCCAGTCAGCCTTCTCTGAGCCTTCTTTTCCATGAGTCTTCAACCCTGGCCAACGAGAACTCCAGACTCAGCACATATGATTCCCCTTACCTCCCCACACCGAGAGACTTGAACAAACACTGACCGAGTTTCCAGCAGCTCAAGGCCTCACCCCTACGATGCTGACCTCAGTCTCCTTTAAGTTCCTGCCTGAGAAAGCGCAGTGCTGCCAGGAGAAGGTACTGTTTGTTCCAGCCAAAACTTGGTGCTGGGTGGATAGGACCCTGGACTTCCTTTCCGAGCAGTTCCTTTAGAAAGCTTGCAGTTGCAAATCATTTCGCTGCGCTCTGAGATATACATCCTCTATTACCCAGAACTGTCTCCTCAAGTACCCAAGAGCCATCTATTCAAATACAAACTCCAAGCCTGGTGGGTGCATTGCCCTAACAGGACTGACTCCTGCCTCCTGTCATAAAGAAATGAGAAATTTGTTTCTGCTCCCAGCAAGTGACAAGCGCCAATGAACAAACACAGATGGCACACTCACATTTACGATCCCACTTTCCTGCTTTTTGTAAATTTCCACTTCCCTGTCTCTGGCCAAGCCCCCGGATGTTCCTCCTCCTTCCTCCCTTTTTCTCCCTTTTAAGCCCTGTCACCTCTGCACAACTTGAAGGTGGGTTCAGTTCATGCAGGGCTCTTCCCTATGGCGATACACTCAGTGCAATCTGTTTTCATTGCTTTTAACTAGCGCAGGGCTTTTTTTCCCTCGGACGCTGTGCGCACTCACTTTCCTGTGGATTTCCAGACACTCCAGGGTCTTTCCATTACTTCCGCAGCTTTGCCTGAAACGTTCTAGCGCCGTCCACACCTTTTCTTCAGGTGAACCTTGCTCACCACATAGCACATCGTGCAGGTCCCCTCTGTAAACCCTTCCCTGACTTTCCCAAGCTCTGCCTCTTGTGTCCTGTAGGGTTTTGATAGCGTCACTTCTCTGATCACAGTGGCTGCATGGATTTGCTTATGTCTTTGTGGCACTGAGACATGACCCTCTCACACTGTGGTGTCTAACTCCATTTTCAGCACAGGAGGAAGCTCAATGTGTGCTGATGTGAATAAACCCATAACGGGTGAAAGAAGTGAGACGGGGTCTTATATTACATTCAGAAGTGATCAACAGGCAGGCTTCCGCCTCTGAGCAGGAGGTGAGGACAGTTGAGTAGATCCTGAGCTAGGCCAGTCATAGTGTCACCTGTGGCTGTCTCCAGACGTGGATTCCCAGGTTGCAGTCACACCTACTGAGACAGAATCTCTGAGGGGGAGCCTGGGAATCGCCACTTTATAAAAGCTCCCCTGAGTGCCACTGACAACCAGCAGGGCTGAGGCCCAGCTGCACTGGAGGCCCCCAGCCCCCAGCCCCTGCCAGACCGTTCCAGCAGAAACCTCTGAACCACTGCCAGGCGGTGGCCTGTTGGTTAAAGGCCCTACGAAAAAGTATAAAAATTAACCAGGTATGGTGGTATGCACCCGTGATCCCAGTGACTCGGGAGGCTGAGGTGGGAGGATCACTTGAGCCTAGAAAGTCGAGGCTGCAGTGAGCTGTGATCACACTGCTGCATTCCAGCCTGGGCAACAGGGCAAGCTCTGTCTCAGAAAAACAAAAGCAAATACAAAACACCTTATGTTCCTTCTTGAAGGGATGTGGGGGTGGTACACTCTCCAGTGGCCCAGGAATAGGCTCAACATAGCTGAGCGATGCTTGGGTTGGCCCTGGGCTACGCTGCCCAAGTCTGGGGCTTCCAGACAGGAATTGCAGCTTCTTCTGGGGCCCATCCAGGGCCTGGGGTCTGGCAGCCTCTTTCCTGTGTGAGCTGCTGTCTCGAGGGCTGGGGCTGCGTGGGTCCCGGCACCCTCCGCAGAAGGTAATGCTTTCGGATGGCAGCACGGGTCTGTGCCAGCAGGGTGCACATCTCAGGGAGTGGCGCCCCAGTCTGTCCACTGCACTGTGGCCTCAGGCTTCCAAGATCACAGTCTGGGCATTTCTAACCTGCCCAGAGGCACTGGTTTCAGGTGCTGGCCACTCAGCCACATTGGATCAATGGAGTTTAGCTGGGGGTGTTGAGGAACAGTGGGAGAGGCTGCCTCACACTCTGAATGGCCCGTGCCACGGAGCCAGGGCTGCCCAGCACTGCCTGGCACAGGGAGGGGCCCAGACTCAGGTCTGGGCAGTGTGCATGGTGAAGTGCGAGGTGAGCATGTCCACCTGTCATCTCCGCCTTTTCTTCAGTTTCATGGTTGCAGCCCCACCTCAGAATGTGACTGGCAGGCACTCTTGAAATGTCAGGAGTTTAATAGGTTATCCTCGGAGTTATGTGTTATTTCACCTCTTTATGGTGATATTGGCTATCTTTACCCTCCACTTCCTTCCTCTTCCCTACCTTCCTTCCTCTTCCCTACCTTCCTTTCCTTCCTTCCTTCCCTCCCTCCTTCCTTCCTTCCTTCCTCCTTTCCTTCTTTCTCTGCTCTCTTGCCCCCGATGTCTGTTTCATTTATTGTAAATTATTTATTTATCTTTCAGAGCATCTACATCTATCTACCTGTGCCAGGCACCAGGCTCTTGGCTTTCTATCCATCACCTTATCAATCCTAGCAACAACCATTTCAGAGATGCAAAAACTGGGTGTGGGGGCAGGGGGAGCCCCGGTGACTCTCATACAGTTCAGAACCGAAGGATCCTGGTATCAAGCCTTAGCTGGTCGGGCAGCAAGGCCTAAAGCCCATGTTCCCCATCACATGCTGTAGGGATCCAAGCCCCCGGGCTAGGACTGCCCGGCCTGGATGGGTCTGTGCACAGCGAGAGAGATAAGGACACTCGTGCCACTGTGGTAGATCTCACTCCAAATGTAATGGTGTCTGATTTCTGCTTTTCCTATTTAATCGCTCTTGACTCAGTGATCTAGTGACTGTATGAGATGGTTGGGAAGAATGAAGGATTTGCTTTCTTTCCTTCTCTAACAGCCCTCAAACTCCTGGGAGATGACACGGCAACTGACATGTGAGTGTGACAAATGCAAGCAAACAAGGTGGCAGGTGTCAAACTCCTCCTTATTGAGCTCCTGCTTATCTGGGCATTGGCAGGCGGGGTGTCCACCTATGAATAAGCCACTTCAGCAAATTGGATGAGAAAATCAATATTCCACTTCTTTGTTCACTTGGGGATCATGTTGGTTGGGAGGCTGCTCATGCATGACCTGGGCCCTGCCACAAGTGAACCTATCTACAACACGCACGCTGTTATGCTCGGTGTTCAGATGTGGACGCTGAGGTTGGTGAGGCTCAGTAATGTGTCCAACATTGCAAGTCCTGTGAGCTCTGCCTGGCTCTATAGCCTGTGGGGTCACTGTGCTATATGGGTCCTAAAATCAGCAGGTGTCTAGGACGCTTCCCTTTCCTGGACAGGAGCTGCATCCTGCCTTTACCTTCACCCAGGTCTCTACCCTGGAATGCCTGACTCCTCCCACAGAAGTCTCTCCTTTTCATATGAATAATGGCCACAATTTATGGGTTATTTTGTGCCAGCTACTTATGTATATTATTTTATTTGGTCTTTACAGGAACCCTGAAGAGTATGTAGATCTTATTTAATCTTCACAGGAACACTGAGAGGGGGGTGACTTATTCCTAGCGTGTGCATGAAAAAGTAGGTTCAGACAGTTTAAATTCTTGGCTGAAGCCAGCTGGTGGTAGCAGTCAGCAGAGCTGGGCTCCAGTGCAAGTTTTTTCTGACTCTAAAACCCATGCCCCACCAATGTGATTGTATTTTCTCTCCTTTGCCCATTATAATCCAGCTCAACCTCCACTGTCCTGCCAAAAGTGTCTGTGGTCATCCTGACGAGAGGTGATGCTGGCAGCTACTCCTATGAGTCCCAGACATTTTTTTCTCTCCTGGCATCTAGCTACGTTCTGTCTGATTTTGGTTATTTGGGTGTCTACTTACTTACCAAATATTATAAGTTCTTCAAATATGAAGAAATCTCTACGGGACTCAAAGCAATCTGAAGAAGTATTAGGCCACTTTTGTGTTTCTGATACTCTCTAGGGCCATGCCTGGATCTTATTCATAAACCCCTAATAAAAATGGAGTTGATTAACAGAGACATTGAGTATATGATATTATACAGTTGAACTGTAATGATATTCAGCAGGTGGGCTGATGTAGAGAAGACATCACCAAATATGCCTCAGTTGTTGCCACATTGAATGCAGGGCCACAGCTGGAGGTTGGGTTACTATTTTCAAAGCCTGTCATCTCTGTTCAAGACTATCATTTCTTTAAGAATTTTTCTTAAACTAAGCTATTCCTTTTCAATAGATAGGTGTGCATTGGTGCACACACACACACACCCCCCACACACACCCACACACACCCCACTTGCTGTATACACTGTAAAAGTTAGGATAAAGAAAAGTGCCACTTGCCATGTAGAACGTGACCATCCTATTTCTAGAAGGGCTGTCCCAGAAGCTGAGGTAGCAGAGGATGTACACGGCCCCCACGAGCAGGTTGAACAGCCTCCAGTGGCAGGTGCTGTCGATGATGTCACTCTGCTGGGCGACAAGCCAGAATGTCATCACCAGCCAGTGGGCACCTGCAGAGAAGCCGGGTGCAGACGTCAGGGTCCATGCAAGGAGATGGGGGGACAGGCAAGGACACAGAGACCAGGGGCTGGAAGGCTCTCCGACCACATTTGACTCAGCATCCAAGAAGAGATATCAAAACCCAGAAGAGATTTGAGGGGGACAGAAAACCAACACAGTTTATCTTTGCATGTATTATCCCATTTTATCCTTATAAAGGGTATCTGACCTAATTTGAATATGACACAAGAAAGAGTAGCTTCAATAACACTTGCCAAATATTGTATACCTATGACCTTTTTATTCCAGAAAGTGTTTAAAGGGGCAGTTATAAAACTGACTGCCAATTATTTTAAAATTGTTACAAGAGCAAAAAACCTCCACATGCAAAGGAAAGAACTCTATGTGGTGCAGCTTTAATTTTTATGCCCATATTTTAAGACGAATAAATCATTTTGGATTTCAAGCTGATTTTTTTTAAAAAAAGAATAACAAAATAGCTAATCTCTCTTTAGAAGCACAGTTCTTTTTTTCAAAAAAATTATCTTTTTGGCCAATAACTGTATTCAATGTTTGCTCTAGGCCCAAGGGGCAAATATTTCTTAATGTCTCCAATTCTCTTAAAACAAGAGTAAACTGTTCCTTCTTGCAGAGTATATTCACTGATGACCAGAGATGACAGCTCTCCTCGGCAGGGACACACAGGCCCTATTCAGGGAATCTCCAGAGCCAGATAGACTCTCTGTCATTGCCATTCATATTGCGTGTGCCTAGACTGAGGGAGGAGGGAGGGCTTGGATTTAGTGGAGCTGTCCTATTTGCAACAGAGGAGATGTCCAAGATTCAGCATTCAAAGGAAATGGTGCACTTTTGGAAGCTATGTGCAGTATGACATATAGACTGTATATTTTTATATCAGGTGAGGCAAGTGGGACCTTGTACCTCCCTCCTGTTTCAGTGACAGTTTTTCTACATAAAAGATTTTGGCCTGTAACACAGAACAGTCTCCTGAGAAGTTCTCTGCTCCAGATTTAGCTGGGAGTGTTGAGGGCTGGGATGTCTAAGCTATGGCAGAGTATCTCCCAAGACAGCCAGCACGCGTTCCTTCCTGCCCTGGATGTGTACTCATCGGGAGCTGCAGTCTAGTCCTCCATGCTCTTGAATCTGGGCTGGTTGTGCTTGCTTTGACTGGCAGAATACAGCAGAAGCAATGCTGAGCCAGTTCTGAGCCTGTTTTTATAGAAGACTAGCAGTTTCCAGTTCCTTGCCATTGCAATTCTCAGCTGCTAATTCCTGTCAAGGCTCTTTATGAATCTGAACATCTGCTACCCCATTGCCATCTCTGAGGCCACCCAAGCAAGATCCATTCAGCAGAGAGCCCAGTCAGCCTTCAGGCCTGGGATTGAGGATCATATGTGGTTATTCTTGAGACCTTCATTTCTGGGTTGATTGGTTATGCAGCAACAGATGACCAGATCATTAGCTCAGCTCACCTGCAACCACAAAAACCCAAAAGTGGTAGGCTTTGTAGAACAGAACCAGACTCAGCACGCGGGTTCCCAACATGCCCATCCTCCAGAGCTGCTGGCAGAAGAGGGCGGCCCATGGCATGGCCAGGTGGCCTGGCTTCATGAAGCCCATGAAGCGAGTGTAGGACACCAGTGCCCAGGAGAGTGAGGACCAGGAAAACAGGGTGCTCACCCCTGAAAGGGAAGCAGAAAGATGTGGTATGCTCTGAAGATTCCGAAGTAACAGTACCTTGTGAAGATTCACTCATGGCATTTCTTTAATGGGATGTGTAACCTCTTGTTAAAGCCTGGCTGCACAGAGAGTATTACTAACCCACCACTTTGACCAGTAGGTAACATAACAACTCTATGTCCAAATACACCTGTCTATATTCAGGAAGAAATGGGGATATGCAGGAAATATTTCCACTGCTCAATGTACTAAATGCTCTTCCCAGCAAATGGGCTGGACTCTTCCTTTCTACGCCCTTTAAGAAAAACGTCCCAGCTCCTGATCCTCTAAGTCCTCTGTATATAACAAAGCTGATTCTACAAGGCTCTGAACATGGTTCCACCCCAAATGTACTTTGCTGTTTTATCCATATGAAGGAGGTTTAATAAAAGAACGAAAACATCAAATGGTGTCAGGCTCTTTGATAAAGATGGATGGAAGGACAGTGCAGGCATATATGTGAAGCATTTAATTTGTGCATATGCAATTGTGGACACTCAGCAAAGAGGAAGGGAGAGATGAAGATGGAAGGGGAGAGGTGGGGAGGGAGAGAAGGGGGTGAAGGGGAGGGGAGAAAAGGGGATAGCAGGAGGGAGAGGGAGAGGGAAACAAGAAGCAACTGAGAGAAACAGGGAGAGACATAATGAGAATGTGAATGGCCTGAAATGAGTGGGAGCTGGAGACAAATGTTGCTGGGGCCTGAGTTGTTCTCAGTTTCCACATGGCTTTGAAGGTATAAGCCTCTGGCTTTGTTAAGAATTATTATTATTATTATTATTTTGAGACAGGGTCTCACTCTGTCACCTGGACTGGAATGCAGTGATGCAATCATGACTCACTGCAGCCTCAAACTCCTGGCCTCAAGTGATGCTACCACCTCAGCCTCTTGAATAGCTGGCACTGCAACTGCATGCCACCATGCCTGGCTAATTTTTGTATTTTTTGGTAGAGATGGGTTTTTGCCTGGCTGGTCTTGAGCTCCTGGGCTCAAGCAATCCACCCACCTCAGCTTCCCAAAGTGCTGGGACTACAGGTGTGAGACTTGTGCCCGGCCAAGAATTATTCTAATGATTAAAGACACAAGAAAAACATGTGCAGTGAGTTTATGGAGAGGCAGTCTTTCCAAGGCATTTTGAGGATAATTTTGATTATGGGCAATTTCTATCTTATGGGCTGACTTTAGAACATGACCCTTAAGAAAGAAGGGAGCCAACTCTCTGTAAACTCAATGCACCAGCAAAAGCCAGTTTTAAGCATCATCTGTGCCAGTGAGCTCAAGGTGCCCTAATGCTCCTAAGCAGAGGAAATCTCGAAGGGAGGGTTTTGCTAAACAGGCTCACATTCCTGTCCCCCTTCGGCAGTCAGACAGTCTGTGCTCTGTGGTGACAGTTACTCACCTGGCACAATATCTGTGAAGTCTGAGGCTAGAAAAACATATGTCTGAAGCAGCAGGTGGGGCCCAGTCTGCAGCAGGGCCTCCAAGAGTCGAAGGGCCGACAGGTCGGCCTCCTGCAGCTGCAGCCAGCCTCGGTGGGGAGCCTCCAGTTCCTTCTGCAGACTGGTCAGTGCAGCGTCCCAGTGCCTAGGGAACAGCAGAGGGCACGTGACACGGAGCCAGGCTGTGGCGAGATTCAATAGGACGAGCTTTCATTTAGAGACATACTACATGCTAAGCAATATCCTATGCCCTTACTAGTCACCTAGAGTTACTAGTTAGGCTGTTGCCAGCCTCTGACTGCAAGCAGAAGACGTCACTTCTATGTAAGTTCCCCGAGTCCTGTGGTGCTCAGCCAGGCCACACTCTCCCCACGTCTGGTACCCCAGTACCTGACCTGGGGGCTCTTTGAGCTGGAGCGGCTGCATGGCAAGGGAACCCAGACTGCCAGCTCTGTGAAGCTCGGCAATCACCCCGACCTGAGTCCCACCCCGGATCCTCTTGGGATGGGAATTCATTTATCGACAGATGTCTGTTGCAAGGTACTGTGTGTTATCATCTCTTTGAAGGACAAAAAGTAGAAAAAACCCTTGTCTTCATCCTCACAGAATGTAGAACTCTGTGCTGCGAAAACTGGGGCACATGAAGAGCAGACAGGGAAGAAGGATCTGGAGGCTTTGCTGGGGAGTGGCCAGAGGTCCAGGTGGCTGGAGCACCATGCGGAGCTTGGAGGCTGATGTGGTCCCGGTGAAGTAGATCAGGGCCCTGAACTTCAGGCTATGGGGTTTGGATTTTGCTCTGGAAAAATGAATTTGGCAGAGGTAATATGTACTGTCTGGGGTATGAGATGAATGTGTATGGATTTGTGTGTCTATGTATGTGTATGTGCATGTGCGTGTATATGGGTGAACACACATGTGGTGTACATGTGCTTGTGTGTGTGTGTATGTATCTGCATGTGCATGTATGCATGTGTGTGTGCAAGTGTGCAAAACATATGCATATGTATATAGGCATTATGTGCTTGCATATATATAGTGTGTATGTTTATATATGTGTGTGCATGAAGGTATATGTGTGTATATTCATGTATGTGTGCAGTGTGTATCTGTAGTGTGTGCAGTGTGAGTGTGTGTGTGTGCACGCATGTAGTGTGGGTGTATGAACAGGGGATAGGAACATCAGGAGGAAACAGAGCTAATAGAATACTTCCAGCAGTAATTGGTGAAGGGAGTCCTAGGAATGGAAAGTAGGGAGCAGGTGCAGGAAATAGTGGAGTTGGAGATCAGGATTTGATGACTGAACAGGGGAGATGAGGGAAGTTGCAGTGGCTTTGAGGTTTCAGGCCTAAATGACTTGGAAATGGTGGTGCTACCGACGGAAATAAGCCAGGTGAGGAGTGCTGGATTGGCCACGATATGAATTTCTTCAGCAGTGAGGAATGTGAGGATGGGTGGAGCCCCCATAAGGAGAGATCTGGATGACCAGTTGTGGTTGAGGGACTGGAAGTGGCCAGAAGAGACTGTGTGAAGACAGCATAGACCAAGGACAGCACCCTGGGGACTGTTCCCACTAAGGGGCCTGGATACGAAAGGGACACCAGCAAGGGTGGGTGGAAGCCGAGAACCAGGCAGCGGAGAGAGCTGCTGATCTCTGCACTGTGGATTACAGGATGGGGTGGCCCAGGGCCACGGGGACACATCTGCTCACCCAGCCTGGGTGGTCCTCCGAGGCTCTCGGAAAAGGAATCAAGCAACAAGAAAGAAGTCAGAACATGTCCTTGCTTCAGTCTGTTTCCCATGAGCCTATGCCAGGCACCTTTACTGGAAACTTCATCTCATAAGTAGAAAGTGGCACAGACCACCTTCCTTACAACCTGAAGATCCACATAGAACCCATGACCACGAAGCCACTCCCCACCACACCAGCGGGCTCTCAGGCTTCGAGTCTCACCTGGAGGTCAGATTTCGCCACCACCCACCAATTCCTCTCTGGGTCTACCTAGCAGCAGCAATAAGGAGATGACCACAGCCGCCTGCACACGAGCCTGCTGCCCAGCAAACCCACTGGATTCTGCTTCCCTGTCTTGTTCAATTTAAGAACTAGAGGTCACTTCAATTTAGCAACTCCTGAAGCCAAGCTGGATGCATCTCGAAGGTCACCTGCAAAACTCCCTGTAGAGACCCCTAAGGCTCTGACTGGCAGGTGACAAGCTGGACCCTGATGGGTGGCAAACATTTCTATGTCCAGAGCAGAAGATTCGGGGACTCCTCTTTGAAATGGCTTTATTCATGGTGCTGAGATCCCAGGACAGATGTCTAAGAAAAACAACTTTCCTTTTTCATGATTTGGAATCCTGGAGTGAACCCATTTCTTACTGTGTCTTGATTCCTGACATAAACTTAATGTTAAGAAAAACATATGACACTAAAAAATGTAACCATGAGGGCAGGCAGTAGTTTTCTTTTCACTCTCAAATCATTTGTTCCTGACATGGGGTAGTTTCCTCTTCTTGCTCTTCCAGAAAGCTTTGTTTGTTCAACATGCATTTTTCTTGGGCTTTGAGAGGCCCACCTGCTACAGACCACAGGCGAAGTAAGAGAAATGAATCCCAGCTTTTTGGGAGGCCAAGGCAGGAGGATTGCTTGAGCTTGGGAGTTTGAGACCAGCCCTGGCAACATAATGAGACTCCATGTCTACAAAACAAAACAAAACAAAGAGCTGGGATAGTGGTGGGTGCCTGTAGTCCCAGCTACTCAGGAGGCTGAGATGGGAGGATCACTTGAGCCCAGAAGTTCAAGGCTGCAAGTGAGCCATAATTATGCCACTGCACTCCAGCCTGGGTGACAGAGGCAGAAGACTCTCGTGAAAAAAAAGAAAAGGGGGGAAGTGAAATGAAAGATGTCTTTTAGAAACCTAAGATTCAGTGTGGAAAGAAAACATACAAATGCGAAAAGCTTCAAGAGGAAGAAATATAAGTATCAACATGAGTGGCTTGGGTAGTGGTGGAATCAGAGTCACAGGCAGAGAGAATAAGGTGGTCAGGGAATGCTTCCTGGAAGAGGAGGACAGGCAAACTCTGGACAGGTAGATGGTAGGAAGAGCCTAAAGGAGTGTCTGGGGTCAGTGGCACAGGGTACAAGGCACTGAAATGAAGGTCCATGTCTGGGAATAGCGAATATCTGGTGCTTGGTAAGGCGGGGGCCAGGAGAGGCTGAGTTGTGGGGCTACTCTTGTAAGAAACAGAGGACCAGTGGGAAGGTGACTAGCCCGGTTTTCTGAAACGAGCTGTCTCGAACCCATTGCAGAGGGAGAAATTCAGGCTGAGACCCCTGGACAGCCACTAGGGAAGCCGGGGAGGAAGCTGAGGCGGGATGGAGAGCGTGGGGATTTGGTCACTAGGTCCTATGAGATGGTGTCCGACATCTGTCCTCACAGTCGCTGCATCATTCCAGGTCCTTATCAGCACTTGCCTGGATTTCTGGCTGCCTGCATGGACCCCGTCCCTCCC
This sequence comes from Homo sapiens, assembly GCF_000001405.40. NCBI lineage: Eukaryota > Metazoa > Chordata > Mammalia > Primates > Hominidae > Homo > Homo sapiens. The sequence goes on from NC_000008.11 coordinate 6,828,714, forward strand.
AACTCTGTTGCATTTTATTGTCCCTGGTGCCATCTGTCTACAGGCTCATTTGCCCATATTATTCCTTTGCTCAAACCCTTCCAACAGGTCTCCAATGCCTGAGGATAAAATCCAAACTCCTTAATCCAGTAGAAAAGTTTCTTCATGGTCCAGCCCATTTATCTCCTGCCACATTCCTGCCATCTAGGAAATTCTTACCCTTTAGTCTCAAGAACCTCATCCTAATTTCCCATATACACCACTTCTGGCACGCATCTATGTCTTTGCACCAGCGGCTGCAGCTTGCTGTGTCGGAAACGCCTGTTCCCTCCCTACATTGATGGAAATCGCAACAGCCTTCAAGCCTCACTCGAGGGATCCTGAGGCAGGACTGGGCCCTCCAGGGCTAGGGCTATATTTTATATACTTTTAAATATTAAATCTCCACCCATTTATGCTGAACCTGTCTTACATACCTTTAGAGTTTACCTTAACTTTCCTTTTGACAACCTTGAACTTTCACTAAAGAAAAATTGCTAAACCAAGGTGCATGCTAAGGATGAGATAGGCCTTCTTCTGTCATCTCATGCTGCATTTACAAGTGGATTTGTGGGCTTAAAAAGAAAGATGAAAAAGATGTTGGTAACATACAGTATTAAAGTGTAAGTAAAAAACCTAAGTAGAAGAAAGTAATGGTCTTTGTTTAAATAAGTGGTCACCAATGTCAGGTTCTCTTGAACAGAGTCAGACTTAAAATGAACATAGTATGTATTATTGGGAACGTTAAAAAGAATACACTTATGGCTTAAATCCTTGCCTTTTTATATTTATTTATTTATTTGAGATTGAGTCTCATTCTGTTGCCTAGGTTGGAGTGCAGTGGCGTGATCTCAGCTCACTGTAACCTCTACTTCCCAGGTTCAAGCGATTCTCATGCTTCAGTCTCCTGAGTAGGTGGCATTACAGGTGTGCGTGACCACGCCTGGCTAATTTGTCTATTTTTAGTGGAGATGGGGTTTCGACAGTGTTGGCCAGGCTGGTTTAGAACTCCTGGCCTCAAGAGATCAGCCTGCCTCCACCTCCTAAAGCACTGAGATTACAGGTGTGAGCCGTCACGCCAGGCCAAATTCTTGCTTTTTTTTTTTTTTTTTTTTTTTTTTTTTGAGACGGAGTCTCGCTCTGTCACCCAAGCTGGAGTCCAGTGATGCAATCTCGGCTCACTGCAAGTTCCGCCTAACGGGTTCATGCCATTCTCCTGCCTCAGCCTCCCAAGTAGCTGGGACTACAGGCGCCCGCCACCACGCCCGGCTAATTTTTTGTATTTTTAGTAGAGACGGGGTTTCACCGTGTTAGCCAGGATGGTCTGGATCTCCTGACCTCGTGATCCGCCTGCCTCGGCCTCTCAAAGTGCTGGGATTACAGGCGTGAGCCACCGCGCCAGGCCTCAATCCTTGCATTTTTATAAGCAACTTTGTGTTTTACTGGATTCTCAGTTAGCAGATTCTTTTGTATTTTGTGATGAGGACACTCAAAGTGACCTATTCTTAGGCAATTCAAAATTGTGCCAAACGCAATTGTTTTGGCTCCCCCTACAGGTCCTTTTCTAGAATTGCAATTTGGAAAGCTGGATTGCCTCACTAAAAATACTGCTTCACTCAGTGTTGTCTTTGAACCCTATGTGCTAGTTTCAGGATGAGGAATGGATCCACTGCTGTCTATTTTAACTTTCAAAGCTTTCCTCTATGGAAGTAAATTTCTGTTTTTTGGTTCATGTTTAACCTGAGAAACACTGCAAATCTTGCGGCCTTTATGCTTGCACTGGCTGTTATAAACCTTAGGGCCAAATTGTGACCCGCTTCCGATAGCTGTGCATTCTGGCTCTATCTTGTTTTCTAACATTTCATCTCGATACCTGGCCTTTCTCATTTCTTTTCTTTTCTTTTTTGTTCTTTTAAGGATGTGTATTTTTAAAGTCATCTTAACTTCTTTTTCAAAACAAGAATAAATATATATGACTAATGGTTTTTCCTAATTTATAATTTTCATGTATCTCTTCACTTATCTATATGATTTCACTAGTATATACCAGATTATTCAAGTTCGTTTTTTTATATACACCAGAAAATCATGGCATCACTTAAGAAAATTAAGAGTGCATGGGAAAGACAGTGTGGGGTCCACTGTGAAATACCAGCAGCATGAATTTGGACACACCGTGGTCCCCTGGCAGCCCTCATCTCTGAGGAAGGCAGTGGATTCCATGAGGCCTGAGGGTCCACACAGCCTCAGAAGGCAGATTTGTCTAACCGTTCATTACCCAGGAAGCTTCTCTAAGTGACCACCTGGGCTTACCTCTCTCTTTGGGCTGCCAAACATGGGCTCATGGTAGCTGACTCACTCAACAGGCCTCTGTCCTCGAGGGCTCATGCCTTACGACTGTGATGGTCAAAGCCAAGTAAGACCCAGAGCCCTTAAGGATTGATTACTGGGCTGGGCCGATCAGGGAAGGAGACGACAATGGCAGCTAGGGCACAGGAGAGGCTCTGACCCTATGAGGCCCTCCGAAAGATCCTTCTCTGCCTTCTCCGCCATGGAAGGAAGGGCCCTGTCTTTTCAGGGGAACGGCACTGCTTGAACACCAAGGCCGAGCTTTTGGCAAAATGCCTGTGGCTGCAAATATGCTTTCGGTGCTGTTAGAGGTTTAGGGTCCAACTCTGAGGGTCCAGTGAAACTGAGAGTGGGTGCTTGAAGTCTTTCTCAGAAGCACCCTCTACCTCCTAGCTGAGATTCTACTCTGGGCGGGACGGCACCATTCCCTGCTCACAGTGATGCTCTATGTGGGGCTCATCACTCATTTCAGTGCCTCCGGAGAAAGTCTTGGGAATAGCTTGCAGGCATAAACCCCTAGGACACACAGCAGCATTGGCCACGACCCCTTGAACACCTTTCCAACCCTCAGTGCCTATGATTTAATGAACACTTGAGCTGCAGGGCTTCACCGCTCTGATCCCTGAATTTTTCTCCCTTAAAAAAAATCCTGTGGCCAGGTGCAGTGGCTCACGCCTGTAATCCCAGCACTTTGGGAGGCCAAGGTGGGCGGATCACGAGGTCAGGAGACCGAGACGATGCTGGCTAACCCAGTGAAACCCTGTTTCGACTAAAAATACAAAAAATTAGCCGGGCATGGTGGCACGTGCCTGTAGTCCCGCCTACTCAACAGGCTGAAGCAGGAGAATCGCTTGAACCCAGGAGGCGGAGGTTGCAGTGAGCCAAGATCACACCACTGCACTCCAGCCTGGGTGACAGAGTGAGACTCCATCTCAAAAAAAAAAAAAAAAAAAAACAAACCTAACAACCCAATGGAATTATGAGGCAGCAGCTGCCAGCTGAAATGTGCCCTTGATATAAACTCACTGACACATCTCTTCTCATAGCTCCTTGAATCCAGGTTCTCAAAGTAGAAAAAAATCAGCCCTCACCTGTCGTGATGGTCTATGGATCACGGATAAGCCCACCAGGCCCCAGAACTATCCCTGGCTACTTCTTTAGAGAAAAAACTAGCCCTGGCATCCAAATGACTTTTTCCTGAGACGAAGTCTTGAAGCAAATGTCAACAGGCTGGCTTCATTGTCTAGTCTGTGGTTCACTAAACTATGCCACCTTCCTGTTCTAAGGTGACAGGTGTGCAGATGGAACTGCCTTAAGTAAGTTGCTTTATATGGAACTAACGGCTCAACCAACAAATCAAAACAGCAAGACAGGGCTTCATCTGAAGACAAGAAAAAGCCTTTCGTAAGGTCACAGCTTCACAGAGAAAGAGCCCCTGAGGTTGGAGATGCTCAAAAAAGTGCAGGCTGGACCCGGGCATGCCAATATCAGAGCAGGGGTTTGCTGTGGCCGCTTTGAACCTCTTCCCAATGCTGAACTTTTATGAGCTTGAGGACAGAATCCACATGGAGAGAAGATTCCTCTCACTGCACTTGTGCAATTGTGCTCCAGAGGTGAAAGAGGCAGCTGTTCTTACCGCTTCCAAACACCAAGCTGTAGGAGGTGCAGCATCATCAAGGAGCAATGCCCTGGATGCCCGTCTGCTCGGAACCACAGGTAGCTCAGGGCCTGGACCAAGAACCCGGGCAGGAGGACAGCAAGGGCCAGCCACCCCCACAGAAGCCGTCCTGTGGTGAAGTAGTAAGCCACGGTGTAAAGGCCTGGGTGAGAAGGGGAAAGGCAAGCAGGTTGTTGGAAGGCTGGAGTGAGACTGGGTACCTGCATTTTAAACAACTGAACATTTTCTGGATGTTATGATGTTCTGACCTCTTAAAATCTTTCTGGCTGGGGAGTGACTGTCCCTCCCAAGGCTAGCAATTATTTCAGCTAGCAAAGGGCCCAGCCAGGAGCTTGCCTTTGACATGCGAACTAAATCTAGCCAGAGCCAGACCTCCCCTACCTGGCCCATACCCCCGCAGAAGGCAATCTTCTTTTGCCTTAATCATCCCAGGGCCCAGTGCCAGGAAACTAGGGACCACCCTTATACCCCAAAGCCACAGAAATTATTCAAAGGGCTAATCTGAAGCTGGTGCTCTGCCCTAGCAAAGCGTCTGGCCTCAACTTCCCCTGGTTCCTGTCTCCTGCCTCCTGACCACCCTGGTGACATTCCCCTGTGGCCCGGCATGGTGTGCCATGTCTCCTGTCCTAGGACCTGTGAGTACAGCAAACTTTGCTTTCCAGAGTCTCTCCTGTGTCTCATCTTGTGGCCACACCTAATTATCTCATTAAAAACAAAACCAAAGCACTTTGGGAGGCCGAGGTGGGCAGATTGCTCGACGTCAGGAGTTCAAGACCAGTCTGGGCCTCTCTACTAAAAATACAAAAATGAGCAAGTTTGCTGGCTGCGTGCCTGTAATACCAGCTACTCGGGATGGATGAGGCACCAGAATGGCTTCAACTCAGGAGGCGGAGTTTGCAGTGAGTCGAGATTGGGCCACTGCATTCCAGCCTGGGCCACAGAGCAAGACTCTTGTCTCAAAACAAAACAAAACAGTAACCAACCAACACAGTGTCCCCATCACCAGCAAGAGTCTCCTAGGAGCAGGCTGGGAGCCAGCAGAGCCTCTGGCAACAGGGACAGGCATTCACTAAATGACATTGTCAGGGCTTTCCAGAGCTGTTGGGCAATATACGACATGTGTGAAGCGCCTAGCATCTTGTGCATCCTCGAGAACGATGAAACCTCCTCTCTGGTTTGTTTGCTTGTTTGTTTTTGATGGTGGTTACGCAGTGGAGAGAGAATGTGCACTCCGCAGTCAGTAACTCCGCACTACGAAACCGTTAGTCCCTGTGGGGTCACAGCTCTCTCTGTGGGGTCCCTTTTCTCCTACTTTCACATGGGGAACTCCCTGGCCTGGAACTCTGGGCCTCCCCAATACTCCTAGCACGGCCTCCTCAGGGTTGTCTGAGGCTGATCTTGGAGGCGGTGCGCTGGTAGAGGCACCGCACACAGGCATCGTTTCACACAACTGTTACTTAGGTTTTCCAATAGTAAAGTTCTAAGTGGATGAATGAACACAAGCCGCGGATTTTAGGGAAACTGGGAAAACTGCCCTGAGGTACAGCTGCAGACGCTGCAGCTCTAGACCGCGGGGTCCGGGCTCAGGCAGCCCTTAGCGCCCAGGCTGGGTCCGGCTGTCACCACCCCGAGCGTCCTGCGGCAGCCTCCCTTGCACGAAAAGCCTTCGGTGCTGCAGGGCTGGGGAATGCTGACACCCAGTCCGTGCCCAGCTGGAGGGCAAGGGAGGACACCTGGGGTGGGTGCCGACCCCCGCAGGTCCTGTCTCAGCCCTTCCAGTCCGGGGCGCGGAGCCAGGGCGCTTGCGCGTCCTCCGTGTGCGTCCTGCTCGGCGCGCCTCGGAAGCAGCGGGACCTGCGGGGACGCCCGCGAACTCAGGGAAAAGTCCCAAGGCGGCGTTCCCAGGGTACCCCCTCTTCCACCCCAGGGACTCTGCCCGGGAAAAAGCTTCCGCAGGGAGCCCGGCGGAAGTGGGCGGAGACGCTCCTCCCGGCACTGAAGGAGTTACGCGTTCAAACCAGAAGGGCGCGAAAAATGGGGCCATCTTGCTCCGCCGCGGCTGGCGGGCTCTGGGTTCCCCCTGCGACGGAGGTGGCCTCGAAGGGCCGCGTCCCGCCCCGTCCTAAACCCCGAAGCGGAGTCGCCGTCCTACAGGGCCGCGTGGATGCGGAGCCCTGTCCCCCTCCCCCCGCCACCCCTTCTGCGAGCGGCCTCCAAGTCGCAGGGTCCCCCTGGACGGCCGGGGGTCGGGGGAGAGCCCGGGCGCCCCCAGACTTGCGCTCAGCACATCTTGGCATCGCAGCACTTTGCAAAGCTTGTGATGGAAGGAAGGGCGGATACATCTCCCCTGCTTCTGCGAGGGGATCTTGCATGCGTGGGGCGGGGGGATCGTGCATGGGCGGGAGGAAGTCAAGCACCAGTCGGGAGGGGGGGGAACCGAGCATGGGTGGAGGAAAATCATGCATCCTTGGGGGGATGGTGCATGCGTGGGCATCTACTAAGGACGGGAGGACGTGCTCTGCAGGTGGGATGGCCACCACCGTGCGTCACCGGCGCGCAGTGCTGGGCGCAGGCTGGGGCAGTGCCCGCCCGGGCATAGGCAGCCTGTGCGGCTCCCGGCGCCGGGGTGGGGTTAGGGGCTGCAGGGGTGAGCACAGCCTCGGGCTGCCGCACTCACGCGCGCTCTGCTCGGCCGCCTGCAGCAGGGCCGAGAGCCCCAGGAGCCTCGCGTGCATCTTCCGTGCCGACCCCGCAGCCTGCGCCCGCCCCTTCCCCTGCACGCGGCCCCGCGTCGGGGAGGTTTCCGGCCCGGGGCCCGACTGCGGGTGGCATTTCTGGCTAAGCCGTTAGGCGCGAATTGTATGTCTGGTTTATTCGTAGTGGCCAGCAGGGGAGGGAGGGAGGATGCTTGGGGTTTCTGGCTTCCAGGGTGGGTGGGGACGAGGTGGTGGAGTCCAGCTCAGGTCCGGGCTCCTGATAAGGGCAGAAGCGGGTTCTGCGCTGCCCCCAACCCTGTAACCGCCAGGAAAGCGCTTGGTGAGCGTCGGGACTGCGCAGGTTCCTCGGGAGGTGGCTAAACTGGCCACCGCCTCTGGGGCCGCCTAAAGCAAGTCCGTTAACCACTAGTCAGGGAGGAATACTGTGTTTGAGTAAATATATGTAGAGTTGGGTTAGAATCATTGATTGGGTCTTTTTGAAATCTTACAGTTCTGTGTCCAGAAAACACAGGGCACGTTACCCGGTATCGTGGTCTACACCTCGCCCACAAATCCATCCCAGGCTGTATCCTCATGGAAGCTTTTTCCAGATGTGCTTGAGGGTTAAGATCGCAATGTGCAAGAAGAAAAAGTGCACATTGGAAAACCTTCTCTTCGGAGATATCTATATCTATATTTATATATATTTACAGATATGGAGATATATACACACACGTATCTGAAAACATTCTGACGTTTTAAAAACGGTAAGACAGACTTTTATTCAGAACCATTTCCTTAGATGTAAGGGACTGCACTGAGGTTTTGCAGCAGGGGAGAGAGATTGGGGTCCGAAAATAATAAGGAAAAGTGGGGATTTATAGCCAAGGAGCAGTGTGGGGGACGGTGGATGGAAAGTCATTGAGAAGGGGACATCAAGTGGGGGTTCTGGCTTCCCTGACCTAACAGGATTCCTGCTGAGGGTGGGCCAAGTTGATCCACATCGGGGATGGGGGTGGGGTGGAGCAGGTGTTGGAATTTGGTCAGATATGGAGGGTATTCAGACACCTGAGGTGGGGAATTGGGATTAAACTGACTTAGCAGGATTCTTGCTAAAACTAGACTCTGCAGGAACAGAGGAAGGAATGCCCAGGTTGGGCCCAGTCGTGCAGAGAGCTCGGAGGAGGCTGTCCAGAGTCTGATCAGGGAGACATTCTTTGTCATTCATGTATATACCCATATATTGTAATAGGCTGTTCTTGTATGACTATAAAGAAATACCTGAGACTGGGTAATTTATCAGAAAAGAAGTTTGATTGGCTCACAGTTCTTCAGGATTTACAGGAAGCACGGTGCTGGCATCTGCTCAGTTTCTAGGAAGGCCTTGGGAGCTTATGCTCATAACGGAAGGTGAAAGGGGAGCAGGCACATCCCATGGCGAAAGCATGTTCAAATTAACATAAGAAGAAAGAGAACTTGGCCAGGCACGATGTCTCATGCCTGTAATCCCAGCATTTTGAGAGGCCAAGGCAGGCGGATCACCTGAGGTCAGGAGTTTGAGACCAGCCTGGCCAACATGGCGAAACGCTGTCTCTACTAAAAATACAAAGATTAGCTGGGTGTGGTGGTGGACACCTGTAATCCCAGCTACTTGGGAGGCTGAGACAGGAGAACCGCTTGAACCTGGGAGGTGGAGGTTGCAGTTAGCCGAGATCGTACCATTGTACTCCAGCCTGGGTGACAGAGGGAGACTTCATCTCAAAAAAAAAAAAAAAAAAAAAAAAGAGAGAGAGAGAGAGAGAATTTGAATAGTCCAGTGAGTGTTAGAGAAATTAAACTGGTAGTCAAAGACTATTCAGGTCTAGGTACTTTTACAGATTAATTCTGCCAAAGTTTCAATGAACAGTTAACTGCTACCTAATATAATTTGCTCCAGGAAACAAAGACCGAACTTTACCCAGCTTATTTTAAAAGACTGCTGTAGTTTTGATTGTAAACAAAGATATACATAGAAAGAAAATTATTTTAATGACAAGCACAGATGCAAAAATCCTAGGTAAAATGATAAATTCAAAATATATTAAAATAGTATTATATGATAAGGTGGGTTTTACTATGAATTTTCACAACCCAGAAATCCTTTGATGTCACTCCATTATCATTTTGAACAAGAAAAATCCTTTTTTTTTCTTTCTTTCTTGAGGCAGTCTAGCTCTGACATGAGGCTGGAGTGAATAGGCGCAATCTTGGCTCACGGCAACCTCAACCTCCTGGGTTCAAGCCCTGTTCTCATGTCTCAGCCTCCCAAGTAGCTGGAATTGCAGGCGTGTGCTACCAGACTCAGCTAATTTTTGTATTTTTAGTACAGATGGGGTTTCTTCATGTTAGCCAGGCTGGTCTCGAACTCCTGAGCTGAAGTGATCTGCCTGCCTCGGCCTCCCCAAGTGCTAGGATTGAAATAATCAAATGATTTTTCTTGGTTGGGCACAGTGGCTCACAGATAAGAAGACAAGCATGCTCAGTATCACAACTACTGTTTAATATTGTGTTGGAGGGTATACCTAATGTATAAGGAAACTGAAGGAAATAAGATCATGTAACTAGCAGAAAGGAAGGGTGAGACACTCATCATCTACAGATGCTTCTCTACCTAGAACAATCAACCTTGTCAAGCTGATGAAATAGTTCAAAACGTGGCCGGGTGCGGTGGCTCACGCCTGTAATCCCAGCACTTTGGGAGGCCGAGGCGGGTGGATCATGAGGTCAGGAGATCGAGACCACCCTGGCTAACATGGTGAAACCCCATCTCTACTAAAAAAAAAAAAAAAAAAAATAGCTGGGCGTGGTGGCAGGCACCTGTAGTCCCAGCTACTTGAGACGCTGAGGAAGGAGAAAGGTGTGAACCCAGCAGGCAGAGCTTGCAGTGAGCCGAGATCACGCCACTGCACTCCAGCCTGGGCAACAGAGCGAGACTCCGTCTCAAAAAAAAAAAAAAAAAAGGCCAAAAGGCCTTCTAATATAACTTACAAAAACCAATAGCGTTTCTCTGTACACGTACTATACAAAACTGGAAAAATTAAGATAGTTGTAATAGTTAGAATGTCTATAAAGTGCTTAGGAATTGATTTAAAACATACATAAGATTTGTCTGGAGCACACCATAAAACTCTAATAAAGAATATAAGAAATGATCTGAGTAGATATATTCTTGTTTTTGATTCAAACAGCTTAATAAAATTGTCAATTCTTCCTTAATTAATCTATACATTCAGTGGAAACTTATTAAAAATTCCAAAATGATCTTTACGAAACTTGATAGACTTACTCTAAAATGTGAATGAAGAGAGGAGGTCCACAAATTAGCCGACTTTGTGAAGAAGGATAAAGAGGCATTTGTACCCTTCTAGATATTAATATATATCAAGAAAAAGTCATGTTTATAGAACGTTATGGTATTGGCACAGAACAGACAAAAAATCTATAGAATGCAGTGGAGAGCTCAGAAGCTGACCTACAAATACATAGAACTTAAAATATATGACCAATAGCGGCACCACAAATCAATGGAGAAATACAAATTGTTTAGTGAATGTGTGATAAAATGAGCTCATTAGATCCAAACAATAAAAGTAGATCTCCACCTAGCGCATGCCCACAGGTGGACGCCATGTAGAGTAAAGACCTACATATGAAAGATAAGACTTTAACAGAAAGAAGTACAAAAAATAGCAGAATATTTTTATGACTTAGTAATGGAGAAGGATGTCTTAAACAACACCTCAAAACACAAACCACAAGGGAAAAATGGATTGCATTTTTTTGTGTGTAACAACTGAAGCCTTCTGTTTAGTGAAGGACCTTGTGGACGTTAACGGACAGAAGTTAGATACAGTGGGAGAAGTGTTTTGCAATGTCTCAAACTGACAAGTCATTAATATATGAAATATACAAGTAACTCCTATATTTCAACAAAAACGAGGAGGCAGCAACCTCAGTAAAAAAGGGGAAAAGGCAATTTATGGAAGAGAAAAACCCGAAAAGGCCTAATTTACTGAAGAAAATGTTTCCAAACTGAAGATAATTTAAGTGATGCTGAAACCTATCAATATTTTAAAAAGTGCAAAGTGAATGACATCACTTTATTTATTTATTAGACAAGATCTTGCCCTGCCATCCAGACTGGAGTGCAATGGCGCGATCTCAGCTCACTGCAACCTCCACCTCCCGGGTTCAAGCGATTCTCCTGCCTCAGTCTTATGAGTAGCTGGGATTACAGGCACGTGCCACTGTGCCTGGGTAATTTTTTTATTTTTAGTAGAGACGGGGTTTCCCTGTGTTGGCCAGGCTGGTCTTGAATTCCTGAGCTCAAGTGATCTGTCTGCCTCCGTCTCCCAAAGTGCTGGGATTACAGGCGTGATCCACCACTCCCGGCCTGACATCACATTACTTCTTTAGATTGGCAAAAATTACAAACTGGGTGATGCCTAGCCTCAGTAGCCACATAAGGTCCCAGGCTCCAGGGACCTCTGGCACTGCTGCTGTGATTAGAGCAGTTCAGGTTAAGTGTGGTACAGTCTGATTAAAAATCAGAAGCAGCGTCTTCATAATTAAGGCAATTCTTATTTTAATGTTGGGCATACATTTTCTAATCTTTATCTGTCTATCTTTTCTGTTACATTAATGAAATAAGAATGAGCCTTGAAGTTAATATTCTGCATTTTACACTCAATGTATCAGGAATACATTCAAATATTCGTATAGTACTTATTATTGTCAGCAAATCCTACGCAGCTGAAGATTTTATTTGTTTACCTATTTTTGTAGTGTTGATACCACTGCAACAACCATTTGGGGAACACAGTTCCTCCACTGTCCTCTGCTGGAATGTTTACTTTTAGATAAATTTCCAGGAGTACGTTATGAGAAATGAGAGTAAACGGAATGTTTTGGCTCTATAAATTTGTAGCAATAGTTGAAGGAGTTGATGTGGAAGATACTGGTGTCTTCTGTGGTCGCTAACCCTGGGATGATCCACGAGCCAGTCGGGCCACCCACCTTCTTAAGCATCCCTCTTCTAGTGCGTAGGAGAAAGCCATGGTTGCCAAGGCTTTTCTTGCCCCCTCCTCCAAGCCATGTAAACTAATCGTCCCTCAAGCCCATCCGGACCCTGTAATGCCATGGCTTGTTTGCACCTGCATAGATAGCAGATCATGAGAGTGTGCACAGCGTATAATGCCTTCTCAGTGCATGTTGGGTGTATGAATGAATAAGTGAATAAACAAGTAAGTGAATGAATGAAAGCAAGCAGCCAGGAAGCGCTGCAGCTCAGTCTAGTCTTTTCCCAGGGCAAACACCCAGTAGGTGGCGCTGTTGCACCGGCGGTTGCAAACCCTCAGAGCACGTTTAAACAGAGCTCTCTGACTCTGGGACAGAGGATGTGGAAAACCTGTGTCTTCAAATCACGTCATTAGGTTTGAAGATGACTTAATGTGAAAATAAATGTATTTTAACGTCATTAAAATAATCCTTAGTACTTTAAAATCTCAGCTAGCTTCTGAATGCTTTGGGAATACTTTCTCCATAGTTAACTGCACACAAGCCCGTGGGGTGGGCAGGGCAGGTATTTGCTCTCTGAGATCCAAAGAGGGCAGTTTCTCGGCTGGTAGAGGCAGAGCTGGATGCAGAGCCAGGCACAGAGCCAAGGCGCGTCTGACCCCAGTCCAGCGGGATCTCCTGCAAGCCGCAGTGTTTCCAGAGGCGCACTTCAGTGTGTGGAGTGAAGGGAGAGTCTCCGGACATGAGAAGAGCTGCTCTGAGCAGTGTGGCGGCCGTTTTTGTTTCCTTTCTCTTTCTCCTCCTGGGGCTAGGCAGACACCGGGCACAAAGAAGGAAACAGGCCTTCTGTGAGTGCAGCAGCAATCAATAAAGAAGCAGCCCAGAGCGGCCATCCCTCTTCTGTCTGCTGTGACGCTCCGGCCCAGGTGTCCCTGGGGCTGCCCTCCCCAGGGCCTGTGTGTTGCATATATGGGGTGGGGTGAGGGCAGCTGGAATTGAGGTGGGGACCCTGCAATTGTGAGGGGCTGCGTGGCAGAGGTGGGCGGCTCTCGCAGGCCTCTTCCTGGACACTTGCACCCCCTCATCCTGCTCTCTTTTTCTTCCTGCACTTACATCATCTCATTTGTTTATTTTCTCATTGTCCGTCTCCCTCTACAGGAGCACCAGAGGAGGGGGACTTCATCTGACTTGTTCAGCACTGTCTCCCAGGCCCTGGCACAGAGGGAGCACTCGATACACACCGATGGGCTGAAGGTGTGAATGGATCTGGGGACTAGAGTGATGGTTATTTGGCAGACAGCATGCCCCGCCTGGGCAGTAGCCGTGAAGACTCTTCTTTTCCTCTCCTCGCCTGCACTCTTTAGGATTGAACAGCATTGGTTCAATGCATATTCTGGGAGCACAGAGAAAAAAGGGATCAAGTTCCACCATTATGCAAAAGGGACTCCTGTAAGCCAGGTGAAGAAGGGGCAAGGCCCTTCTTGGTCAGCAGGGATAAGGCAGTTGTGTATGGGAGAGCATGCGAGGAGGGCGAGGGCTGGGGGAGATGGAGCAGGAACATTTGGTTGGGGCTCTGAGGCACTCTTCTGCTTGGGGAGTGTGTGGGCAAAGGCAGGGGCTGTGCAGGAAGGATTTAGCTAAAGCCATAAAGCTGGAAGAGGGTTTGGGGAACGGCTTTGAAGTTACATTTGTTTTGCAAGTTCTTTGTTTTTATTAATGTTTGCATGTTATTTGGGTAGCTGTAGGGAGTAGGTTTTCGGGGAGTTAAAGTGCACTCTCTCACCCCTCCTTCAGTCCTACTACTGCCCCTAGATACACAATCACCTCAAGTGACTTTCACGTCACCAGGAATGGGCAAAGTCTAGATTTTGGAACAGAAAATATTTTAGGTCCCCGTCCCTCTCTGTAACCAATAACCAATGCCATATAAATGGAAAAGTATAAAGAAGTCCAGAAATTCTTATTTTCCCCTCAACGACTAGTCATGCATGACATTTTAAAACTAATACTTCACTGGCATCAGAGCTCCTGGGCTGTGCTTGATCAAACAATTGGGATCTGGCTCTGAAGCACATCCTTGATCCGTACGGATTTTTGTCAGAGAATCTTCCGCTTGAAAGGCAGTGTTCGGGGTCTTCCAAGGCACACTGAACTACGTTAAGCCCCTCATACACACCCAAAGTACGTAAGGCAGAAGGAACCTGGATACCCTTTGTGGTTGATGGTGAGGCGGGCCACCACTGTGGCCCTGAATCCCCCACTGAATCACACCCTTTGTGATCTGACTCTGCAGCTCTTTCCATCTGCAGTGGTGTCTGTTTCCCCAGCTCAGGAATCTAGTTGGCTTTTTGACTTGTTTTGACCAATAACAGCAGCAGAAGGGGCCAGTTATGAAGCTAGGCCTCAGGACACCTTGCGCGTGGCTCTACAATTCACATTGCCTTGGCGGCAGCCAGCCTCCAGTGGACCTGGAAGCTAACTGCAGATGCAGGGGTAAGCCCGGTGGGAAGGGCTGAGTTGTGTGCACCCGAATTCCTATGTGGAAGTCCTAACTCCCAGGGCCTCAGAATGTAACCGTATTTGGAAATAGGGTCTGTGCATAGCTTATTAAGTTAAAATGAGGCCTTTAAGGTGGCCCCGATTCAGTAGGACTGCTGTCCTTATAAGAAAAGGAAATTTGGATACTGACACACACATGCACCAAGGGACGAACACACAAAGATACAGGAAGAAGGCGGCCATCTAGGAACCAAATCAACCCTGCGGATAACCGGATGTCAGACTTCCAGCCTCTGGGACTGAGAGAAGTAACCTGAGGTTACTCTTCACGCACACACAGTATTCCTTCCTTCTCTGCGTCTAGATACATGTCTCTCCCAAATAAGCATCGTAATCGCCATTCCTAAATCCAGCACCTGGTCATTTATTTATTTTCAAGAGGTAATACGGTAGAATCTTTAGAGCTAAAGTGAGCGTTCTATTTCGCTCTCCAGGTTTCCTGTGCTCAGGTGATCTTCAGCCCGTCACAGGCCCTGGCTGCATTTCTTTCTTCCACTGTAGGAGGAACCAACGGGGATCTGCTGTATTGTGCAAGAAAATATACATTGGCCGCCATTCTGGAAGCACTCAGGGGTTTTCGAAGGCATTGGCCATGGCCTGTGGGGAGGGAAGTATATTTCAGCTCCTCAGCTGACAATGGTATTCCCTATGAAGCCCGCACTGCGGTCTGTGTCAATCTGTGCCACGCTGTCGGTGGTTCTTGGCTTGCAGGACAGCCTCAACTCTAAAAATGCCAGATTCCATAGTATCTGCCCCAAATGCTGACTCTTAGCTCCCTCTTGCACCCCAGCTTCCAGTCCCTGCTAAAGAGATAGAATGGGGTGGAGATTCCGTAACAGGAATCTCTGCAACCTTCTATGAGTGTGAAGACAAGCCAGAGCACAGCCCCTACTTGCCCTGCGCATAGAAGGGCAGGAGGCACTGGGCAGAAAGAGTGGACAGGACTCCTCGGGGGACTGGGACCCCATAGGCCACTGAGATACATCCACGGCCTCAGGAGGCCGGCATGGTGGGCCGGCTTGGCGGGAGAGGAGGCAGAGAATACAGAAAACAGAAGCCGGAAAGCAACAGCAACAGAAACACCGCCACTACCTCCAATGTCTGTGATGCTTTAAGAGGCTCTTCCTGAACCTAGCCTCAGGTGTCATCAATGAAACCCTCTGTGCCACGTGGGGTTTTTATTCCTGTTTTACAGAGACAGGGTTGAATTTGAGGACAACTCAGTTACTCGCAGGAAGGCCCACTGCGAGTGAGTGTCAGAGCTGGGAACCACACACTGTACTTTGGCTCCCAGGCCGAGCCCTCTTCTGTATCCTGCACTTTCTCGCAGGCTGAGCCCTCTTCTGTATCCTGCACTTTCTCGCAGGCTGAGCCCTCTTCTGTATACTGCACTTTCTTCCAGGCCGAGAAATGAATCAGGTGGGAAATGAGCCCTGGGGACAGGTGCCTCCTATGAGGCAGTTATCTGCAAGGCCTATTTCTAGCGCTAACCATATCTGCTGTCCTAAAAGCCTGGCTCATTCCTTTCACTGTCTCCCTGGTAAGTCGGTTCTTGTTCCAGGGAAGCAACCCTCAGTCTAAAGAGATCCTGGAGGATGTCTCAGTAAGTTAAAAAAATATATATAAGCATTTTCCTTGAGTCTGTATTATTTTGATCCTCTCCCTGATGCTCAGATTTATTACTTATTTCTAGACCCTGAGCCGTTGTCAAAACACAGCTTAATCCCCATTCCCTGGGCCCGAGACCCTGCAGCCCCCACGCTGCCCGGCTTCCGGTCTTACCTGGGGCAACCTGACCAACAAGAACGCGGAAGGCCAGGAGCCAAAAACAGAGACTCCTGATGGGTAACAGAAGGAAAAGGTATGTGCCCTGCTGAGACCACGAGGCTCGCTGGAAGAGCCTCTGTTTATACTGCTTCTGGCTGCTTACACAACAGATCTGGAAGTGTTGCCTGTTATGAGACTTAATTATAGAGAATGATTCTTTGTTTTTAAATTTTTTTATTTCTTTTTTATTTTATTTTATTATTATACTTTAAGTTCTAGGGTACATGTGCACAATGTGCAGTTTAGTTACTTATGTACACATGTGCCATGTTGGTGCGCTGCACCCATTAACTCGTCATTTACATTAGGTATATCTCCTAATGCTGTCCCTCTCCCCTCCCCCCACCCCACAACAGTCCCTGAATGTGATGTTCCCCTTCCTGTGTCCATGTATTCTCATTGTTCAGTTCCCACCTATGAGTGAGAACATGCGGTGTTTGGTTTTTTTGTCCTTGCCATAGTTTGCTGAGAATGATGGTTTCCAGTTTCATCCATGTCCCTACAAAAGACATGAACTCTTAATTTTTTATGGCTGCATAGTATTCCATGGTGTATATGTGCCACATTTTCTTAATCCAGTCTATCATTGTTGAACATTTGGGTTGGTTCCAAGTCTTTGCTATTGTGAATAGTGCCGCCATAAACATACGTGTGCATGTGTCTTTATAGCAGCATGATTTATAGTCCTTTGGGTATATACCCAGTAATGGGATGGCTGGGTCAAATGGTATTTCTAGTTCTAGATCCCTGAGGAATCGCCACACTGACTTCCACAGTGGTTGAACTAGTTTACAGTCCCACCAACAGTGTAAAAGTGTTCCTATTTCTCCACATCCTCTCCAGCACCTGTTGTTTCCTGACTTTTTAATGATTGCCATTCTAACTGGTGTGAGATGGTATCTCATTGTGGTTTTGATTTGCATTTCTCTGATGGCCAGTGATGATGAGCATTTTTTCATGTGTTTTTTGGCTGCATAAATGTCGTCTTTTGAGAAGTCTCTGTTCATATCCTTTGCCCACTTTTTGATGGGGTTGTTTGTTTTTTTCTTGTAAATTTGTTTGAGTTCATTGTAGATTCTGGATATTAGCCCTTTGTCAGATGCGTAGGTTGTGAAAATTTTCTCCCATTCTGTAGGTTGCCTGTTCACTCTGATGGTAGTTTCTTTTGCTGTGCAGAAGCTCTTTAGTTTAATTAAATCCGATTTGTCTATTTTGGCTTTTGTTGCCATTGCTTTTGGTGTTTTAGACATGAAGTCCTTGCCCATGCCTATGTCCTGAATGGTATTGCCTAGGTTTTCTTCTAGGGTTTTTATGGTTTTAGGTCTAACATGTAAGTCTTTAATCCATCTTGAATTAATTTTTGTATAAGGTGTAAGGAAGGGATCCAGTTTCAGCTTTCTCCATATGGCTAGCCAGATTTCCCAGCACCATTTATTAAATAGGGAATCGTTTCCCCATTGCTTGTTTTTGTCAGGTTTGTCAAAGATCAGATGGTTGTAGATATGCGGCATTATTTCTGAGGGCTCTGTTCTGTTCCATTGATCTATATCTCTGTTTTGGTACCAGTACCATGCTGTTTTGGTTACTGTAGCCTTGTAGTATAGTTTGAAGTCAGGTAGTGTGATGCCTCCGGCTTTGTTCTTTTGGCTTAGGATTGACTTGGTGATGCGGGCTCTTTTTTGGTTCCATATGAACTTTAAAGTAGTTTTTTCCAATTGTGTGAAGAAAGTCACTGGTAGCTTGATGGGGATGGCATTGAATGTATAAATTACCTTGGGCAGTATGGCCATTTTCACGATATTGATTCTTCCTACCCATGAGCATGGAATGTTCTTCCATTTGTTTGTATCTTCTTTTATTTCATTGAGTAGTGGTTTGTAGTTCTCCTTGAAGAGGTCCTTCACACCCCTTTTAAGTTGGATTCCTAGATATTTTATTCTCTTTGAAGCAATTGTGAATGGGAGTTCACTCATGATTTGGCTCTCTGTTTGTCTGTTATTGGTGTATAAGAATGCTTCTGATTTTTGTACATTGATTTTGTATCCTGAGACTTTGCTGAAGTTGCTTATCAGCTTAAGGAGATTTTGGGCTGAGACAATGGGGTTTTCTAGATATACAATCATGTCATCTCCAAACAGGGACAATTTGACTTCCTCTTTTCCAAACTGAATGCCTTTATTTCTTTCTCCTGCCTAATTGCCCTGGCCAGAGCTTCCAACCCTATGTTGAATAGGAGTGGTGAGATAGGGCATCCCTGTCTTGTGCCAGTCTTCAAAGGGAATGCTTCCAATTTTTGTCCATTCAGTATGATATTGGCTGTGGGTTTGTCATAGATAGCGCTTATTATTTTGAGATACGTCCCATCAATACCTAATTTATTGAGAGTTTTTAGCATGAAAGGTGGTTGAATTTTGTCAAAGGCCTTTTCTGCATCTATTGAGATAATCATGTGGTTTTTGTCTTTGGTTCTGTTTATATGCTGGATTACATTTATTGATTTGCATATGTTGAACCAGCCTTGCATCCCAGGGATGAAGCCCACTTGATCATGGTGGATAAGATTTTGATGTGCTGCTGGATTAGGTTTGCCAGTATTGTACTGAGGATTTTTGCATCAATGTTCATCAAGGATATTGGTCTAAAATTCTCTTTTTTGGTTGTGTCTCTGCCAGGCTTTGGTATCAGGATGATGTTGGCCTCATAAAATGAGTTAGGGAGGATTCCCTCTTTTTCTATTGATTGGAATAGTTTCAGAAGGAATGGTACCAGCTCCTCCTTGTACCTCTGGCAGAATTCGGCTGTGAATCCATCTGGTCCTGCACTTTTTTTGGCTGGTAAGCTATTGATTATTGCCACAATTTCAGAGCCTGTTATTGGTCTACTCAGAGATTCAACTTCTTCCTGGTTTAGTCTTGGGAGGGTGTATGTGTCGAGGAATTTATCCATTTCTTCTAGATTTTCTGGTTTATTTGCGTAGAGTTGTTTGTAATATTCTCTGATGGTAGTTTGTATTTCTGTGGGATCAGTGGTGATATCCCCTTTATCATTTTTTATTGCATCTATTTGATTCTTCTCTCTTTTCTTCTTTACTAGTTTTGCTAGCAGTCTATCAATTTGGTTGATCTTTTCAAAAAACCAGCTCCTGGATTCATTAATATTTTAAAGGGTTTTTGTGTCTCTATTTCCTTCAGTTCTGCTCTGATTTTAGTTATTTCTTGCCTCCTGCTAGCTTTTGAATGTGTTTGCTCTTGCTTTTCTAGTTCTTTTAATTGTGATGTTAGGGTGTCAATTTTGGATCTTTCCTGCTTTCTCTTGTGAGCATTTAGTGCTATAAATTTCCCTCTACACACTACTTTGAATGTGTCCCAGAGATTCTGGTATGTTGTGTCTTTGTTCTCGTTGGTTTCAAAGAACATCTTTATTTCTGCCTTCATTTCGTTATGTACCCAGTAGTCATTCAGGAGCAGGTTGTTCAGTTTCCATGTAGTTGAGCGGTTTTGAGTGAGTTTCTTAATCCTGAGTTCTAGCTTGATTGCTCTGTGGTCTGCGAGACAGTTTGTTATAATTTCTGTTCTTTTACATTTGCTGAGGAGTGCTTTACTTCCAACTATGTGGTCAATTTTGGAATAGGTGTGGTGTGGTGCTGAAAAGAATGTATATTCTGTTGAGTTGGGGTGGAGAGTTCTGTAGATGTCTATTAGGTCTGCTTGGTGCAGAGCTGAGTTCAATTCCTGGGTATCCTTGTTAACTTTCTGTCTCGCTGATCTGTCTAATGTTGACAGTGGGGTGTTAAAATCTCCCATCATTATTGTGTGGGAGTCTAAGTCTCTTTGTAGGTCACTCAGGACTTGCTTTATGAATCTGGGTGCTCCTGTATTGGGTGCATATATATTTAGGATAGTTAGTTCTTCTTGTTGAATTGATCCCTTTACCATTATGTAATGGCCTTCTTTGTCTCTTTTGATCTTTGTTGGTTTAAAGTTTGTTTTATCAGAGACTAGGATTGCAACCCCTGCCTTTTTTTGTTTTCCATTTGCTTGGTAGATCTTCCTCCATCCCTTTATTTTGAGCCTATGTGTGTCTCTGCACATGAGATGGGTTTCCTGAATACA
Source organism: Homo sapiens (assembly GCF_000001405.40). Classification (NCBI taxonomy): domain Eukaryota; kingdom Metazoa; phylum Chordata; class Mammalia; order Primates; family Hominidae; genus Homo; species Homo sapiens. The sequence continues at coordinate 6,849,008 of NC_000008.11, forward strand.
GCACACTGATGGGTCTTGAGTCTTTATGCAATTTGCCAGTCTGTGTCTTTTAATTGGAGCACTTGGCCCATTTACATTTAAAGTTAATAATGTTATGTGTGAATTTGGTCCTCTCATTGTGATGTTAGCTGGTTATTTTGCTCATCAGTTGATGCAGTTTCTTCCTAGCCTTGACGGTCTTTACAGTTTGGCATGTTATTGCAGTGGCTGGTACCGGTTGTTCCTTTCCATGTTTAGTGCTTCCTTCAGGAGCTCTTTTAGGGCAGGCCTGATGGTGACAAAATCTCTCAGCATTTGCTTGTCTGTAAAGTATTTTGTTTCTCCTTCACTTATGAAGCTTAGTTTGGCTGGATATGAAATTCTGGGTTGAAAATTCTTTTCTTTAAGAATGTTGAATATTGGCCGCCAGTCTCTTCTGGCTTGTAGAGTTTCTGCCGAGAGATCCGCTGTTAGTCTGATGGGCTTCCCTTTGTGGGTAACCTGACCTTTCTCTCTGGCTGCCCTTAACATTTTTTCCTTCATTTCAACTTTGGTAAATCTGACAATTATGTGTCTTGGAGTTGCTCTTCTGGAGGAGTATCTTTGTGGCATTCTCTGTATTTCCTGAATCTGAATGTTGGCCTGCCTTGCTAGATTGGGGAAGTTCTCCTGGATAATATCCTGCAGAGTGTTTTCCCACTTGGTTCCATTCTCCCCGTCACTTTCAGGTACACCAGTCAGATGTAGATTTGGTCTTTTCACATAGTCCCATATTTCTTGGAGACTTTGTTCATTTCTTTTTATTCTTTTTTCTCTAAACTTCCCTTCTCGCTTCATTTCATTCATTTAGTCTTGCATCACTGATACCCTTTCTTCCAGTTGATCGCATTGGCTTCTGAGGCTTCTGCATTCTTCACATAGTTCTCGAGCCTTGGCTTTCATCTCCATCAGCTCCTTTAAGGACTTCTCTGCATTGGTTATTCTAGTTATCCATTCGTCTAATTTTTTTTCACAGTTTTTAACTTCTTTGCCGTTGGTTTGAATTTCCTCCTGTAGCTCGGAGTAGTTTGATCGTCTGGAGCCTTCTTCTCTCAACTCGTCAAAGTCGTTCTCCATCCAGCTTTGTTCCTTTGCTGGTGAGGAGCTGCATTCCTCATATATAAATGCAGAAATCACCTGTCTTCTGCGTCGCTCACGCTGGGAGCTGTGGACCAGAGCTGTTCCTATTCGGCCATCTTGGCTCCACCCGAGAATGAATCTTATCTGCACAGGGAGTGCTTTCCGATTGAGCAGCTCCATTCCTACCCTTCTGCTGGCCAGCCACACGTTTAGATGGGAAAGACCTCATATTTAGCTCCAAGGGTGGACGCTTGGCCTACATACCTGACCACAGAGGTCAATGGGCCTCAGGGAACACAGACAGCCAGGGCCAGAAGAGGGATGGAAATGTCTGTCAACTTCTCATTTAAAGAATTTGAAGGTGATCTCTGTTGTGGCCCTGCACAGAACCAACCTGCTTGGTGCTGACTTCTGCAGTGAGAAGTCAGCTCACTGCAGAAGTTAGTACCAAGTATCCACCTGTTCCACAAAGCCAGATTCTAGGACAGCTGGTGACAGACAACTCAGCGAGGGGAGACCAGGGGCCCAGGGCAGGTCACTGCAAGGGGAATTCCCACACACCAGAACCCACTTCCCACCATACATATGCAGATGCACACACCCATAGCTGCACATGTATGTGTGCACTCATACATGCACACACACACACACATGCATACCCAGTCACACTGGAAGATGCACACATGAACATACATGCCTGCCTGCACACACCTACATGCACATACACCCCATACACACACCTGCACATGCACACCTGCGCATATACACACATGCACACCTGCACACACCTACATGCACATGCACCCCATACACTCAACCTGCACATGTGCCTCTGCACATATACAGACATGCACACCTGCACACATATGCACATGCACCCCATACACTCATACCTGCACATATACACATATGCACACTTGCACATAGACACAAATGCATACCTGAACACACCTATATGCACACACACACCACATACACTCATACCTGCACATGTGCCCCTGCACATATACACACATGCACACCTGCACACACCTACATGCACACACACCCCACACACTCACTCCTGCACATGCGCACCTGCACATATACACACATGCACACCTGCACTTCCTGCACCTGCATGCACACACACCCCATACACTCCTGCACATGCACACCTGCACATATACACACATGCACACCTGCACACACCTACCTGCACATGCACCCCATACACTCACACCTGCACTTGTGCCCCTGCACGTATACACACACGTGCACCTGCACACACCTACATGCACGCACACACCCCATACAATCACACCGGCACATGCGCACCCGCACATATACACACATGCACACCCACACACACACCTATATCCACACACATCCTGTACACTCATTCCTGCACATACACACACATGCACACCTGCACACACCTACATGCACACTCGTACCCTCAAATGCAGATGCACACTTGCACAAATACATGCACACTTGCACACACTCATACATACACTTGCACATGCACACGTCGATACATGCACACCTGCATAAACCTACATGCATACGTGCACACTTATACACTGATATACATGCAGATACACATGCACACCTGCACACACTCAAGCATGCATGCACGCACACCCCATACACTCACACACATCCACATGCATATACATGCACACCTGCAAACACCCACGCCCACATATGCACACACACACACACACACACACGGTCTGAGTGTCTGTTTTCCCATTTACTAGTAGGAGGGTGTCTGCAGAGGGCATCTCTGTCTCCTGCAGGAATCCGTTTTCACCTTAGCTGGATCAGGGTTATCCCGTGACTCCCTCTCTTAACCTGGGAAGCTTTCTGAATCCAACCTTTGGGGCCAAGTGGAAACTTCTTTGGGCTTCCTCGTCTCTGTACCAGCTGGAGACCCAGGCAAGAGGGGTTCTTCTCGGGCCTGGGGTTAAGAGGTCTTCTGTCTGGCCAGATCTATGTCCCTTCTCATTAATCATTCTCTGGGCTCCTATGACCTAAGAATTACTTGCCCCCAGCCTTCGTCTAGGGCCTTTGGAAGTTTCTTCCTTGGGTTGGAACCCCAAGGTGAGACGTGCTCCCAGGGTGTGTCATAGGCCAAGTGGTGGCTGCTGTGAGACTGTGACACAGCTTAGAGATGCAAGCCAAGAGGTCCTGTGTGGGAGTGCATGAGACCCTGGAGGCTGAGGATGGTCTTGGCTGTAGGGAGAGAAAGGGGAGGGGCTGCAAGCCAAGGCCCTGCCCTCTTTGTGCTGTCTGATTCTGGTGCGGGAGTTGTGGGAGTGCAAGGATCCTACATTTTTCCTGGAGGTCCAGGTTGTCTTGGAAGTATATTTGTTTAGGGTGGGAGGATAGAACACGTTTTAGTCAACAGTGTGATAGTTTGATTTATAGCTGTTAAATATTAGTCTCTTGGCACATAAGTCTCTGTTTGTTCTTCCCCACTATTCTCAAATATTTGTGGTGGGACTGAGCGGCCTGCAGGGAAAATCACTCATCCATCCCAGGGCAGGACTGCAGCTTCTGCCTGCATTGACAGTAGGGCTCAGTGCTTCTCAAATTATGGGTGTTTCCTGAGTCTCTAAACCTTGGAGTCTTTGTGCACTTCTACAACCTCCTCGCTTGGCTTCTCCCTCTTATCAGCTGCTAAGTCTTTCCACACAGCCTGTCAAAGGGAGAAAGACATGTTTCTAACTGCCCGCATTCTGTTCTGCTGCATTTCTCATGGTTTATCTGATCTCTGAACTGGGCCCCATCCCAGGGAGCCAGAGAAGCTGGCTTCTGCACTGGAGGAGAACCACTGCCTTCAAAACAGCCCCAACCCTTCATGTCTTGTTCCAGGAAACTTTCCCCAAGGGGAGACCACAAGTTAAATCATCTCCACCTGGTTCTTTCACTATCTTGTTTCAAGAACAAACAAGTCAAGTTGCAACGCCCACTGAAAAGAGTGGAGCAGGATGCAGTTTGTAATGCCTACCTGCCTGGGGAGCCATGGTCCAAGCACCTCCATAGACTTTCTACAACCTTCAGACAAAGCTTTCAGGACTTGACCGCAGGGAGTCCATCAACTCCCTGCTTAGCCTCAAATGTCTTCCTTGCACTCCTTGGTCTAGAAACAGCAGTGAGTTTGGAATGCTCCATCTGGCCTGTGAACCCCCAAAATCTGAGACAGGTCTCAGTTAATTTAGAAAGTTTATTTTGTCAAAGTTGGGGTTGTGTGCCTGTGAAACCGCCTCAGGAGATCCTGAGGACATGTGCCCAAGGTCTTCAGAACACAGTTTGGTTTTACACAATCTAGGGAGACAGGAGACATCAATCAACATGTGCAAGATGAACATCGGTCCGGTCTGGAAAGGCAGAACAACTTGAAGCAAAGGCGAGAAGACAAAGCAGGGAGGGGCTTCCAAATGATAGGAAGGGCTTCCAAGAATGCAAATGGTTGCATTCTTTTGAATTTCTGATGAGCCTCTCCAAAGGAGGCAATCAGATATGTATTCATCTCAGTGAGCAGAGGGGTGACTGAATAGAATGGGAGGCAGGTTGTCCCTAAGCAGTTCCCAGCCGGACCTTTCCCTTTAGCTTAGTGATTTGTTGGGGGACCCCAAGATATATTTTCCTTTTGTAGGCCCTAGATACTTCTGCTGAATTTTCCATTCTGCAGATACGGCACCTGGGTTCAATGAGGCTTCTGTCATCTCCTAGATTTGAGTTTTTGGTGTGTCAAGAGGATATGAAATTTTAGGATGCTGTGATAGAATCAGAGTTTTGCTGGCTTTAAAATATAGCACCAGAAATACAGTGAGGCCAACGGATCAGGACACGGTGCCATTGAAAAGGGAGTTTGTTAGACCCACAGATCGCAGGAGGGGCACACAGAGCAGGGGGGCCACATGGGGAAGCCTGGGGTTAGGAAGTAGATGGAGACAAAAGGAACTGTGGGCGAGAGCCTTTCTTGTGATTTCCATGGGAAGAAATGAGAAGACAGGGCAAGCAGGTTTGGGATTTGCTAGTATGAATAATTTCAGCAGTTCTGGGGCACAGAGGGTGTCCCTAGTCGTCTGGTACCTGGCCCAGGGTAGATAAGGGCTGGTGGATAGAGACCAGAGCATGAGAGCCTCCCGAAGAGGGCAACTGGGGGTGTGGACTTTTGATTGGTTGGTTTGCATTTGAAAGGGGTGCTCCTGGGAGAGTTGCCTACTATCTCTAAGAATTGGCTGACTCTGAGGGGGCAAGTCCCCAGATATCAAGGCATGAGAATTCAGACAACAAGAGATACGGCGAATCCACTGCTCCAACATGCCTTCCCTCAGCCGTGGCTTGGCAGTGGCTCTCAGCAGGTAAACTGTACTCCCTGACCCGCCGACACAGGGCCTGACAGTGTGCCTTGTGTCCACCAGCAGGAAGCAGTGGCTGCGTGCCTGTTCCAGAAAGGGCAGCATGTGTCTCAGCCCACAGCCTTCAGCCCTCAGCTCCCATGGGGAGAGCGTGTCATAGGCAGCCCCTGTTCACTGAGCATTTGTCCCCGACAGGGCCACACACAGAGCAGCCCTGAGCCCAGTCCAGAGCCGGCTGCAGAGGCCACAGAGCCAACTGTGAATGGCGACATGAATGTTTGTGACTTCCAGAATCTGAGATTTGGGGACGTTTGTTCTTGCAGCAAAAGGCGATCAGTACAGACACCTGGGATTTTGGATGTGCGGGAATCTCTAAGAGCTGCAGGGGCTTCATATCTATACTGCAGGCTTCACCTTTTCCCGCCACCTTGAAAACTGCTCTTGGTCCTATGGGACTTCCAGACTGCAGGAGGAGATCTTCGAGGCCGTCTTTGTCTTTGACCTCACACAACTCACCGAAGCAAGTTTACCTTGCCTGTTTTTACCTCCTAAATGTTTCTCGAATCTTTGTCCTCCTCTCTGTTCTTAGTATCTTAGGTCTGGCTTCCATTGTTTCTCCCAGGATCAATACAAGAGGCTCCCACATGGGCTCCCCACCTCCAGAATTGCCTTTGGACCTCACATCTGTACTCCACCCAGCTATTAAAGGGATCCCTCTAGGATTAGTGTCCTCGGGCTGCTGTAACAAAGTATGAGAAACTGGGTGGCTCAAAACCACAAAATTGTACTGCCTCACATTGTTCTGGAGGTCACAAGTCTGAAATCTGGTGTTGGCCGGGCCATGCTCCATCTCACAATGCTGAGAGAGGATCCCATCTTGCCTCTTCCAGCTTCTGTTAATGGCTGGCAATCCCTGCCTTCCCTGGCTTGTAGAGGCATCATGTCCAGTCACACGGCCCTGTATGTCTTCACGTCGTCCTCTCTCTGTATGCCCCTCTCTCTGGGTCCAATTTCTCCTTTATATAAGGACACCGGTCCTATTGGATTAGGGCCTCCCAAATGACTCCATTACAGGTTGATTATCTATGCAAAGACCCTATTGCCAAATAAAGTCACACTCTGAGTGGCTGGAGTTAGGACTTGAATGTCTCTTTTCCTGGGGACACAATTCATGCCATAGCATAATGTATCTGAATTTCATGTCTGACTGTGTCACCTCTTCAAGGACCCAAAGTTTTCTGAGGCTCCTCATCTCCCAGGCTGTGCCCCCACCAAAGGTCAGGAGCTGTCTGCTGGAGCTTTGACAGCAACAGGCAAACATGGTCTACCTTCCTGGAGCATTGTTTTTCCTCTCAGGATTCAAAAATGATTACCTTGCAATGCAATGGAATGGAATAGAATGGAAGGGACACATGCCTTTGCCTGATAAGATGCGGCTTTGAAGGTATTTTGAACATCCAGCAGGTAGCCCCTTTGGCACCAGTGGGGCTTTTGTTCTCATTTGCCCACGCAGGTGAAGCATGTTGCAGAGCATTTGAACAGCTCTCACCTACAGGAAAAGGCCCAACATTGTTAAATTGTGCAAGGTCATGCTGCACAGATTATTTAATCTTAGCTCAACTCAGCCATCAGCTCTCTTGCTAACACTTTCCAATGAGGCACCATCAAACTGTTCTTGCTCATGCCTCAGCTCCTGGACTGTTTGCTGATCCCTACTTTTCCCTTGTCCAACAGGCCTGACTCCCAGTCAGTTAAAGAACGCCTTCTCTGATCCTCTAGGTCTTTCCCACTTTGTGACAGTTACATTCCCCGTGCTTGCGAAAGACATTGATAACGTCTTTATCTTTGTATGTTCTGTATCATATTACAATTTGTAATTACCTTTGGAATGTGACAGCTCACATTAGCAGGTGAATTCTTTAAGGAAAGCAATTTTTAAAAATATTTTAAATCCTTCACGTCCTTGACATTCGGTGGAGTTCACTTCCTGGGATATACTAGACACTTAACACATGTTTGTGGAAAGCTGGTGATGTTTTACTTCCTGACACTACAATTTAAAAAATCTCTATCTCACTTTTCAAAACCTTGAAAATAATGCAAAAAACTTTGAGGCAAAAATACATTGTTTTGTACTAATATTCAGAAGACTTATGCAACTATTACGACATAATTGATTTGTTGGAATTTTTTCATTTTCAATTACAATAGCATCCATTTTTTATAATAGAAAAATTATGAATACATATACAAGGAAAATAAAAATCACAGAGAAAAATAAGCCCAGATGGATTTAGGATTTGTTTGTGAAGGCAGAAATTTAAGTTAATTTGAGTAAAGTAGTGTGCGATCATGATTACCTCAAGTAGGAAAGAATTTATTTATTTATTTATTTTTTTGGTGAGATGGAATTTCTCTCTTGTTGCCCAGGCTGGAGTGCAATGGTGCAATCTTGGGTCACCGCAACCTCTGCCTCCCAGAATCAAGCGATTCTCCTGCCTCAGCCTCCCAAGTAGCTGGGATTACAGGCATGAGCCACCACGCCCGGCTAATTTTATATTTTTAGTGGAGATGGGGTTTTACTGTATTGGTCAGACGGGCCTTGAATTCCTGACCTCAGGTGATCCACCTGCCTCGGCCTCCCAGAGTGTTGGGATTACAGAAGTGAGCCACTGCGCCTGTCTGAGGAAAGAATTTTTCTGAAGTCATGAAAACTACGAACTGATGGGAAAAAGTCTGATATGTTCTACTCCGTTAAAATCAAGAACTTCCTTTTTATGCTAAAGACACTATAATGGAAGTGAAAGCCAGTTCAAAACTGGAGGAAGATATTCTTACAAATATATTTTACAAAATGTAAGTACGTCTGAATGCAGAAATGACAGAAAGCCAGTTCACTGCAACCCTCCCCACTGGAAGCATATCTTCTGCCCAATGGTGAATTTGCTAAAAGTGGACTAATCAAATGACCGGTGTGCTGGACGTAAGAATTTTCAAAGTCCTCAGCTTCTCTGTGTCTTCACCATATCAGTTTTGTTTCTGTGATTTGTCACAAATATCTGTTTCATATTTCACATCCAGGTGCATCAAAAATGCTCAGTGTTGGCCAGGCGCAGTGGCTCACGCCTATAATCCCAGCACTTTGGGAGGCCGAGGTGGGCAGATCACTTGAGTTGAGGGGTTCGAGACCAGCCTGGCCAACATAGTGAAATCCCATCTCTACTAAAAACACAAAAATTAGCTGAGTGCAGTGGTGCACACCTGTAATCCCAGCTCCTTGGGAGGCTGAAACAGGAGAATTGCTTGAACCTGGAAGGCGGAGGTTGCAGTGAGCTGAGATCATGCCACTGCACTCCAGCCTGGGTGACAGAGTGAGTCTCCATTTCCAAAATATAAATAAATATAAATGCCCAGTTTTATAGATAGAGGTGTGTGAGGTTGTCCTGAGATGAAGTTTGCGATCTGCATTTTGGCAGGTTCATGCCTGCCTGGGTCCCGTGCTATTCCCACCTCTGATCTTGCTGTGGTGCCTGCCTCTACCCCTCCCATTCCACCTTCATCCCAGGGACTGCCCTACTCCCCTCCTTCCCCATCTCCAGCACCCCTTCCCCCTCCCTCATTCAGCCCTGTTTCACCCTGGTCCTTCTTTGCTCTGGAGGTTAAAAGAATCTGGTGACTTGTCTTAGGCACAATTTAAAGTTGCGGGACAATAGGTCATTGGGAAAAATGTATTCAGAGAGTTGTTTTTTTGGAAAATTAAATAATGGAAAATCAGTCATTCAGGGATTTGACTTGGAGCCCCAGGGAAGAGACCTGGAGCCCAGATTACCCAGGCTACCCTTACTGGCCACTAGAAGGCGGCCTTGAGAAAGCGAAGATTTGGACCCTGCAGAAACCAGCTCTTCTTCCACCAAACTTTCTGTAAAGAGCGGGTGCCTGAAGCCCGTGGGTTTTGCATTAAAAAATGAAATGCAAGGCCAGACGCGGTGGCTCATGCCTGTAATCCCAGCATTTTGGGAGGCTGAGGTGGGCGGATCACAGGGTCAGGAGATGAAGACCATCCTGGCCAATATGGTGAAACCCGGTCTGTACTAAAAATACAAAAGTTAGCTGGGTGTGGTGGTGCGCACCTGTAGTCCCAGCTACTTGGGAGGCTGAGGCAGAAGAATCGCTTGAACCTAGGAGGCAGAGATTACAGTGAGCCGAGATCATGCCACTGCACCCTAGCCTGGTGATAGAGCAAGACTCTGTCTCAAAAAAAAAAAAAATTGCAGATGCTCACCCAAAATTGTAGGGTGAAGTAATGTGGAATCTGAGACGTAGGACTACTTCATTTAAAAATGTCGTGTAAAAAAGAGTGGCGAAGGAGGTGGTTTTCTCTTAACAGTGCCCTGTGAAGGTTCCCTGGTGGGGGCGGTGGGTGGATGAGGGGCCCCTATAGCTACAGATGGACAGATGGACAGCACGGCAATCTCCTGCGTCATGTCCATCTTCAGAGTCTTTTCTCATTTAGTTGGTAACAGGGCTGTTCACTGGCAAGAAGGAAAAGGAAAGGGTTTTAAGAGATTCACAGAAAAACACAGGAATGATTTAATTTTGTTGAACAGATTTAGAATTCAAATTTGTTAAGAGCTTAACTTTAAAAGTTGCCGTTCAAGAGGACAGCAGGAAAAGTTAAGGATGCTCCATGCAGAGGTATAGTTTTAGTAATCTGAGAGGTCAGCCCTCAGGACCTGGGATGTCAGTGGTTCTGTTGCTTGGTTGCCCAGGGGGAATTCGTAATTCAGGATTTATGACTCTGTAGCTTAAAGGACTTTTATGGTCCTCTGTGATTGTTTTCTTTGTTCTGGCAAATACCCAATCATGATGATGCCTATAGAAAAAGAAAAGAATAATCAGTGTCAAAAAGATCAGACTAAAATTCAAGCTTTTCTTTTTTCCTTCATACTTTTTTCTTTCTTTTCCTGGCTCCCTTCTTTCTTCCCTCTTTCTTTCTCCTTCCTTCTTTTTCTTTCTGTTTTTCCTTCCATCTCTTTCTTTGCTTTCTTTTCTCTTTTCTTCTCTTTCCTTTTATTTTCTCTCCTCTTTTTTCCTTGTCAAATGACTTGATTACTTTTTCCTTACATGCTGGAACATTTTAACTAATTGCATCTAGTTTTCAATATTATATTTCTCCAAATTTCTTCATTCAAATTAAGACTTTTCAGGTTCTGTTTTTTCGTTTGTTTGTTTGGTTGGTTGGTTTTTTTTTTTTTTTAGACGGAATCTCACTCTGTTACCCAGGCTGGAGTACAATGACGGGATCCCGACTCACCACAACCTCTTTCTCCTGGGTTGAAGCAATTATCCTACCTCAGCTTCCTGAGTAGCTGGCATACAGGTGCCCACCACCATGCCCAGCTAATTTTTGTATTTGTAGTAGAGTCAAGGTTTCACTATGTTGGCCAGGCTGGTCTCAAACTCCGGACCTCAAGTGATTCTCCCTCCTCGGTCTCCCAAAGTGCTGGGGTCACAGGCGTGAGCCACCGCGCCCGGCCCAGGTTCTCTTTTGAATTCGTTCCCACTGGCCTTTGTGTTTTTAGTAAATTTGGCCCTCTCTGTCTTTGTGATGTCATCAGCCTTTGCGGACCTGCAATGTCCCACTCCTCTGCCAGTGTGGAGCCCAAATACACATCATGTCCTCTTTCTCTTTGCAAGCCTGGAGGGCATCCTTAGACTAGGCTAACTTGAGCTCAGCTCTTGTCTGGACATTGCTGACTGTGTGGAGTCTATTATTCTGAGGTGGACAGGGAGGAGCAGGGAGGGAGGGGCTGAGAGCTGAGGTTTCTGTCGGGGTGGGTGGTCTAAACACCTGCTGCTTGCATTCAAGGATCTGTTAGTTTCTGCTAGGGTCACTGTGAAAGCGGCTGGACTTAGATCATTTAGTTGACATGTTGTCCTGTAACTACCCAATGGGTTCACCCTGCCTGCTGCCTAGACAGAGCCAACTTATCAAGACAGGGGAATTGCAATGGAGAAGAAGTAATTCATGCAAAGACTGGAGTTTTGTTGTTACTGAAATCAGTCTCCCTGGCGTTTGGGATCAGAGATTTTAAGGATAATTTAGCAGGTATGGACTCAGAAAGTGGGGAGTGCTGACTGGTCAGGTTGAAGATGAAATGACAGGGGGTCAAAGTGAGTTTTTGCTGACTTCTGTTCCTGGGTGGGATCACAGAACTGGTTGAGCCAGATTTTCAGTCTGGGTGGTGTCATCTGCTGCACCGGAATATAGGATCTGCAAAATACTTCAAGCACTGATCTTAGGTTTTACTATAGTGACGTTATTCCCAGGAGCAATTGGGAGAGGTCCAGACTCTTGTAGCCAGAGGCTGCATGGTCCCTAAATCATGATATCTAACTGTGTAGCTAATTTGTTCCTACAAAGGCAGACTGGTCGCCAGGCAAGAAGGAGTTTTTCTGATATCTAATTTTGTAGCTAATTTGTTAGTCCTACGAAGGCAGACTGGTCCCCAGGCAAAAAGGGGTTTTTTTGGGGGAAAGGGCTAGTATCCATTTTGTTTCAGAGTTTAAACTATAAACTAAATTCCTTCCCAAGGCTAGCTCGGTTTAGATGGGGTGGGGGAATGAACAAAGACAGTTTAGACGTTAGAAGGAAGATGGGGGTCCGGGGGTCTGTTAGGTCTGATCTTTCACTGATATAATTTCCTCAGTTATAATTTTGCAAAGGCGGTTTCGGTCCTGCCTCTCATTACAGGGCCACTTGTTGAGTAAAAGGGTCTCAAAAGATAAAGATATTGGCTTTGATGGGGGTGATGGAGGAGAGAGGATGAGCCTGACGTCATGTCCCATGCCAGTGAGTGGGGCGTCAGGAAAAAGAAGGAGATTCTTTAACAATGGAAAGCTGCTAAAAATCTATGGAATTGGACTGAGAGACCATTAGCAGTTTTTGGAAGAAGAAACCACTTCAGGTTTGCTCCCTGGGAAAGAAAAATATCTTGGGCCCCCAAAACTCACTAAGCTAAAAGGAAAACTCAAGCTGGAAACCGCTTAGGGCCAACCTGCCTCTCATTCTATTCAACCTACCTCCCATTCTATTCAACCTACCTCCCATTCTATTCAACCTACCTCCCATTCTATTCAACCTGCCTCCCATTCTATTCAACCTGCCTCCCATTCTATTCAACCTGCCTCCCATTCTAGTCAAAGTTATCTCCCTGCTCATTGAGATGAATGCATATCTGATTGCCTCTTTTGGAAAAGCTAATCAGAAACTCGAAATAAGGCAAGTTTGTATTTCACCTATCTGTGACCTGGAAGCCCCTCCCTGCTTCAAGTCTTCCTGGCTTTCCTTCAAATTGTCCTATCTTTCCAGACCGAACCAATGTACTTTTCACATATATTGATTGATGTCTTATGTCTGCCTAAAATGTGTAAAACCAAACTGTGCTCCAACCACCTTGGGCACATGACGTCAGGACTTCCTGAGGCTGTGTCACGGGTGCGCATCCTCCACCTTGACAAACTTTCTAAATTAACTGAAACCTGTCTCAGATTTTGGGGGTTCCCATACCTAACGAGTCACATCAGTCAAATCAGTTATAACACTTTGCCGAGTAAGTTCCCATAAACGTTTTATTACCATGTTTGCCATAATTTTAAGGGAGAAAAACAAGGGCCCGAGAGTTTTAAGTCCTTGTCCAGGTAGACACGCAGGTGGGTGGTGGCAGAGGAACTGGACCCAAGGCCTTCGCCTTCACCTCTCTGGATGGTTTCTAGTCTGTTCAGCTTCAACTGTGACATCCTTTCTGCTCCAAAGCCTTTCAAGTGTCCAGTTGTACCTGACTTCTGTCTTCTTGTACATATATTCTGATTCAGCCCTGAGCCATACTCTAGGCCACAGTTGGAGGCTCTTCAATCCACAGAAAGAGCAAAACCACCTTATGAGAGATGGAGGCAGATGGAGGCAGCCAAGGAAACCATGTGTGGATGGGCCAGTCAGGCTCCTTCACGCTGGCCGGCTGGACGAGGTGACTCAGGTGTCCCATCCATGACACCTCCAAGAGCAAGATGGAGAATGAGGAAGGAGACTGAGATGAGCTGAGTTCTGATTGTATGTCAGGGGCTGGCTGGGCTGGATGAGTGCCACATAAAGGTTATCTCACTGAGTCCTCACACCTGTCCGGGGGGGTCCATTTATTCTACTCACTTTCATACACCCAAGAATGCAAGAATCAGAGAAGTTGTGCAGCTTGTCCAAAGGCCCAGGTCTGTCTGACTTGAGAGTCAGCCTGTGGTTTCCTGCCCCACGTGGGGTTCACGGTGACCTGCTTTGGTGCTGGGTCATAGTCGCTGGATGAGAGATTCTCTAGTAGCTGGAGGAAGGGGATCTAAGGGGGGCTGGGCTCACAGAACATGGGGAGGTGAGGAAAAACACACTAGAAGCTCTGGCTCAGGTGGAGGCAGGAACGCTCTGGGGTGAAATGTGTTGTCAACCATGGGATGACGGCTGCCCCGGGACAGGACATGTCTAATCACACTCTGCCCTGGTTTCTGCAAGAGTCACTGGGCTGGTTACGAAGCTATTGTTTCTCAGCCCCAAGTTCCCTACTCAGTACCTGCTTTGCGGTGGGGCGGATCTGGGAAGGTCCTGCTCAGCTCTGCCCACAGGGCAGGGAGCGGGTAGGGAGGCTGGTGGGGAGTGGGGGAGGCTGGTGGGGAGTGGGGGAGGCTAGAAGGGACGTGGGGAAGCTGGTGGGGAAAAGGGAGGCTTACGGAGAGTGGGGAGCCTGGCAGGGAGTAGGGGAAGCTGGTGGAAGAGGGGAGGCTGGCGGGGAGTGGAAAAGCTGGCGGGGAGTAGGGAGGCTGATAGGGAGTGGGGAGGCTGGCGTGGAGGTGGGGATGCTGGCAGGGAGTGGAGAGGCTGGAGGGGATGGGGGAGTCTGGCAGAGAGTGGGGGAGGCTGGCAGGGAGTGGGAGAGGCTGGAGGGAGTTGGGGAAGCTGGTGGGGAGTTGGGGAGGCTGGTGGGGATTGGGGGAGCTGGTGCAGAGGTGGGGAAGCTGGAGGGGAGGGTGGGGAGGCTGGCGGGGAGGGAGGCTGGCTGGGAGGTGGGGAGGCTGGTGGGGACGGAGGAGGCTGGCAGGGAGTGGAAAGGCTGGCGGGGACGTGGGAGGCTGGCGGGGACGTGGGAGCCTGGCGGGGACAAGGGAGGCTGGCGGGGAGGGGCTCCTCCTGTGGCTGCTTCCTGAGGCCTCCAAAGTCTCTGAGCAGGCCCCCTGACCTACGTGTACCCCGACCTGGCAGCAGCAGTTTCTTCTTGTGGCAGCAGCTGGATTTGATTTTGCGTGTTTCCCACTTAGAATCAGCCTCATAATACCCTGTTGGGACTCAGTAAGGGCCTGTGAGGTGAGGCAGGCGTGTTAGCTGGGTCTGCATCTCTTGTTCTTCCTGCCACTAGCAGACTGCCTCTAGGCAAGTAGCAGACCCAGAAGCATGATTTACCCCCAGGGGGTGGTCTGTTATTCACTCCTTGTTAGGTCGCTATCAGTCTGCATGGAAAGTCTGCTGTGAATAGGACTCTGCTAGACCCAGGGGTACAAAGTGCTCTGAGACGCAGGGCTGCTCTGGGCTGCGCTGGGGTCCAGGTGTGAGAGGTGGTAGAAGGTGCAGGGTGCGTGTGCAAGCAGAGAATGCTCAGGAGGTTTCGGTGGTTTAAGGGGAGAATGTGTCAACTTAACATAATAGAAAGGGTCAGAAACTAGTTTACAGAGGGTTTATTCAAGTGCAGAGGTTGAAAACGGGACATCTCTGGGAAGCACAGATTCCAAAGAATGGAAGTCAGTGTTACCAAGTGTAGAGATTTGGGATTGCTTTATATAAACAAAGCTTAGGGGAATTTCACAGAATTTCAACATCTGTGTAAGGCTTAATGCATAGTTCCAATGATCTGATTACTTGAGGGGGGCCTCTTTTGGAAAGGTATATCTAACATTCCACACTGCCATCTAGGCTGAGTTATGGTCGGGACTCTTAAAGAGGTGGTAAATCTGTAACAAAGGTCTGTGATTAGAAGGCGGAGATCTGGTCTCCGGTGTTTCCTAGCCATTACAGAAAAAGAAGAATGAGGAAGAGTTAAGCTGTAATCCAAGCAACAGAATTGCAAAACATGTTCCATGACCCAGATCATAGCCACACCTCTCTCAAGGCTTGAGGAGTCCTGGAAGTTCCAACAGCTTTTAAATGTAATTTATTTTCACAAATGCAAATACATATTTAAATATCCTGGCTAGGAAATGTCCAGGAATGCCTGGAGCATATATTTTAGAATACTCTGTAAGACTAATTAACAGGGGAGAACTGCCCAGAACGGGTTTGGAGGCACAGGTTGGCGGACAGAGAGCCGTGCCCAGAGCGGAAGGAAAGTGAGAGCTGGAGTGCTGCCTGGGAAAGGCCCAGAGGGGAGGAGCTCTTAGCGAAGGAGGTGAAATGGGATGTGAGGTTTGTGGGATTCGAGACACCAGGAGAAAGTTAAGCTTTGCCCAGTAGGGCTCCATAGGGAGCCACAGTGATTACTGTGGTGACTGCAGCCTTAAACAAATGGTAGGCGACTTTGTTAAAGGTGTGAGTTGAGCTTATCTAGGCAGGTATATTAGCCAGTATGTGAAAGCCAGGTATTTATAGTCGAATGTATTTATAGTTGCAATGTGTATTTCTAAACTAAGTCTACTGTGCCCAGCAAAGTGACATCAGAGACTTTAGACAGAATGCCCCACAGGCTTGGGGTGGGGATGGAGCCCCGCTGGCAACAAGCGTGGATGCTTACTGTGTGCTGAGAGTAAGTGGGGTTCTGTCTGGGGGGCTGCAGAGACAGCAGAAAAAACTATCTTTAGAGTCCCTTACAGGAGACCTGTTTTTGTGACTTGTCTGAAGAAGACCAGTCAGGTCAGACTTGACTAAGCCCAGGAGCAATCATTTCGGCAGTTCCCGCGTGTTTATCAGTGAACCTGGTTTTTAGAAAACAGCAAAACAAAACTGAAACAAAAACAAAATCAGAAACCCAATTAAGCAAGACTCTTTACTTACCTCCGTAGGTGTCTGGTCTCTACAGGTAGAATGAGTCCAGGGAGCTGGGAGGGGGCAGTGATGACACCTCTCTGCATGTCTGGTCTGATGTCAGTTACAATAATCAAACACGGGCCGGGCACAGTGACTCACGCCTGTAATCCCAGCACTTTGGGAGTCCGAGGAGGGTGGATCACAAGGTCAAGAGATCGAGACCATCCTGGCCAACATGGTGAAACCCTGTCTCTACTAAAAATATAAAAATTAGCTGGGCGTGATGACAGACGCATGTGATTTCAGCTGCTTGGGAGGCTGAGGCAGGAGAATTGCTTGAACCTGGGAGAAGGAGGTTGCAGTGAGCCGAGATCATGCCACTGCACTCCAGCCTGGTGACAGAGCAAGACTCCATCTCAAAAAACAAAAACAGAAAAAAACAAAAATAATAATAATCAAACACACAGCAGGACCCCTGGCCAGCTGGGGAGGGGGCCAGTGTGGGTGCGTCTTCCTGGGGCCAGCCTAGGAGAAAGTGCTTTTCCTGGGTGTGTGCCCAGGTCACCTGGCTGTGGGACATGCTTCAAGGAATGGGTCTGCCAGGTCACAGTGTTCCTGGACCAAACTGTGGGTCAGGCTGCTATTTCTTGTGGCCCAATAATGAGAGGCCAATGAACTGGGGAGGAAGAGAGTTTTTATTTCTGTAACCAGTTACAGGAAGAAGGCCTGGAAATGATAACCAGACCAACTCAAAATTACACAGTTTTCCAGAGCTTATATACCTTCTAAACTGTAGGTCTACATGTAAGTGTGCACTCATCGAAAGACATAAGTGATTAACTTCTTTTAATCTATAACTAAGGTCTCCATCCTGAAGACTTTCTTCTGGATCCTCAGTAAATTTACTTAATCTAAATGGGTCTAGGTGGTGGGGTGATTACCCTTATCTTGTCTCCTGATGAATCATAAAGGTTTGGGGAGTTCTGTAGACCCCAACAAACTTGTCTATGGAGGCCTGGGGGGTTTATTCAGACCCCCAGTAAAACTTGTTTAAACTTGAAGGTCCTGTTAAGAATCCCTTCATTATCTTGTCATGCTCCAAGGCCCACGAAAAGCCTAGAGAAAACTTTTGGTGGGCTCGTTGTTACATTCCAGCCTTTGTATAAGGGCACTGGCTCAATTAGCTTTAATGTTTAATGTAGCTGCTCAGTCAGTGCTGGGACAGTTGTAAGGGAGGCCTACATTAGTGAGACCTGGCCCACCACAACAGGGCAGCAAGGGAGGCAGGGGAGAACCAAGTAAGGTGAGGCTGAGATGGGGGGTCAGTCCCCAGCCCCATGGTGGACCTCTGGTCCTCCTGCACCTGGGTGAGCTCCAGCGAGAGCCAGGTGGCTTTCCTCTAGAGAAGAGCCTGTAACCCCTCCTGCTATGGGAGTCTCCTCCTCCTCTTCCAGGTCTTGTGGATGATGACCAGCGGGGTGATCCCCAGTGGGCACCAGTGTATTTGCCTGTCAACAAGGGAACAAGCGAATCAAGTCCCTGTGTGGTTCACGGAGGGGGAAGATCAGGTTTCACTTGTAAAGAATGGCGGGTGCTTGCACTTGGAGACTATGCCAGTGAATGTGGAGGGCTGCACCCTGACTAGGCAGCAACAGGGTCTTTAGTCTGCACACATTTGGTTAAAACATTCTACGCTGTTCATTTTTCAGAAAGGAGTCTTCCTTTAGGTGAATGAGGCACTGTCGGAGTCACTCTGAGTTCTGAGTCACCGTTCAGTCTGGGCTGGTTGGAAGAAATTGGGTTGAATCTCAGCATTCAGGTTTGACATGTTCTGGGCAAGGACTGCTCTAAATGGAAACTTTTCCCTTTCTGTTCCTTAAGGATGTGAAGAACCCAGCAGCCTTTCCTGAGGCTGTGTCTTCTGTGCACAGCATCTACTAAGGCCATTCAAAAACACCCCTCCATGGATCTTAAAGCACCCCCTTTTTCCCTTAGGAGGGGGAGTTCTGCAGCTCCTTAAGCTAAAGCCAGATGGATGCAACTAAGAGAGAAGAGAGAACTCCATGCTGCCCCCTTGGTGAATAGGCTGGGCCCAGCATGGTGCAGTCCTTAAAGAGGACCACGGTGGATGAGATGAAGCCACCAGGGCACTGTGTGTACAGAAACAGCAGGAATCAAAATGCCATATACCCGATGAGTGCAATGATGAAACAAAAAATTTATGTGCCGACTCAGATTGGAGAAGTATACTGGGAAAAACAGGCCAATAGTAGATTTGATTGGAAGAGTAGTATTTTGAGCAATTTTTGTTATAGCACTGTTTTGTATTTTGACTGATTGTGACAAGCGTGTATTTTTCTGCTGATATTTGTGGGTTCTCAGGCTTTCGTGGCATAAAACAACCTTGATCAAAAATGTGAATGGTATAAGAAGTTAGTGAATCAGCTTTCATGCCTGTCCAGAACAGAACAAAGGGGCACCCACATGACAGCTCACTAAATTTCTTTTAAAAACCTGTTGTCTTCCAAGATTTGGGACTAATAATAAAAAAGCCTCAAGTGGCTTTTGTTCATAAATTACCATCAGTCCGTGATCTAACAGAAGAGATAAAGGCAGGGGAATAACTATTTCTCCCAAGGCTTTTTATTATTGTGATTTTAAAAAACTATTATTTTTCAATATTTTGGATAGTTCATGTATTTTCAGAAGAAAGCAGCCATGAACAAGTGTATGTATATTGGGAGTTAACTGGAAATATCCATTTTCATGGAAGTTCTCCTTCTAAACAATGGACAGAATCAGGTCTATCCCCTAAACCAGAGGTTGGAAAACAATGACCTTTGGCCAAATCTGGCTTGCTGCCTGTTCTTTTGAACACAGTTTTATGGAAGCACAGCCACTCCCATTTACTTATGTGTCAGACAAGGATTCTTTCACTCTGCAGTGACAGAGTTGAGTACTTGCAACAGATGGGATATGACTCACAGAATTGAAAATATTTATTATCTGGCCCCTTGGAAATATTTGACGACCCATGTGCTGAGCCACTGACATAGCCATCTAATCCCATGTGGCAACCACTGGCGGTACATCTGTGGTTTAAACTCCTCCTGGCCACTACTAAAAGTGTAATCAGGGTCCATTGATACAGGAAGACTTTTTTTTTTTTTTTTTTTTTGGACAGAGTCTTGCTCTGTTGCCCAGGCTGGAGTGCACTGGCACAATCATAGCTCACTGCAACCTCTGCCACCCGGGCTCAAACAATTCTCCTGCCTCAGCCTCCCAAGTAGCTGGGATTACAGGCGCCCGCCACCAGGCCTGACTTTTTTTTTTTTTTTTTTTTTTTTCCAGTAAAGATGAGGTTTCACCATGTTGGCCAGGCTGGTCTCGAACTCCTGACCTCAGGTGATCCACCGTCCTTGGCCTCCCAAAGTGCTGGGATTACAGGTGTGAGCCACTACACCCGGCCAGGAAGACTGTTCAATATAGGGGCCACACAAGACCACATGCTGGCTGTTTTGTCTCCTTTCTCTCTTTTTCAACAGTCATGCTCCTTTTTTTTCATCATGGCATTGGTTTCTTGGAGAAACAAGGTTATTTTTCCTGTAGAATGTCTCACACTCTGGATTTGACCCACTGCTTCCTGTGCTGTTGTTTCGCTTGTTTCCGAAAGTCCTGTATTTTCCGTAAACTAGTAGTTAGATCTAGAAACTCAATTAGTTTCAGGTTCCATTTCTTTGGGCAAGAATAGTTCATGGGTGGTGCTGTGTAATTCTTATTACATCACAACAGGAAATCCATTAATGTCTGGTTGTCTCAGTTTTAGGGAGGGTAAGACTGATGATCGAGTGCACCCTTAACCCTCAGTTATCAAATTCCCTGCCAAGCTTTTCACCAAATGGTTCTAAAACAGTCCATTGATGATTGCTTTAGACCTATAATTTCATTCAGGGTTGCAATATGGTGATTTTATTATTCTATCATCCCTTTTTCATTTATTAGTTGGGGAAATTCTATAAAGAAGGCATTTCCTTAACTATTGTTCACCCTAAAAGGCAGTTTGTACTGAAAATGCAGAATAAATTTCTGAAGTGATAAGTTGGTGCTGTAACAAGCTCTAATTATAAATGAAACTATTTAATTGTCATCATGAACTCATGGATGTTTATGTATTTGTGTGCGTCAATCAATTGTTATCATTAGTTACTGCAGTTAGGAAAAATGTCTCATCTGTGGCCATTGGGCTCCCCTTTGATTTGGAGCTGGTGTTCTTTTGGTGCGACCCTTCAGTCTTTGAGATGTCTTATTTCTAGCACAGCAAAATAACTCAGGCTTGTCTTGTACATCTTATGTTCCAGACTTGGAGGCTGCCATTTCTCCAAGTAGTCCTGGAGATTCTCAAATGCTAAAGTTAACCAACACAGTGCCCTAAGACCAGAAAGGAGAAAAAATGGAAGTTCTGGGTCCTGCCAAAGGACTATTTCACTGAGCAGACTGCTGAGACCTCTGAATTATGTGGACACTTGAGAATCAGTCATGTGTTGGGGCCGGCGTCGTGGCTCATGCCTGTAATCCCAGCACTTTGGCATTTTGGGAGGCCAAGGCGGGTGGATCACCTGTGGTCAGGAGTTCGAGACCAGCCTGGTCAACATGGTGAAACCCTGTCTTTACTAAAAACAAAAACAAACCCCAAAAATTAGCCAGGTATGGTGGCCGGCACCTGTAATCCGAGCTAGTCGGGAGGCTGAGGCAGGAGAACTGCTTGGGCTTGGGAGGCAGAGGTTGCAGTGAGCCGAGATTGTGCCACTGCACTTCAGCCTGGGCGACAAGAGTGAAACACCAGCTCAAAAAAAAAAAAAAAAAAAAAAAACCAAAAAAAAAAAAACCAAAATCAGTCACCTGTTGGTTTGTGGATCAAACAAAGTGGAGGTGACATCACTGAAGCCTAGGACATCACTCCCCTTTTCCAGGCAGGCTTTGTGGTTCGACCTGTCTCACGTTCCAACCCATGCACCCTAACCCCCTACTTCTTTACCTCTTCCAATTGAGACACAAGATTCATTTTGGCCCAAAGGAGGTATACTTCAAAAGCAATTTTCCTTTATTAAAAGAATGCTTATAAAAAGTTCATTTCACTTCTGCGTCATTTCTTCTGGTCACTCCCAGCTCACTTGCAGCACTTGGCCTTCCCTCTGTAACAGGTGCCTTGAATTTTGGTAAAGATCGGGCAGGCAGAATAGAGACATTGCCCTCCACTGCTGACGCAATTGTAATGATCAGATCTGTGGCCAAGGCCTGTGAGAAAGTTACCACCTGTAAGGAGGGAACACAAACACTTCAGACTCATGGCTTGTAGCTGCAACGATTTGAGAACATCTCGCGAAAGCAGAACAAATAACTGCAAAACACCGGAGAGTCTTCTCTTCCAAGAAATTGGCCCATGATTGATCTTTGGGGCTACTCATGAAATGAGGTGTCTGAACAGCTTACTCAGTCTGGGGCTATGCCAGCTGTGGCCAAATACAAGCCAAGGAATGAGCAGTGGGGTTCTGAGTGGGGTTTTCTTCTGCTGAGAGATTTTAAATGTGCAGGGAATTCAAGTTATTTTTCCAAACAAGTTTTCTGCCTTGTCTCAACACACCCCAAAATCACATCCTGTGTTTTAGAAATGTGGAAGCAGCTGCCACTCTTCAAACACAGCCTACACTTCCCTCCTTCCATGCCTTCAGTTACGCTGTTCCCTCTGCCTTGAATCCCGGCCCCCTCACTTCCCACATCACTATTTCAGCTGAAATCTAGGATCGTTTCACATCGGGCTGAAATTATGGTTACTCTCTAAAACTTTCATAGTTTTTTTTTCTACTTGGACTTTATTTTGCCCTTCTCCCAGTATCCCAGATCTGATAAATAGAGACAGTACTCTGGAATAGCCTTCTATTCCATGCAACAGGGAACAGTCGCCTGTGATATTCCTGGCGAGGGACCAGCAGGCCGCCATGTTGCAAGTCTCCACTGGTAGGCGTTTTGGACTGAACTGAATCCCCTAGGAAAAGAATTCCTGTGTCGAAGCCCTAACAGTGCCTCAGAAGGTGATTGTATTTGGAGAGAGAAACTTTAAAGAGGTGATTCAAGTTAAACACGGTCATTGGGGTGTGCTCTGATCCATAAGACTTGCATCCTTATAAGAAGAGATTGGGACAGACACACACAGAGGAAAGACCATGTGAGGACCCAGGGAGGCGGCGGTCATCTACCAGCCAAGGACAGACACCTGAGAAGAAGCCAACCCTGCTTCCACCTTGATCGCAGACTTCCTGCCTCCAGGACTGCGAGGAAATAAATTTCTGTTGTTTAAACTGCCTGGTCTGTTTATGGGCAGTTTAAACGATAAATCTGGTAGCCTGAGCGGACTAATACAAGAGGCCATCGCTACCCTAGGAGACAGTACATTCTCATGTTGCAGATCTCTGTTGGAAAGATGGCTTTCACACCGATGGAAATTGTCTCATCAGTAACTTCCATCCAAAGGCTATTTTTCCACTTTTTGCAGTAATTCCACTTTTGAAAAACTCTTCTCATTGTCCTCAATGCCTGGTTTCTGGTCCCTTCCCAAACCTCTTCATTCTCCTGTGGATGTGTTTAAGTTGGCCAGTACACTTCCCAAAGTTTGAAGCCTGGTATCAATACAGAGTCCCTTCAATGTGTTCCGCCAACCAAGGTAAATAGAGGCTTCATTTCTCTCATTTTGTTCTCAAAGCAGCACCATCCAATATGGCAGCCACATGCTCCCTGTGGCTGTTCTCTTTTAGGTTAATTGAAATCACCCTAGCCGCATTGCAAGTGCTCACGAGCACTATGTGGCTAGTGGGTGCTGCATTCATTGAACAGCAGATATAGAATCTTTTTACCACTGCAGAACGTTTTATTCAACTTCATTTCAATAGAAGGTACTCTGTATTGATACCAGGCTTCAAACGTTGGGAAGTCTATTGGCCAACTTAAACACATCCACAGGAGAATGAAGAGGTTTGGGAAGGGCCCGGAAACCAGGCATTGAGGAGAATGAGAAAAGAAGAGTTTTTTTGTGTTGCTGTGGAGATGGAAGGGAATTGAGAGGCACTCTGGTTCTCCCATCCCAGTACTCAGGGAAGCATCTTGGGCCAAGGCCACTCATTTGTTCATACAAAACACAGTCTCTTGATTGCCAGCTTATATTCTTTTTCTCTGACTGATTCCTAATGAGGCTGTCTGAGATTGTACTATGTTTTAATAATCTCGCCATAATGTTGACCTCAAGTAAGATCATGACCAGCTAGACTCTGCCAAAGTCTCCACTTTCTGCTTTAGTCTCCCTGCACTGGAGGCTCCCAGTGCTGGAAAGATACTTAGAGGATGCCTACTCCAACCCACACTGCGAAAGATGGAACCTCTCCAAGTGATTATCTGTTATTAGAGAGATCAACTGAGCATATAAATTTGAAAGCACTTTGAAATCGAGAAGGTTTATACATCTTTGTTCTTGATTGTTCTTCTCAGTAATCAAATGGTTGGGTGTATATATGCTGATTAAGCAGAGGAGGCCCAAATTTAATATGGATGTAGCTTTTTAGAGCCAGGATGGACTTCGGAACTCAATTAATTCAACCTTTCTGTGATCCTCTCCCCAGATGAAGGAACAAGGTCCAGTGATGTCCCCAGAGCATGTAGCTGGTCAAAGACCAACCCCGGACCAGAATGGATGCCTCCTGATCTCACTTCAGTTCTCATTCCACTTCACCACACTGCTGGTTGACTGTGGTGTCACGGTGCATAACCAGAACTAATTTCTGGCATTACCTTCCAGGATCTAGTACATTATGGGACACAAAAGGAATTGCAGCAAAGTTAGTGAGAGGGTACTTTGATTACATTCTGTGTTCCACATCTAATCTACTGTGTGATCTTTTGCAAACCACTCAACCTCTCTAGGCAGCAGCTTCTCAAATTTAAAACGGAGGAGACTACGCAGCCATAAAAAAGAATGAAGGTGTGTCCTTTGCAGCAACACAGATGCAGCTGGAGGCCAATATCCTAAACAAATTAACACAGGAAAAGAAAGCCAAGTACCACATGTTCTCAGTTATAAGTGGGGGCTAAACACTGAGACACTGGGGGCTACTAGAGGGGAAAGGAGGCAGAGGAGTGTGGAAAACTAACTGTGGGGTACTATGCTCATTACCTGGGTGACAAGATCACATTCCATTCCTCAGCATCTGAGTGGGTCTGGGTTGGGGCTGATAATTTGCATTTTAAAACAAGCTCCTAGGTGACACTGAAGCTTCTGGTCCAGAGGCCATACTTTTACAACCTTTGGTCTGGAATATTGAGGTTCCTTCCTGTTGGAGCAGTCTATGCTGCTTTCAGTCTAGGGGCCTTTTAAAAGCACTTGCCTTTAACATTTTCATGACATTTGCCTTCACCTTGTGTTAGATATTGCTGTGCCTGTGTCTGTTTCTCTTACGTGCTTCTTAAGGATGTTAGTGTAATCTAAATGCTTCTGAAGGTTTTTGTTTTCCAATAATTGTGGACCAGGCAGCCCAAAAAGAACAGCTAGAATATCTGACATACACACACACACACACACACACACACACGCACACACACGCACATGTGCACTTTGTAGGTATTAGAGAACCAACAGTAAAGAATTACTAGGTCAAGATTTGAGAGAAAGACCGAAACAAAAGCAGGAACATCACATCCTACTAACATAAAAAAAGTTATTATGAAGGCCTGAAACATTTTGAAATGAAGAAGACCTAAATGAGTGGAAATGCTCTGTTAAAGCATTTGAAGATTACTTTTTTAAAAAAAATTAATCTTCTGGTTCAACCAAATACCATGGGAATCCCCAGAGGTTCTAATTTGACAAAGTGATTCTAAATTTTATTTGGAAATTCAAAGGGCCGAGAATAGCCAAGACACATTTGGAAAAAAGGTGAGAGGTCTTGCTTTACTGTATTTCAAGACTAAGTGTAGAGCGTCTGTAATTAAGGCAATGTGCTTATGGCACAAGGACAGAAAAATGTCCAAATGGAATAAGATAGAGTGTAGAAAGAGGCTCATGCATACATGGAGAATTGATGTAGAATAGTAGTGGCTCAGCAGAACAGTGGGGAAAAATAGTCTTATCAACAGTTGGTTCTGGGCTGGGCATGGTGGCTCATGGCTGTAATCCCAGCACTTTGTGAGGCAGAGGCAGGCAGATAACTTGAGGTCAGGTATTTGAGACCAGCCTGGCCAACATGGTGAAACCTGCTCTCTACTAAAAATACAAAAATTAGCCAGGTGTGGTGACAGGCGCCTGTAATCCCAGCCACTCGGGAGGCTGAGGCAGGAGAATCCCTTGAACCTGGGAGGGAGGGGTTGCGGTTAGCCAAGATTGTGCCACTGCACTACAGCCTGGGTGACAGAGCGAGACTCAGTCTCAAAAAAAAAAAAAGTTGGTTCTGGACAATCAGATATTCATATTGGGGAAAAAAAGTAACTTGACCGTTACTTCATACCGAAGCCACACACACACACACACACACACACACACACACACACACACACACCCCATTGCCAGATGGATTGTAAGTCTAAATGTAAAAAGAAAAAGGATAAGCTTTTAGAAGACAATATTGGGGACTATCTTCATGTCTTTGATGTAAAGAAAGTCTTCTTAAACAAGATAGAAAGTGCAGTAACCTTACGGAAAAAGACATGACACATTCGACTACATTGAAATCATGATAAAAGCCTCTTTTCTAGGAAAGTTTCCATTAAGAGAGTGAAAAATCAAAACACAAAGCAAGAGAAGATATTTGTGATGTATATAATTGACAAAAGGCTTGCATAGAAAATACATAAAGAACTACAAACCAATAAGAAAAGACAGATAATCCAAAAGAAAACATGGACAAAAGACAAACAGGTATTTTACAAAAAATAACCCAGTTGCCTGTAACTATGTATAAAAGGGCCCAACTTATTATTTATCAGGGAAATGCAGATTAAAACTCCAGTGAGCTATTGCTACACTCACCAGGTGGTTAAAATTTAAAAATAATTGATGTTATCAAATGTTGGCAAGGATACAGAGCAAGAGGAACTCTTATTCACTGCTTGTGGGAGTGCAAGTTGGTGTAAATAATCTTGGAAAACAGTTTGGCATTGTCCAATACAATTGAATATATGCATAGCCTATGATCCGGTGATGCAACTTTTCAGCATGTAGAAATAGAGGCATAAGGGCACCTACTGGCCAATAGAAATGTGTGCACAAACCAAGCTGTACTATTCAACCTGAATATTAATTAGTGTGGCAAAAGTGTAAAGAATATGAAAAGTTACCACCATAAAAGTCAAGTGAGTGATTATTCTTGGGGGTAGGAGGGAGTTGTGACTGGGAAGGCTCGAGAATAGCTTCTCATAATTCAATTTAGATATAATAGACTGAAAACAAAAATTCTTTATGTTAACAAAGTGCCTTTCAAACCCTTTTGAGTTTGGACTGAACCACCATCAGAAAGAAATTTCTCACTGCTACTCAGTAAAAACATATGCACACACCCCAAACTGAAATATGGGTGTAATTAAATAGCATCTACTTTTACTACATGGCATGAAGTAATATTTTCTATTCCTTTAAAAAAACATGGGCTGGGCGTGGTGGCTCATGGCTGTAATCCCAGCACTTTGGGAGGCGGAGGCAGGCGGACCATGAGGTCAGGAGTTAAAGACCAGCATGACCAGCATGGTGAAACCCCGTCTGTACTAAAAAATACAAAAATTAGCCAGGCTTGGTGGCATGCACCTGTAATCCCAGCTAACTCAGGAGGCTGAGGCAGGAGAATTGCTTGAACCCAGGAGGTGGAGGTTGCAGTGAGCTGAGATTGTGCCATTGCACTCCAGCCTGGGTGACAGAGCAAGACTCCATCTCAAAAAAACAAAACAAAACAAAACAAAAAAACACGGTAGGCTGAGTGGAGTGGCTCATGCCTATAATCCCAGAACTTTGGGAGTCTGAACTAGGAGGGTTGCTTGTGCCCAGGAGTTTGAGACCAGCCTGGTCAACACAGTAAGACCTTATCTCTACGAAAAAATAAAAATAAAAAAATTAGCCAGGTGTGGTGGTGCATGCCTGTAGTCACAGTTTCTTGGGAGGCTGAGGTGGGAGGATGGCCTGAGCTCAGGAGGCAGAGGCTGCAGTGAGGCGAGATCACACCACTGCACTTTAGCCTGGGTGACAGAGTGAGACCCTGTCTCAAAAAAAAAGCAAAGCAAAAACAAAAACCAAAAACCAAAAACCAAAAAAAAAAACAAAAAAACAAAATCCATTGTAGCAACTGGCAGCATGAAAAGTTCTGCATTTAGAATGCTTTTGTACTCAGCTTTCAGATGGAAAAACTGAGGCATAATTGGAATAAATTAAGCCTATCTGCTGGATACAGTGATGGCCTAGAGAAACTTACAATAGGATCTTACAGAGACTTTCTGAACTGGAGTGCTTGCTTTCAGGATCATCCTTCCCAGCCCCTCATTCTGCAGATGAATAAACCAAGGCTTAGCACCATGTGACTCGTGTGAACAAGGATAGGGCTGGGATAAAACATGTTCCCGATTCCTCCTGCACGTCCCACCATCATGTCAGGGTCATGGCTGCTTTGGCCCAGAGAAGCTGACATACACCTGGCTCACAGGAAGCCCCCTCCTATTGACTGGGGAGACTGCTAACCTGGAGAATGTGGATGCATTTCTCAGGAGAGGGAGAGGACCGCCTGCCTGCACAGGAGGTGAGTCCAAGGCACCGGCTGAGCTGGCCTGATGGGTGGGGCGGCAGCACCTCACCTGTACCAGGGCACCCCAGGAGGCTGCACCCAGTGACGTGGGCTGAGGATGGGGCCGGCCCCTCTCTCTGCATAGGAAGCTGGCCTCTCAGTGTGAGGAGTCGTCTTGCAGGGGAAGCAGCAATCTCATCCACATAGGATACTGTCTACATGTCCAGGACAAGGATGCAGGCAGCTGCCTGTGACAAGCGCCATGACCCTGCCAGGCTCACTCCTTGGCGGCTCACAGACCCTGAAGGCTTGGCAGGGCTTGCCTGCTGCCTTCTGCCAACTGCAGGCCACTCAACCACGGGATGCTTTCCTGCTGCTTGTTCCTCGTCCCTTGGGACACGGAGGCAGCCATCCGAGACTCACATCAGCCCCATTGTCCCCAGCCCTGGGGATGGGAAACTCTTGCAGGTACCAGAGCTTACCTGAGGCCATCTCAGACAAAAGTAAGCAGAGAGTAAACAGCAGAAGGTAGGAAGTTCTCATGGCGACTGGCAGGCAACACCCAGGATTTCAGGAACTGGGGAGACGCTGGCTCCTTTGGAGGCTGAGCTGACAGAGGCTTCCAGAGGCTGGAGCGTCACTGTATTTATAAGACTGGTGGATTGCACAACCTCGTCGACGGAACTGAAGGGAGGTGCCACAGTCAAGGGTGAACTTCTAATCGCTAACCCCTGGTGTCATTTGCCCTGAGCAGTCAGCAGTCACATGGCACATTGTCTCCATCTGGCTGCCGCTGGATTTAGCTTTCAGCCTGGAGCCCTGGTGCCAGCTCCTCCTGTTTGGTTTTCTAGGTTAGGCAGTTCTGATGGGGTTTCTGGAACAGGCAGTTCACACTGGAGTCCCTCCTTCTGGATCACATGGAGGAGAGCCACAGGGAAGCTCTGAGCAGGGGGCCGCTCGGCTCTAAGCTGGTGTTGGCCTCTTTAGTTTGATTGTCTTCCTGCAAGACAAACTCAAACTTCACCCTCTTCCCTTGCAGAAGGAGAGCTGGTTGTAATGAAGTTTCTTCCTCTGGCCAAGGCTACCTTCTCATCTCTCCCCTTATGCAGAACACTCTCCTCGATGGACCAACTTTTCTCTTTTCCCACTAGACGTGTTCCTGGGACGTTTCCAAAGGGCACTCCTCAGAAAGTGAGCCCCCAGTGTGGCCCTTGGAGGGTGAGGGTCTGGGCCAGCCTGGGCCCACCCTGCAGAGCTACAACTGCCAGATTGGGGTGCTGTTAGCGACTCTCCAAGTATCCCTCAGGTTTTCCTTGATTCTAAAGATTTAAGAAACATTTTATTTATTACTGATTTTCATTGTAATTCTGTGAGCAGCTTTCCTGATGTCTCAGTGGCTTATTTGCAAGCAGCAGACGCTGGCTCTCGCTGACCAAGGAAGGGAAGAGTTTATTCGGAGGATATCAGGGTTGGTGGGGGGTGGTGGCATTGCTGGAGAACCCAGCTTGAGGCTCAGTTTCCAGGAATGACATCCACCCTACACTGTCACGGTGGTCCAATGAGAACCCCATACTGCAGCCACATGGCATGAGACACCCAGAGTGGAGTGACCCTCAGCCACTCTACCGCTGGCAGAATGCCATTCTGCACCCAAACATGAACCTGCCGTATACTCCCACTTCAACCCTGCCAGAGAAAGACAGAGAGAGATCCAGAAAGATGGACAAACAAAAACAGAGACAGAGGAAGAGACAGAGACATGCAGAGAGACAGTAGAGAGACACAGAGAAACAGAGAGATAGAAACAGACAGAGAGAGATGGAAATAGAGAGAGAGAGAGAGATAGAGAGAAATAGATTCAGAGAGACAGAAAGAAGGAGACAGAAAGATGCAGTGGGATCCTGTAGCTAGCTCATTGAGGCAGTTCACAAAGGGTGTTTGGGAGAAAACTTGGAAGAGGCTGAGCCATGCCTGACCTAGGAGCAGTGAGATTGTGGAAAGAGAAAAGAAAGAACCGAAACACAGCTTTCCTTGCTGGTGCTGGGTAAGACATGGCTCAGCCTCTTCCAAGTTCCTCCCAAACACCGTCTGTGAACTGCCTCAATGAGCTAGCTACAGTATTCTATCGGATCTGTTTCTGTCCCTTTCCTTCTGTCTTATTGAAGCCACACTATGATTCTTTGACCAGGCAATATAATCCTCATGTTAGAGAAGAAAAACACTGGGGTTCAGAGAATTGAAACAAATTGCCCAAGGTCACCCTGCTGGTAAATGGAAAACTGGTGTAATGGCCTGGAAAGCCTCATTCCCTAGCCTCTGTGCTGACCGCCTCCTGGGGAGGCTTCCAGGTTATTACACCAGGTGTGGGTTCAATAAGATTGTGAAAGAAAAATATCTCAGGCACCTTCAAGCTGGGAACTGCTTATTGCGAATCTGCCTCTTTTTCTATTCAAGTCATCTTTTTGCTCCCAGAGATACATGCGTATTTCGATTAACTTTTTTGGAAAGACTTATAATAAATTCAAAAGAATGCAACCGGTCAGGGCGCAGTGGCTCACGTCTGTAATCCTAACACTCTGGGAGGCCGAGGCGGGCAGATCGCCTGAGGTTAGGAGTTCGAGACCAGCCTGGCCAACATGGTGAAGCCCCGTCCTTACTAAAAATACAAAAATTAGCTGGGTGTGGTGGCACACACCTGTAATCCCACCTACTCAAAAGGCGGAGGCCGGAGAATTGCTTGAAACCAGGACACATTGGTTGTAGTGAGCCGAGATCGCACCACTGCACTTCAACCTGGGTGACAAAACCGCACTCCGTCTCAAAAATACAATAAAAAGAATGCAACTGTCTGTCTCTCACATACCTGTGACCTGGAAGCCCCCAGTGGTGGGGGCCTTGCTTTGAGCTGTCTCTGCCTTTCTGGACAGAACTATTGTACTTCTTATACATTGATTGATGTCTCATGTCTCCCTAAAATGTATAAAAGCAAGCTGTGCCTTGACCACCTGGAGCACATGTTGTTAGGATTTCCTGAGGCTATGTCAGAGGTACATCCTCAACCTTGGCAAAATAAACTTTTTAAATTAAATGAGACCTGTCTCAAATTTTGGGGGTTTACAAGATAATAAAGTAAAAAATCTCAGAATGCTGCCGGGCACCATGTGAGGTCCGATGGTGTCTGTAGATCCTGGGAGTGAAAGGAATCTAAACCCTGGAATCCTGATTTTCAGGACTGATGTTTTCTGCTCTGAACCTGGAAAACTTTTTTTCTAAATTTTATTTTTATTTTTTATTTATTTTATTTATTTTTTTATTATACTTGAAGTTCTAGGGTACATGTGCACAACGTACAGGTTTGTTACATATTTATACATGTGCTGTGTTGGTTTGCTGCACCCATTAGCTCATCATTTACATTAGGTATTTCTCCTAATGCTATCTGTCTCCCCTCCCCCTACCCCACAACAGGCCCCGGTGTGTGATGTTACCCACCCTATGTCCATGTGTTCTCATTGTTCAATTCACACCTATGAGTGAGAACATGCGGTGTTTGGTTTTTTGTCCTTGTGATAGTTTGCTCAGAATGGTGGTTTCCAGCTTCATCCATGTTGCTGCAAAGGACATGAGCTCATCCTTTTTCATGGCTGCATAGTAGTCCATGGTGTATATGTGTCACATTTTTCTTAATCCAGTCTATCATTGATGGACATTTGGGTTGGTTCCAAGTCTTTGCAATTGTGAAAGTGCTGCAGTAACATACGTGTGCATGTGTCTTTATAGCAGCATGATTTATAGTCCTTTGGGTATATACCCAGTAATGGGATGGCTGGGTCAAATGGCATTTCTAGTTCTAGATCCCTGAGGAATCGCCACACCGACTTCCACAATGGTTGAACTAGTTTACAGTCCCACCAACAGTGTAAAAGTGTTCCTATTTCCTCACATCCTCTCCAGCACCTGCTGTTTCCTGACTTTTTAATGATCGCCATTCTAACTGGTGGGAGATGGTATCTCATTGTGGTTTTGATTTGCATTCCTCTGATGGCCAGGGATGATGAGCATTTTTTCATGTGTCTCTTGGCTGCATACATGTCTTCTTTTGAGAAGAAACACTTTGCTTTTTAAGGTTACATTTTCAGGATTTCAAGCATCCTGTGAGGGTGCTAGAAGAAGGTCATTTTAGTCCCAGTGTCCAGGGCATCACCCTGTTCCGCTCACGTCCATCAACAGGGTGATGCTGGAGAGCAGAGCTCACTCCTGGGCGCTCTTGAGGAGTGAGGCGTGGTAGCCAGCTCGGAAGGCATGGGAGCCCGGGCGAGATGATAAGGAGGCCAGGTCCTGTGCCATGTGCCCAGGAGAAACCACATACAAGCAGAATGCAGCATCTACTTTCACATAAATATTGCAGTGAGACTGGCCAGAGTCCTGGCTTCATCACTCACAATTGACCAAAGTGTGGCCTTTGTGGGTGGGCGCTGACTAAGGAGACTGATGGGGGCTGTGGTGGCAGAAAGTGCACAAGCCTTTGACAGCCCAGGGATGAGGCTACTGACCCACCTGTGATGAATGACAGTCTAATGGAGGAAATGACACCCGGGATGAGGTTGTAGAGCAGATGGGGGCCAAGTAGATGAAAGTGTGGTGGGAGGACCACGGACATCTCAGGAGAGCAGGGACCAAGGCCTATATAGGAGATGCATGCGTGTGTGTGTGGTGCATTAAGGCTTATGTGTGGTTTGCATTTAGGCTCATATCTTTGTGTGCGTGTGGTGCACATTTAGGCTTTTCCGTGTGTGCATTTAGGCTTGTGTGTGTGTCTGCCTGTATTTGGGATTGTGTGTTTGTGTGTGTGCATTTAGATTTGTGTGTGTGCATTTAGGCGTGTGTGTGTGCATGTACGTGCATTTAGGCTTGTGTGTGCGTGTATTTAGGCTTTTGTGTGTTTGCATTTTGGCTTGTGTGTTTGTGTGTGTGTCCATTTAGGCTTTTGTGTGTGTGCATTTAGATTTGTGTGTGTGTGCATTTTGGCTTGTGTGTGTGTACGTGCATTTAGGCTTGCGTGTGTGTGTGTATGTGTGCATTTTGGCTTGCGTGTTTGTGTGTGTATTTACGCTGTGGTGTGTGCGTGCATTTAGGCTTGTGTGTGTGTGGAGGGTGCACATTTAGGCTTCTGAGTGTCTTATTGAGCAGCTTTGGTTTTCTTCTTAGGCAATAGGGAGACTTTGGAAGAGGAATTACATGAGCCTGTTGCCATTATAGAACTAGTCTAATATGGAGGTGTCGAGGATGCATGGAGAGGGCGTCAGCTTGGACTTGGGAAGACCCAGGAAGGGGCTGAGGAGCCATTAGGGTCTCACACAATATGGGGAAGGGGGAAGAAATGAGACAGGAACTTGAGAGGAATTAAGAAGCTAAAGTTAACCACCCTCCACTGGCAGATGGAAGGAGCTGGATTTCTGGTCCTGGATGGAAGGAGCTGGATTTCTGACCCTGGATGGAAGGCGCTGGATTTCTGACCCTGGATGGAAGGCGCTGGATTTCTGGCCCTGGATGGAAGGAGCTGGATTTCTGGTCCTGGATGGAAGGAGCTGGATTTCTGACCCTGGATGGAAGGCGCTGGATTTCTGACCCTGGATGGAAGGCGCTGGATTTCTGACCCTGGATGGAAGGAGCTGGATTTCTGGCCCTGGATGGAAGGAGCTGGATTTTTGGCCCTGGCTTGACTGAGTGTGGTGTCAGGCCCTGAGCTGGGTGAGGGGAGGAAGAGCCGGTATGGGAAGATGTTGAGTTATGTAGACAAGTGAGTGTAAGGGGTGCCCTCATTCGCCATCACAGTGGCTGATGTGTCCTCTGCATGCTGGTCTCTCCCTCCAGTCATCAGTGAAGGCTGACGGAGGGGAGGGGCTGCGTGGGATTTCCACAGTCTCCCCTCACTGGAGGGTCCAGGGTCTGGCATAGATAATCAGTCACTGTTTTGGAATAAATGAATAAACAGAAGAGTGTTGCTATGGACGGAACACATTCCCTGCTTGCATAAATATATAAAAGGATATTTAAGGAGGTAATTAGGCTAAATTAGGTCATAGGACTGGTGGCCTAATAGTTAGACGAAGAGAAATCAGAGCTCTGGGACATGGCGAGAAGGCGTGACGCACAAACCAAGAAGCGTCCCTCCCGGGAACCGAATCAGCCTTCATCTTCATCTTGAGCTTCCAGCCTCCAGAACCATGAGAAATAAACTTGCATTTACCCAGCCTGTGGCACATTGTTGTGGCAGCTGGTTAGACTTATACAAGTGTTGTCTGTATTCTTGGTGAACTCTTCATTTCTTCTAGGACAACAAAACTCCGGGGACTCCATTCCTGGCAGCACCCCAACCTCCTGTTACCCTCACCCCTATGGGGGCTTCCTCTTCAGGGAGGAACTTCAGGTTTTTAAGACATGGATGCTTTGTTTTGGCTTGAGACTTTGCAAGTCCCATAAGTGGTGAGCACAACTTGGAACACTATTGCTTATTCCCTTATCCGCAATAGTTTGTTTGTTTTTTTTTTTTTGACAGAGTCTCACTCTGTTACCGAAGTTGGAGTGCACCGGTGCAATCTCGGCTCACTGCAAGCTCTGCCTCCTGGGTTCTGGGCATTCTTCTGCCTCAGCCTCCCGAGTAGCCGGGACTACAGGCAACTGCCACTATGCCTGGCTAATTTTTTGTATTTTTAATAGAGATGGGATTTCACCATGTTAGCCAGGATGGGGTTGATCTCCTGACCTCGTGATCTGCCTGCCTCGGCCTCCCAAAGTGCTGGGATTACAGGTGTGAGCCACCCCGCCTGGCCTTTTTTTTTTTTTTCTTTTTTTTCAAGACAGACTCTCACACAGTGTCGCCTAGGCTGGAGTACAGTGGCGTGGTCTCGACTCACTGCAACCTCTGCCTCCCGGGTTCAAGCAATTCTCATGCCTCAGCCCCCCCCAAGAAGCTGGGATTCCAGGCGTGAGCCACTGCACCTGGCCACTCGCAGTAGATCTTGATTATGATCTGCTAAAGGCACGTCCTTGACTGCTGACCTTACAGGCCACGCCACTGGCAGCTGCCCAGAGCAGGAGCTGTTTGTGTCAGGTGCTTGTCACAGCTCTGGAGCATGAGACCTGAGTGTGAAGAGGGGAGGGGGTCTGGGGTGGGACAGAAGCTGTGTAGGGCAGTACCTGCCCTGGGGCTCCACCTGCAAGGTCAACAGGACACAGTCCTTACATGGTGGGGTTGAGCTGGTTTCAGTCCCAACTCAGGAGCTCCTCAGAGAGTCAGTTCCACCCACGTAGGTTGGAGCTAGCTCCTCAATGCCACTGTGAAGGAAAACGAAGGACACAGCCTCACCAAGCACCACCCCAGCCAGGTGTGACGCCACTGTGAATGTGTCTAGTCCTCAGGACCACGAGAGGCTGTGTTTGAAGGGAGCTGGGCCAGCCCCTGAGTCAGACAGGATGGATTCAGCTTCTGTGCCTCTGTGGAGAGGCAGGGCCAGCTGGGCCTGGCACTCACCTGTCCTGCTGCTAGTAGCAGTGGTAAACTGTCTAACACCAGAGGATTACGTGGGTTTAACACATTTATGCGCACAGATGAGGAGTGTTCAATTAGTGCTGGTTCTTACCATGATTATTTCTATTCTTTCCCATATTATGAGGTCATCATTACCCCATTTCCTAGATCATACACCTAGACTGGCAGAGAGTAATGTACAGGTAATGAGTGGTACATCCAGAACTGACCCAAGCCATCAGCATAGGGGGTTGAGTGTCATCCTCTCTTTTGCAGGCAGGACATCCCAGTGCTAAGGAGAGTGACCTCAGACACCAGAGACACAGCAAGTGCAGCAGAGCTGACGGCTCTGGGAACACTGGTCTTCAAAGTCTTCCCCGTTGTTGGTTTTGTTGTCTTTATTTACAAATAAAGTAAATATTTCTTATTTATAGATAACATTTTATTTATAAAAATAATATACGTGTTGCAAAAAGTTAAAACAATACTGATGTGTAGCAGCAGAAAAGGAAAGTTGTCTTGAATCCTATTTCTCATGGATAAACAGATTGCTAACAATTGGGTTTCTCTCAGTTAATGACATTCTCTTCTACACACATAAAGGTATCTATTCATGTACACTTCAATACTTACAGATTGTAAAAAGGAAACACTTTGTAATGCTGATCTGCAGCTTGCTTGTTTTCCTTTCCACCTAGTAGTTGTACGTCTTTCAATATTTTAGATCAAATCCATTTTTATAGTGCATGCATTTTCAGTTGATCCTTGAACAACTCGGGGCTGAACTGTACAGCTCCATTTACACATGGATTTTCTTCCACCTCTGCCACCCCTGAGACAGCAAGACCAACCTCTCCTCTACTCCTCCTCCTCAACCCACTCAATGTGAAGATGATGAGGATGCAGACCTTTGTGATTATCCTCTTCCACTTAATGAAGAGTAAATATATTTTATCTTTCTTATGTTTTCTTTAATAACTTTTGTCTCTAGCTTAGTTTATTGTAAGAATACAGTATATAAGACATATAACATAGAAAAAGTATGTTAATTAATATTTTGTTTTATTGATAAGGCTTCTGGTTAGCAGTAGGCTATTAGTAGTTAAGTTTTTGGGGAGTTGAAAGTTATATGTGAGTTTTTGACTGTGCCTCATGTATAACTTTTCATGTACTTATTACCCAGTGTGATCTACTGATACAATGCAATCCCTATCAAAATCTCAATGATTTTTTTGGCAGAAATAGAAAGTCCATCTTAAAATTTATAGAAAATGCCAAGGAACTCTAAATAGCCAAAACAATCTTGAAAAAGAATGAAGTTGGAGGACTCAAACTTCCTGACTTTAAAACTCATTACAAAGGAACAATAATCAAAACAGCTTGGTACTGGCATAAAGACAGACATATAAATAGTGGGATAGAATAGAAAGCCCAACAGTAAATTTTTGCATATGTGTTCAAATGATTTCCAGCAAGGGTGCCACTCCACTGAAAGGGAGAAAAGACAATCTTTCCAATAAATGGTGCTGGGAAAATTGGATACCCACATGCAAAAGAATGAAGTTGGACCCTTAGCTAACAGCATATACAAAAATTAACTCAAAATGGATCAAAGACCTAAACACAAAAACTACAACTACAAAACTCTTAGAAGAAAATATAGGCGAAATAGTTCACTATAATAGATTTGGCAATGATTTCTTGGATATGACACCAAACACACAGACAATAAAAGAGCAAATAGATAAATTGATCTTCATCAAAATTTAAAAAATATTTTTATGCATCAACATACATTATAAATGGAATAAAAATGCAAGTCATAGAATGGTAGCAAATATTTGCAGATTTTATGTCTGACAATATTTTTATGTCCAGATATATAAAGAGCTTCTAAAACTCAACAACAAACAACCCAACATGATTTAAAAATGGGCAAAATAGACATTTGTCCAAAGAAGATATACAGATGCTCAGTAGAATACTTTTTAACCACATTCCTATAAATGGACATTAGATTGTTTCTATTTTTTTTACTACTATAAGAGTGGTGCAGTAATCACTGTTATAATACCAAATGTATGTATATACATGTATTTACTTGTTATAATTACTCATCTAAATTATTACTCATGTAACAAATATATACTAAGAACCTGTAAATGCTTGGTCCCTGCTTTAAAGGAGGAGGACTAGTGAGCCTATTTAATTATTTTGATGATAAATATTATGAAGAAAAAGCACAGGGAACCATGAGGATGAATAACTTGACTTGGGCAACTCACCGGTGGGTTTTCCTGAGGTAGGTAATATGGGGTTTACTGCATTAATTCTTAGGCTTGGAATTGTTGGCTGAAAGGTTAAAGGGGTTTCATCTTTAAAATTTTAATACATATTGCCAATTTGTCCTCCACAAGGTTTACTAATTTACAATCACATGCAAAAAAAAAAAAAAAAGTATAGACTTGCACCTGTTTCCAATATTACCATTCATACTGGCCTGGGTTTATCCATTCATTTATAAATTATGAACTTTCTTGGATACTGACTACATGCCAGGCACCATGCCAGGGTGAATTAGAGACATAGTTCCTTGTCTTGACAACTTCACTGTGGGCTGGGGAGAGACAGACAATAAATACGACAATAAATACATTACTTTAAATGACTTAGTTATGTTTCCACACCCAGCTGAAATGGGCCCGGGAGAATCACTGTGTTTCTTGTTGTCGATCTGGGATGAAATTAGGGCAGCTGGGTTAAAAACATAGTTGAAAGCAGTGGTTTTCAAGCAGGGGTGATTTTGCCACTCAGGGGACTTTGGTGATGTCTG
The DNA here is from genome assembly GCF_000001405.40 of Homo sapiens. Classification (NCBI taxonomy): domain Eukaryota; kingdom Metazoa; phylum Chordata; class Mammalia; order Primates; family Hominidae; genus Homo; species Homo sapiens. The sequence continues at coordinate 6,887,679 of NC_000008.11, forward strand.
GAGACACTTTTGCTGCTGCAGCTTAGGAGGGAGCACTATGAGCATCTGGTCACTAGAGGTCAGGGGTGCTGCTGAACATCCTGCAAGGCACAGGGTGGCCTCCTATGATAAAGAATTATCGAGCCCCAAATGTTAATTGTGCCAAGGTTGAGAGACCCTGGCAAAAGAAAGAACCAGACAAGGCAGGGTTCAAATCCTAGGCTAGCCACTGTAAAGGCATCTCAGCGGTCGTCAACATGCTTGTCTTTTGCATAGGGGACGAGATTAGATGTTGTGATTATTAGATGAGAAAAATGAATTGAACTGTGGAGCACAGGACACAGCAGAAGTTGTCCATGAATGGTGGGTCATAGTATAATGATGACACACCACAGTGGAAGAAGGATGGGAGATGGATATTTCTTAATGTGTAGCTCTGGGACCACTTTAGAGGAAGCATGGTAGGAGCAGGAGGAGCTGTGGGGCTTGGTGACTTAGGGAAGGATGGATCCGTGCCTCTCGTTGTTTCTCTGCTATCTTGTTTGCGTTGCATTTTCTTGGTCAGTTCTGTTTGTCATTTTTGAACAGTTTCTTGGATCATTTAAAAAATTGTTTTGCAGCTTTTTTTTTATCCTTTGAAATCAGTGCTGTTGTTTCTCATGCATGTTACCAGTGTTTCCCCCACTTTATCATTCAACCTGATTCATTATGTTTCTTCTTTGTTCTGCAGGATAGAATTGCTCAGTGTAATAACAATGTTTCAATGTCTTCTATTTTGAATATAATCACAATGTCCACTCCTTTGAGTAAAAAATGATAGGTCCGGTGATGGCCATTGGCCCAAATGGTGGCCTTACTGAGCTACACAGCTCCAAAGGGAGCCAGCAGTAGAATCCTGGCTTTCTGGGCCACATTTGGGCCACCGTGGAGATAGATGAGTGTGTGATGTCAGTGTACCTTACAGAGGTGATGCAAGTAGCTCAGACTCACACTGTGAATCCACAGTGCTTGGTGCTTTCAAAGGGTTTCAAAGGATTTCTTGAGAAGCAAATTCTATTTGCAGATAATTTCTATTTCAGTTCCTTTCTGAAATATGAAGGCAAAATGTTAAAAAAGTGACATTGATATTATAACTCATAATTCGCATAACAACCTTTTTGTTGGCCGGGTTGGAGACGTTACACACACTTTGAAGAAACACAAAGCCAGTAGTAATTCTACAATTCAGAAAAAGCTTTATCTGGCAGCATCTTTTTGTTCTACATCCAAATCCCATTGTGATATCTAATAGAAAAAGCCTTAGAGGTGGCAAAGAGGTGGATGGATGGTCTTAATGTCCACCCTAGCTCCCCAGCGATCCTCCTAGGATGTGTTGCAATGCGTCTAATATTCTTTCCAGAACCGAGTGTTGAATGGTGTTCCCCACTGCAATAGAAACACACTTGGAATAGGATAGCATTTATAGTCATGACCAACCTGTACCCCGCAGGGAGTTGCAAGCTGTGCTCTGGCAGATGGAACCGAAAACACACCTCTGCCAGGGAAGCTTTGAGCCAAGCGAGGAAATCAAATTCTTCCTGTTGTGCCCAGAATTGTGATTTACTGCCCATCCGAATCATAGCCTCATAATATCTCAGCTGGAAGGACGTAGCCAGTGTCTACTCCAGGGAGTTTCTGGGAGTCCCTGGGACTTAGAGTTCTGCCAGTACCAACAAGGCTGCGCTCGACACCTTAGCCCACTTCCTAGCCATAGCCATTTCTTCCACAGGCCAGGACTTCTGAATGGCTTTTGTGTGACAGACAGTTTCTGGCAGTTAATAAAAGGAAAGGTAGAACTAATCTAGCTCAACATCATCAGATAATTTACAGATATAGAAGATAATTGCAGAGTGTAAAGAGATTTGTTCAAAGTGACAGCGTGAAAGCTAAAAAAGGGACAATCAGAGGCTTCCCTGAGCCTCTGAAGTGAGGTGACTGTACCTGCATCTGTCCCAGCACCGGGCCCAGCCAATCCCACTTGGCTGGGGTGGGTGGTGCTGCCTGAGAGTCCGGGCAGTCCCTTTTCACCCCTGAGCCTGACCCTGGTTTCTCAGAATCTCAGAATCTAGCTATTTTGAAATATACAATACATCATGGTCAACTATAATCACCCTACTGGGCAGTAGAGCACCAGAACGTTTTCTTCCTGTTTAATGGTAACTTTGTGCCCATTGACCAACCCCTCCCCATCCCCCCTCCCCCTCCCCTCCCCATCCCCCCTCCCCGTCCCCTCCCCAGTCTCAGGTAAGGCTATTCTCCTCTCTGCTTTTGTGAGATCCACTTTTTGGTTTCTGCATATGAGTGAGATCAGGTGGTATTTGTCTCTCTGTGTCTGGCTTACTGATGATTACACAAGGTGTACATATGTCAGTATCACAGTGTAACTCATACATATGTACAATTATTATGTGTCAATTAAAAATAAAGCAAAGAAAAATAAAAACAAACAAAAAAAATCTGAGCATACATAGGGCTCTTCAAGGTCCTTAACTTTTGGGGACTTCTTTTTGTTTCACACCAAAAGGAATCATGGTTGTCCTCTGCCAAATGCCAGCCAGGTTGTTTCATACTGTTTTAACCTTGTTGAAAACAAAGGCAATTGGAAGCATTTCAGCAACTCAAGAGATCATGTGTTTATGTGATTTATTGTGAGTGTGGAGTAAAAGGGTTACTAGACGCTAAAGGAAGTAAAACCAATTTTGTGTGTGCAACTATCAGCTCCCATCTGAAATCCCCCCAGACAGCTTCCTGCTGTAACCAGCTTTTTCCTGTGAGTGGTTTGTTCATTGGCTTTGCAGAAATGAGAACAGCCAATGATGTCAGGAGTCCGGATTTGCCGAAGTCATCAGCATCTGGCAAAGCCTGAGCTGGAGCCAGAAGGAGGCGCCATGGCCTGGTGGGAAGCCCCGATGAAGAGTGGGAGGTGAAGCTGGAGTCAGGGTTTTGTGGAACCGCCTGTGCCCGATCTGTGAGAAGCTATGGGTTATCAGCCACCCCCGGTTTCCTCCCTTTTAAAAGAAGAGGGTGAATTTTATGTCTTTTTAGGGACCAATTTTCAAACTAGGCAGCTCATCAGAATCACCTGGTGATTCTTCACCCAAAAAAAAAATCACCCTCGAATCAGAATTTTTGATAATGAGGCTCTAGGATCTGTCTTTTTAACAAACCCCCCAAATGGCCACAACTCACACAATGTTACTGCTTCATGCTTTTACACATCTTGATGTATTTCTAGGATTTGTGAATGTATGCTTTTTCAATTTTAGCATTTTGAAGTTAAGGTGAATCTTATAATTGATGTAAATAATTAATGTGGTCTTCTCTCCCCTTCCCCCGATTCTCCTTGAGAAGTGGATAATGAATTGTGAATCTTATATGCGGCGGTATTTTTAAGTGAAGGAAACACCTCCTCTCATTTCCAACTTTACAACAACTACGTGAAGTAGGTTGTGCAAGAATTATTTATCCCCTCTTCCCAGAAGAAGAAACGGGCTTGAATAGGTTAGGCACATTACCCTTTGATTTATTTATTCAACCCACGTTAATAATAAGCATCTTCTGTATGTAGGGGCTGGGCTAGATTGGGAGAAAGCAGAGATGAAGACCTGGCTCCTGTCCCCAAGGAGCTTGCAGGCTTGTGGGGGCATCAGAGCAATAATTCGTGCCCGTGGCTAGATCAATATTGGCTCTAGAAGTCTCCTCTGGGAGGTGAGGGGAAGAGCGACTGGTTCTCATGGGGCTTAGGAAAGGCACCGTTGGAGAAGTGGCATTTAGAGGGAGCTTGAAGAATGGGTAGGGCATGCTGGACACTGTTATAGTGCTATCCTCGGAGACTGCAAAGCCAAGGAATCAAACCGTAGACACACAGCAGGATTCTGGTGGTGGAAACACATGTTGGCATCCTTGCTCTCTCAATGTGACTTGGGGCAATTTGTGACCATCTCTCCTCTGAAGAACGGAGGGCTGTTGTTGGAGTTAGGTGAGACGATGTTGGCCAAGAGCTTGCATAGTGTCGACACTTCAGCAACACAGGAAGTGGGGTAGGACCCAGGTGTGATGGGTAATTTTCTTTATCAACCTGACTGGGCTGTGTTCAGAAAGCTGGTAACACACTCATTCTGGGTGTGTCTGACGGTGATTGGGAGAGCTGTTAGCATTTGAATCTGTAGTAAAGAAAATGTGCACTCACCAGCATGGGCGGCATTGTGCAATTTCTTGGGGGAGGAATAGAACAAAGAGGCAAACTCGCTCTCTTTTCTTGAGCTGGAACATCCATCCTTTCCTGCCCTGGGACATTGGAACTTCTAGTTCAGGCGCTTTAAGACTCCGATCAGGATTTTCTCCGTAGACTGCCCTGGTGCTCAGGCCCTCGGGTTTGGACTGCACGACATCTGCAGCTTTCCTGGGCCTCTGGCTTGCAGATGGCAGATAGTGGGACTGCTCAGCCTCCGTCATCACATGAGCCAGTCCCTCCTAATAAGCATCTTTCTATCTATTTATGAATGTGCTTTTGGTTCTTTTTCTCTGGAGAACCCTGACTAATGCACCAGGATAGGAATGATTCGGAAGGAGGGAAGAGGCTTAGGGCCCTGCCCTGCTGGGTTCTGTTGCAAGTGGAGGGCAGGCTGAAGGGGAGCTGGCTTTGTGATAATTCATGGGGTTGAACACTTGGTAGGCTCTTCGGCGTGAAGAGATCAGACCCATCCTGCACTCCTGCCCTCAGCCCACTTTTGCTCTTTTGTCCACTGTCACTGAGGGACTTGGCGGCGTCAGAGCCACAGAGAGGGAAGGCTTGGACTCAGGAAAACAGTGAGCATGCCACCTCTTCTGTCATCCAACAGTAGGCCTGGAAGGACTTTTATCAATGCTGTGCCTGGCACTACACACACACACACACACACACACACACACACACACACACACACAAACACACACGGATGAGACAGAGATGGGTCTCATTCTCAGCACGGCATACAAGTGTTAAATAATTTTGCAGGTGTTAAATCTCTTGCAGGCGCAGCACACGGACTAGTATTCATGTGAATCCAGGGTCGTGACATCGTTTGGGTGTGAGGGAAGTCCTTTCAGAGCTTGGGGTGTTGAAGTTGAGATTTGAAAGATGAGCAGAAGCTGTTCAGGCAAAAGGAGTGGTGCAGGGAGAGAGGGGCTATGAGCACTCTAGGCAGAGGACATAGACCCTCAGAGGCCATCCATGTTAGGAACCAGCAAAGTGCATTGCAGCTGGCCCTGAAAAACGGGGAGAGGAGGACAGCAGGCTCAGGGGCTTGGCCACCATGCCTGGGGAACCCTGCCAAGGATGGGGAACTTTTCTTTTCTTTTTTTTTTTTGAGACATAGTCTTTCTCTGTTACCCAGGCTTGAGTGCAGTGGCCTGATCATGGCTCACTGCAGCCTTGACCTCCCAAGCTCAAGAGATTTCCAGGCCCCACCTTAGTCTCCTGAGAAGCTAGGACTACAGGCAGGTGCCACCACTCCTGGCTAATTTTTTGTTTCTTTTTCTGTGTGTGGGCAGATGGGGTTTTACCATGTTGCCCAGACTGGTTTTGAACTCCTGGGCTCAAGAGATCTGCCTGCGCAGCCTCCCAGAGGCTGGGATTACAGGCATGAGCCACTATGCCTGGCAATGTGGAACTTTTCTACAAGGACAAGAGGAAACCGTTGAACAGTTTCTTTTCTTTTTAAATATTGTGGCAAAATACACATAACTCAAAATTTACCATTTTAACAATGTTTAAGTGTGTAGTCCAGTGGCATTAAGTAAACTCACGTTGTTGTTCAGTCATCACCATCCATCTCCAGAACTTTTTTATCTTGTAAAACTGAAACTCCATACCCATTAAGCAGTAACTCCCACTTTCCTCTCGCCCAGCCCCTGGTAAACCCAGCTATACTTTCCATCTCTGTGAATTTAACTAGTGTAGGTGCCTTGTCTGAATGGAATCGCACGGTATTTGTCCTTTTGTGTCTGGCTTCTTTCACTGAGCACAATGTCCTCAAGGCTCATCCATGTAGCATGTGTGAGAATTTCCTTTCTTCTAAGGCTGAATACTATTTCATTGCCTGTGTATACTACATTTTGTTTATCCAGTCATTCGTTTGGACACCTATCAAAAGATTTTAAGAGAGTAACATGGTCCGATTTACATTTTGGAAACATCAGCCTCGTTGCTTTGTGGAGGCTGATTTGGAAGAAGATGTGAGTGGCTGCAGGGAGCCCAGTTAGGAGGCTGCCAGATGAGTCCAGTATAAGAGGCTGGGTGGCGGTGAGGATGGTAGAAATGGAAGGTTTAAGAGCTATTAATACTTAGAAGGAGGAATGAAAAGTTTATTTGGGTGTAGGAAGTGGAGGAGAAAGAGGACTCAAGAGTCATTTCAGGTGGATGGGGCTGTTATTTACAAGGGCAAGCTGCAGACAATGAGTTGGGCTTTGGGTTTGTGGAGTTTGAGAAGTGCATGGGCCATTCAGGCAGGGATATATGCTTCTAAGCTCGAGGCTCATTTGGGAAAGTACTGGCCTAGAGAGGCAATCAGTGCCAAAGGGGTGCGTGAAACTCCTCTCTGCAGAATGAAAAGCAGAAAAGGCCAAGGAGACATTCCTTAGTAACTCCAACATCTGAGGTCTAGTAGAGTTGGATTGGCCAACCAACAACAGTACAAGGGGTTGTTCTGAGAGCACCAAACCAGAGGAGTGTGGTGTCATGAGAGCCAAGGGAAGATAAGGGCTTTTAGGAAGAAAGTGTTTGGTGAGAGAGACTGAAAGAGCGCTCACTGGTTTCAGCAACACAGAGGTAACTGGTAGCATTGGTGAAGGCAATGGCATATTGAGAAGCTGCAGAAGCTGAGACATTCGATGGTTACCAGCTGTGTGTTCTTGGTGTAGTTGTTCAATTTCTCTGAGCCATTAATTCCTAATCTGCAAAATGATACACCCAATAACTCATAGCACCTGTGCATTTAGGGGTTGGAGGTAGATAGAATATGGCTTCCAGAGTCAAGGCAAGGTCTATCTGTACAAGGTGATCTTCTTGACTTTGTGGTTGACTCCCTGGACTCTCTGTTCTATGCAAGCCGGCAACAAAGGGGTTTTGCAGCGTTGGTCAATGTTGTCTTCAACATTTGCACTCAGGACTTTTAATGGATGGGGGATTAGGATGAGCAAGAACAACCAGGCTTTTCTGCTGCAGGAAACATCCCAGGTGCATTTACTCACTCTCTGGTGTTTTATTTCTGAGAAGCCAGCAGCAAGAGAGAGGATGCTGGGGTTGGGAGGCTTGGACTCTGGGCTCAATGCTGTGGGTGACTGGCCATGCAGCCTTGGCAAGCCACTGACTCCCACCTTTGAAATTCCTAACCTATGACATGGAGCCTTCTTCAGCTAGATAATTCTGGAATGTACTTCCTCATTTCAGGTGTGTCTGTATTGCAAATAAGTCCCTACCAAAAAAAGTTGTTGTATTTTGGACAAAAAGACACATCTCCAAGCCAGGTACTTGCATAGCTCTTGTCACAGTTAATTCCCAAAACAACTCTGTGATGTGGGTACTGCTAATCCCATTTAATACATGATGATTGCTTGGCTTCAGGGGCTAATGACTTGCTCATGTGGGAGAGAGTGTTTGTATCAGGTAGCAGGAAGTTATGTTTAGGCAGGGGATTATTAATTGAAACCGTAATTGATCACTTGCTCTTTTGCAAAAGGAATCTGTTGTGTCAGCCAATGCCTGGAAGAACCCAGACACTCATTCCTGTCCTGAGAGTAAATCTAAGATCCTCAGCTGACGCTTGGAGACCTCTGTTCTTTGGCTCCAATCACATTTTGCTGGTTTAGTGTCCACTTTTCTCTTGCACTTCCACTTACACCTATGCTTTGGTTTTACTGCTCCCTCCAAGTCCTACATCTTCTGCCTTGATAGCTTTGGGCAGGTGACTCCCTTGGCCTGGGACACCCTTTCTTGGTGACACAGTTTGGAATTCTGTCGTTGTGTCAAGGCCAGTGAACCTTTCCTGACCTCCCAATGCTGTAGCATTTTCCTCCTTTTGAATCTGCACTGTATTTTTTACTTTCCTCCTAGTGTCTCTGCCTTGAATCAGAGTTATTTGCCTCTTTATTGCCTTTATATTAGAACATGAAGGTGATTTAGTCTTTGAATTTCATACAAAGGAAACCCATGACAACAGTTGGCACGTAATGAAAGCTCAGTGGGTATTTGTTGATTTCAGATGCATGCATCCTTAACTGGTTTTGGCTCACTTATGCACTCATTGATTGAACAGCTAATTATTAGGGTCTAAGATAATGAATATGATGTTCCATCACCTTTAGCTTGGAGAAAACATCCCATGAAATGGCCACACATTTCTTCTGGGATGCCCCCCGTTAGCCGTCTCGGCTGGGGCTTCCTGTCCTGGCATGTTCGCACAGCATGTAAGAGGTCCTGTGGGACACACGCTCTCATATGATCACTGCCTCAGCCTGTGAGACTAGTATAGCAGATCCATCTTCCCCAAGGTCCCATTTTCTGGAGGTGGAAACTGATGTTCAACAGTGTGGACCGACTTGCCTTGTGTCTCCCAGCTACTGGGTCTGTAGATGCTGAGTCTTCTGGCTTCTGTTCCTGTGGTATTTCTGGGAGTCAAGGAAGGATAGGAAGAAAAGGTAAAGGAACAAGTAGGGAGGTGAGGAAAACACACCAGAGAACAGTGTGGAGAAGGAAGAATCCGACTCCTGGGGCTCATGGCCTGGCGTAAGAGCAGGTTGCTTCTGGGGCTGCCACCAGTTTACCCATGTGAAGGCAGACTTTGCTCCTAAGTCCTGGATCTCACTCACTGCAGGGTGGCTTCTGGGCAGCAGAGGCCAATGAGCTGGGCACAGAGACCAGGTCGGAGGCAAGTCTTGGCCCAGATCTTCACAAAATCCTGCCCTAACTCTACCTATGGACTTCAAAATTACAACTGCGTTTAAAAGTGTCCCAAACCAAGCAAGCTTTATTGTTTAACAGTATTGAGAGTAGGGTAATTCAGGATGTAATGGAACAGCTGTCTTATCAGGAAAAAGGGGGTGTACTCTCTCCCCCAATTTCTCCCTCCTACCTCTGTAAACCCTCATTTCCTCCTTACCGCCTACCAACCAGCATAGCTGCTTCCCAGCAAAGCCCGTGGAAGGCCAGGCTGGGTGCTGGATTCTGGGTCCCTACATGCTTAGTAAATCATCATGCACCTGCCATGTGAGCCCTGGCTTAGAGCCAGGCTTTCTCATCAAAGCAAACTGCTTGTGTTGTGTCCATAAGCGGCAAGCACTGCCAGACACTCCCAGCCATCTGGAAGAGCAAGCTGGATGCTCCCAGCAAGGCCCAACCAGAATCTTCACGGGGTGCCTTCGTGGCCTTGGTTCCTCGTTTATTAAGTATGAGTGTGGCCCTCATGAGTTCTAAGGTTTTTACCTTCCTCCTTTGGAATCTACGATCCAGAATGGGATCAGCTCCCTCCAGGAGAGTTTCATGCAGCCTGGAAACCTTCCTCACCTCCTGGCTTGGGTTATGGGACTAGGCTGCACCCTACAGCATGGCAGACCTGCAGACTCAGGAGGCTAAAACCCCGGTTACCCACTGTGAGGAACTGGGTGGTGTTAGGGGAGTTACCTAATGCTCTGTGCCTCAGTTTCCCCATTTGTGAGGTGGTGACAATAACCAGTATCTACTGCAAAATATTGTTGCAAGGATTAAATGTTGTTATGAAATCAGGATAGTGCCTGTCACCCAGCCAGCGATGGTGGGCCTTACTGTTTTTGCTGTTTTTGTAGGCACCTGGAGGCTCACACTCCTTGAAGGTGGGCACTTCATCTCAATCATCTTTGGATTCCTACTCCCTGTACTTGTGTGGGCCACCCTGGGCTCCCAGCAATGTCCCTGAGCTGGGGTCGACTGCCCTTCCACCTATTCTAGGCCTGCTGTGTACCCCTGGTTGAGTATTTATCCCATGCTCAGAGCACTGGAGCTGCTGTGAATCATAGGACTTGTTGGATACCACCCTGGGCTAGGATATCTGTCATTCTCATCATACAACAAACATGTTTATATATCAAATGCAAATACCAGGTGTAGATATTTTCATTTGTGTGATCGTGGAATTTGCTAACATTCATATATTAAACAGTGACTCCACTAGCCAGTGATGCAGTGAAATGAAGGCACTGGATGGAGCAGTTGCGCTGCTGCGTCTTGGAGGGATAGGATAGCAAGTGTGCTGCTGTGGTGAGACCTCCGTTTCCTCCTGGAGATGGCAGCTGAGCTAGGCCTTCACCTGGGATGCCAGGTGTTTTGGTGTCAGGGACTGAGGGAATGCTCTTGGTAGGGGTTGCTCAATGCTTTCAAATTTTCACAGGTTCCCAGGTTTGTCTCTAGACACACAACCAGCAGTTTGGTTTCTGTCATAGAGAGAAAGGACTTGTGAGCCAGTGGTACCCCTGGCTGTACTCTACAGCCATGACTCCAACCCTCCCCGAAACCATCTCCACTGCACCTTCCCGGTGGTCTGCTCAGGACACTGGAGAGATGACAGGCTTTGAACAAAGGCTCAGGTTTCCGGCTTGAAAACAGCCTTGCTGGAAAGCAGCAGCACCCTCACTGGGGCAAGAAACTCCATGGGCCCAATCTTTCCAGTTGTGGCATCACCATCACTCTTGACTTCTGTAAGCTTTTCTTAAGATCTGACCCTCACAAACAGACAAATAAAAGCAAACATTTATTTCTTGTGCCATATACTTTTTTCTGGTAATATACATATATATGTATGTATATGTATATATACACACATATATATGTATATATACACATATATAACATATATCATATATGTGTATATGTACACATACACATACACACACACATATATGATATATATCACATATGTTACATATTATATTACATGTATGTATATATTATATATTATATATTATATATATTATATTATATATTATATATATTATATTATATATTATATATATTATATTATATATTATATATATTATATTATATATTATATATATTATATTATATATTATATATATTATATTATATATTATATATATTATATTATATATATAATATATATTATATTATGTATTATATGTATTATATATGTATATTTAGAATTGGCCAGCTTTTTAGATGATCTCAATTTTGTTGGCAACACCCAAAGCATTGTAATCAGGATCCAGTCAAACATATGCCTTCTTCTCTCCATCAGGCCGAATCAGGGAGTTGACCTTGGCCACATCCATGTCATAGAGCTTCTTCACAGCCTGTTTGATCTGGTGCTTGTTGGCTTTAACATCCACAATAAACAGAAGTGTGTTGTTGTCTTCTGTCTTCTTCACGGCCGACTCAGTGGTCAGCGGCAACTCGATGATAGCATAGTGGTCAAGCTTGTTCTCCAGGAGACGCTCTCCCGAGGATATTTTGGCGCTTGTTCTCCCGGTGGGGGGGAGCTCTCTCGAGGATATCTGGGCTGCTTGTTCTCCAGGGGGAGCTCTCTCGAGGATATCTGGGTGCTTGTTCTTCGGGGGGCGCTGTCTCGAGGATATTTGGGCTGCCTCCGGAGTCGCAGTGTTATCGGAAAGTGGGTGACGTGCGGATCTTCTTTTTTTTTTGTGGCTGTGGACGCCTTTCAACACTACCTTCTTGGCCTTCAAAGCCTTCACTTTGGCTTCCGCTTCAGGAGGGGCAGGAGCTTCCATCTTTGCTTTCGGCGCCATCTTGTGAAAAGGCTACGTTGTTTTTTTTTTTTAATTATGGAAAAATCTATATAACATAAAATTCACCATTATAACCATTTTTAAGTGTGCAGTTCTGTGGCACTAACTATATTTGTATTGTTATGCAACCACCACCACTATCCATCTCTAGATATTTTAAAATCTCTCCCAGTGGAAACTCTGTACCCATGAAACACCAACTCTCCATTTCCCTGGTAACCCCCATTCTACTTTCCATCTGTATGAATTCAGCTACTCTAGGTACCTCATATGAGTGGAATCATACAGTATTTGTCCTTTTGTGACTGGACTTATTTCACCTAGCGTAATGTTTTCAAGGTTCATTCATGGAGTAGCACGTGTCAGAATTTCCTTCCTTTCTAAGGCTGAATAATGTTCCATTGCCTGTGGACGACCCATTCTGTTCATCCATTCTGCAGTCCATGGACACTTGGGTTGCTTCCACCCTCTGGCCATTGCGAATAATGTTGCTGTAGACATGAATGTACAAATATCTGTTTGTATCTCTGCTTTCACTTGTTTTGGGTATGGATATGGTTTGGCTGTGTGTCCCCACCCAAATCTCATGTTGAATTGTAATCCCCTGTGTTGGGGCAGAAACCTGCTGGGAGGTGATTGGATCATGGGGGCGGATTTCCCCCATGCTGTTCTCATGATAGTGAGTGAGTTCTCACAATATCCGGTTGTTTAAAAATGCATGGCCTCTCCCTTCTTCTGCTCTCTCTTGCTCCTGCTCTGGCATGTGAGATGTGCCTGCTTCCCCTTTGCCTTCTGCCATGATTGTAAGTTTTCTGAGGCCTCCCCAGCCATGCTTCCCGTACAGCCTGTGGAACAGTGAGTCAATTAAACCTCTTTCTTTATAAATTACCCAGTCTCAGTCTCAGGTATTTCTTCATAGCAATGTGAGAATGGACTGGATCATATAGTAAATCTATGTTTAATTTTTAAGGAACCACCATGATGTTTTCCATAGCAGCTGCACCATTTTATATTCTCACCCATAGTGTGCAAGGGTTCTGATTTCTCTACATCCTCATCAATAAATGCTATAACATATAGTTTGCAGGCATCATATTTCATTCTTACAACAACCCAGCAAAGCAGACCGTAATGCCCAAATATAGACAGGCAGTTTGGAGATATTAGTGAAATACAAAACAACCTTTCCAGGGCCAGCTAGGAAAAGAGTGAAGTCAGGATCCAGACTTGGCTTTGGATTCCAAAGCCCATGCCCTTCCCAGCCTATCAGACTATATCTCTAATAGATGAATGCATTCTTAATTCACCTAAAATGTTAGTATAAATTATTACCTTTTAAACTGGGTACCTGCTCAATAGAGTATTTTGGGCACTGGGTTGTCAACAAATCATCTCTGCACCATGGTGTGCCTTGGTTCCGGGAGAGCATATTCTAATGCATAATTAGTAGAAATAATGGAGTCTATCATAGATTTGCTCTGATCTGAGATGGTTAGTAACAGGGCACACGGTGCACAGATTCCTTTCCTTTTACTCATTTGGCAAACAGTCACGGAGCCTATCCTCTGTGCCGGGATGTGCATGGGGCTGGGATTTTAGGGATTCAAAGGTTTGGTTCCTGCCTACGAGCCACTGAAGCCACAGGTGGCAGGGACAGTAAACAAGGTCTGCCCACAGCCGGATGAGATAAAAGCTGGTGGAGGTTAAGTGAAAGCCATCCCTGCTCTACTTTTGAAGGTAGGAACCACAGCCAGGTTTCACAAATAAAACTGATGACAGAACCCATGTGTCTCATTGCGCTGGCTGCTGAGAAATTGCGCAAACCGTGGCAACAATGAGCTTTTGTTTTGTGAACCCAAAGTATTAGAGACGGGTCTCAATCAATTTGGAAAGTTTATTTTGCCAAGGTTAAAGACTTGCCCGTGACACGGCCTCAGGAGGTCCTGATGACATGTGCCCAAGGTGGTCAGGGGACGCCTTGCTTTTTAAACATTTTAGGGAGATATGAGACAAATCAATATGTGTAAGCTGTACATTGGTTTGGTCTGTAAAGTTGGGACAACTCAAGGCGGGGGCTTCCACGTCATAGGTAGATAGGAGCCCAAAGTTTGCGTTCTTTTGAGTTTTTGCTCAGCCTTTCAGTGAATATACAATATATATGTGAGAGTGGGATAGGGGAATAGTCACTTATGTCTTAGTCTGGCTCAGTGAATCTGCATTCTCCATCAACAAAAGGGCAGAGGAAGCAATCAGATGTGCATTTGCCTCAGGTGAGCAGAGGGATGACTTTCTGTCCCACACCTGGGAAGGTAAGCTATCAGTTTACACTGTCAGGGTAAAATTCAGCAGAACTGTTCTAGGGGAAAAATCTTGAGGCCCACAAGGAATTTCCTTGTGGGAAAATTGTGAGGGAGGTGTGTAGCTTTTTAAATCTTTGCAGCTATCTTATCTAGGAATAAAATGGGAGGCAGGTTTGCCTATCGCAGTTCCCTGCTTGAATTTTCCCCTTGGCTTAGTGATTTGGTGGTCCCGAGATTGATTTTCCTTTCACAGGTTAAATAAATATGCCGTGCAATATTCTTAAATAGATGAACAAGATTATTAGTTGTTGAAAATCAGAGTCTTGAAATTTTTTAATGCATTCTTTTTTGTTTGAGACCAAGTCTCACTCTGTTGCCCAGGCTGGAGTGCAGTGGCATGATCTTGGCTCACGGCAACTTCTGCCCTCTGGGGTCAAGCGATTCTGGTGCCTCAGCCTCCTGAGTAGCTGGGACTACAGGCATGCGCCCCCACAGCTGATTAATTTTTGCATTTGTAGTAGAGATGGGGTTTCACCATGTTGGCCAGGCTGGTCTCGAACTCCTGACCTCAAATGATCAGCCTACCTTGGCCTCCCAAAGTGCTGGGATTACAGGCGTGAGCCACTGCGCCTGGCCCTTTCTAGTGCATTTGAATCAGTCTAAATATCAATGGGTTCCTTATTAGTTTGCCCATTTATTCATGGATGTTGATTGACTGCTTGCTGTGCATCTGGGAGCCTCCTGTCTCCCAGCTGGCTGTGCCCTCAGCAGCAACACTCTTGTCCCTCCCACGTGTGGGCCTGAGTCAGGGTTCACTACTGTGGGGAACTCGTGAGGGATTTGGACAGTTTTGGTGAAGTGCAGGCCACCATTCTTGGAGATTGGTGGAGGTTTCTTAGCCTTCTCGGCAACAGGCCTCAGCCATGGGTGGGGAGGCTTCTGTGACCTTGGTCTGCAGCCTGGAGGACGACACTTCCCCTGCGCCCGCCCTCCCTGTTTCCTGGCTCCACTTGCAGGGGCTCTGTCCTGATGCCAATCACATGGAGTCACAGGACAAGCAAGGTTCCTTCCCTCCTAGAACTTCTGTTTTACTAGAATAGGTTAACCCAGTGGAAAAGACGGACAACAGACCCATAAACTCTGTGTGTGTGTGTGTGTGTGTGTAAAATATGGTGTCAGGCAGGGGAAAGTGTGTAAAAAATTAATCAGGATAAGTGGATGAAGAGGTTAGTTTAAGAGGAGGCAGTCTGAGAAGGCCTCTCTAGAGAGGGAGCCACCAATATTGTATACACGCACGCGCACAGACACACACAGCCACACATACACACACACACACGTAGACACACTCACACATACAGACGCACCCACACATACAGACACACACAGACACACACACAGACACATAAGCACACAGACACACACACATACAGACACAGACACACATGCACAGACACACATGCAGACACACACACACAGGCACACACAGATACATAGACACACACATGCACAGACACACATACACACAGATACACACAGACACACAGAGACACACAGACACACACGCACAGACACACACACAGACACACAGAGACACACACATACAGACACACACATGCACATGCTGACCCACGGGTGCACATACACACACAGGCTGAGCCGGCTGGTATTTCCTCTCTTCCCCTGTTTTGCCCAGACACGCAGGCATCACGGTGTCTGCTGGCCACATCCTCCACCCAAACGCAAAAGCTGGGAGAGGAGCCTAGAGGGTAGGTAACAATAAGGTCAAGGGCAGTTGCTGCCTCAGAGGACACATCCCAGATGAGGCACAGGCTGGGAAGGAGCCCAGGGGCAGCAGGGACCCAGGGGGAAGAGAAAGGACAGGGGGAAGAGAAAGGATGGGGGAAGAGAAAGGACAGGCTGGATGAAGCCCCCCCACGATTCTTTCTGACCCAGCATGCCCTCCATCCACCATCCCTCAGCCCCAGTCACCAGCGTAGGCGCTCCAAGGACTGGTGTGAACTGAGGGCATGAGTGCAGCCTGGGGCACAGAGATGACTGTTCTCACTGCAAGCCTATCAAGCCCTCCTGGCTTCCACTCTGTGCTGCCTGAAATGTCTATAAATGGTGTCTGTAAGTCTGTGGCGTGTAAAGGCTGCCTTCCTCCTCCCTGATGTGCATAAGGGCAGAGCTGTAAGGTGAATTCTAGCCCAGTGGCGTATGCGAGCTGGACAGGTAGAGTGCAAGTACTTGCCTCCCTGAGTCTCTGTCTCATCCTGGGAGATAGGGTGACAGTGGCCTTATAGGACTGTTGCTGTGGAGGTCAAATGGGCTAAGGCCCAGTGCCTTCTGTGTGGCTAGGCTCATGGCTGTAGCATTGCAAGAATCCCAGGCTTTAGTGTCTGCGACTGTGAATTCCAGCATGGCTAATTATTAGACAAGTAACTGGGAGTATATAACCAAAGTGCCCGGGTCACATTTTCTGTAGCTGCAGAACAACACCTGTTTTGCATAAGACCAGATGGCAAAATGTGGGAAAATGCTGCACTGAATACAAGTTTGGGTTGACTGGCTCCACCGGGCCCAGGCGTGTGGCAGTTGTGATGGAATCCACTTCACGTCTTCCTCTGACAGGGTGTGTGTACTCAGCCCAGGAGCTGGGGAGACCTCATGTTCATATTAGTTTGGTGCAAAAGCAATTGCGGTTTCAGACTGTGAATTTTAAAAAATTATAACTAGGCTCAAATACATTTTTATTAGTCAAAATAGGAACCATTACAATCAACACATTTTTGCCAACAAGAAATAAGTTTGTTTATTCCTGTAGTGTAAAAATTTGTGTTTCAGGATTTGAGTAACTGTTGGAAAGCATTTTTCTGCATCCTGCTGGTTGCGGAAGTGTATTCCCTGCAAAAAGTTGTCCAGATGCTTGAAGATGTAGTTGGTTGGCAAGAGGTTCAGGTGAATATGGTGCATGAGGCAAAACGTCATAGCCCAATTCGTTCAAGTTTTGGAGCATGGATCGTGCAACTTGGGGTCGGGCATTGTCGAGGAGAGAATTGGGCCCTTTCTGTTGACCAGCGCCAGCTACAGGCATTGCTGTGTTCGATGCATCTCGCGGATTTGCTGAGCATACTTCTCAGATGTAATGGTTTCTCAGGGATTCAGAAAGCTATAATGGATCAGACCTGCGCAGACCAGACCACCAAACAGTGACTATGACCTATTTTTGGTGCGAGTTTGGCTTTGGGAAATGCTTTGGAGCTTCTTCTCAGTCCAGCCACTCAGTTGGTCTCCACCGCTTATCGTATAAAATCCACTTTTCATCGCATGTCACAATCTGATCAAGAAATGGATTGTCGTTGTTGTGCAGAATAAGAGAAGATGACACTTCAAAATGATGATTTTGTTTTTTAAATTTGTGTTTGGCTCATGAGGCACCCACTTATTGAGCTTTTTCACCTTTCCAATTTGCTTCAGATGCCGAATGACCGTAGAATGGTCGACGTTGAGTTGTTTGGCAACTTCTTGGGTAGTTGTAAGAGGATCAGCCTCGATGATTGCTCTGAACTGGTCGTGGTCAATTTCCCGTGGCCGGCCACTACGCTTCTCATCTGAACCCCCACTGTACTGTGTGTTCATTAGCAGTTCCTGGACCAAATGCGTTGTTGATGTTGCAAGTTGTCTCTGCTGCTTTATGACGCATTTTGAACTCAAATAAGAAAATTGCTCAAATTTGCTTTTTGTCTAACATCATTTCCATAGTCCAAAATAAATATAAAATAAATAGCAAGTAACAAGCCGTTAGCCAAAAAAAGTGAGAAATGTGCATTGAAATGTATAATATAACCACATTTATTTAGGAAGCTATTCCAATGTCAATTAGCAAATTTCCACAATACAAAAACTGCAATTATGTTTGCACCAACTAATAGAAAGCTTTCTATGCAGATACATGGAAAAGTGGGAGCTCCTAAACAGCAGGGACCAGGCCATATTTCTTATAGTTCTTGCACTCTGGCCACTTTTCGCATAGTAGCTGCTCAGTAAATAAGCACAGAATGAGTGTGGCTGTAGTTCCATGTTCAGCTTAACGGTACAACTAAAGTAATTCTTGACCCACAGCTGGGTTGAGCTATGCATGCCGCTGGAGCCCACTCACTGTGTGGTCCTGTTCGATTCCAGTCATCCACCCACCCATGAGCACAGAAGAGAGGGGTCCTGTAGAAGTCTAATACCCCTTCTTCTCAGGCCTCTGTTATCACAACATCACCAATTCCCTGCAAACCCTCCCAGAGCTTGCAAAATGCCAAATCCCAAAGGTGCCATGAAAGGATCCATGGCGCCCTGGATCCCTGGCAGAATCTTTTCCACGGCAGGATCTTTTAAGGGAGTGGTGGAGAGGGTGAACATTTGACTTCAGTTATCTTTTTCAGTGAAGAAGCCACTAAAAGTGATTCTACCATGGGAGGGACACCAGTGGAGGAGAGAAGTGGGGAGCACCAGGGGCCACTAGGATTCTGGGTGCTTTGACTGTATTTTCTCATTTAATTTCAGAACCCCAAATCTGAATAGCACCATGTCAAAATAACTAAAGAGATAAATTTCATGAGAGCTAGAAATAATATTGTCATGACGGTTATTATTTAAATATTTTTGGTACAATTTGGGATTTTTTTTCTAAATTCTCATGGCACATCTGAGAGGTCTCACAGAGCACCAGTGTTTCAAGGAATAGGAAGACATGACCAAGAGTGCAACTCGTGGATGGCTGAGTTCTTGCTTCTGCCTCTGGAACAATGTTTGGTCAGGTCAAAACAATTTCTTAAGGTGCTTACAAATCTTGACAGCAAAAACATCCATTTTTTAAAAATTTTTTAAAAAGAATGGAAATCTGAGAAGTAATCAAATTCAAAGAAAAAATGTTATTTTGACGCTCACAAACTGTTGGCAGTTCGGCAATACTATAACATGTACACACCCTTATTATTATTTTTGAAAAATGAGATAATTAAAAGTATTTTATGTATGTTTGTTTTATGTTATAAACTTGAAATATTTTTAAATTGCTTATAAACATACATAAAATACATATTAAATATAATGGTTGTAGTTAAACACAGGTTTCTGTGGCCACTATATCTATATTATATGGAAACTTCAACTTCATCTCTCCCTACCAAAAAGACTTCTGGGAACTTGAAATGTAGTTTAAAAACCACTTTGTTTTTCTTTTCTTTTTCTTTTTTTTGTTAGACGGAGTCTTGCTCTGTCACCAGGCCAGAGTGCAGCCGCATGATCTCGGCTCACTGCAACCTCTGCCTCCCCAGTTCAAGTGATTCTCCTGCCTCAGCCTCCCAAGGAGCTGAGACTACAGGCGCCTGCCACCACTTGGGCTCTGCTAATTTTTGTATTTTTAGTAGAGATGGGGTTTCACCATGTTGGCCAGGATGGTGTTGATCTCTTGACCTCATGAACCACCCGCCTCAGCCTCCTGAAGTGCTGGGATTACAGGCACACGCCACTATGCCCAGGTAATTTTTTTTGTATTTTTAGTAGAGATGGGGTTTCACCATGTTGGCCAGACTGGTCTCGAACTCCTGACCTCAGGTGATCTGCCCCCCTCGTCCTCCCAAAGTGCTGGGATTATAAGCGTGAGCTACTGTGCCTGGCCTAAAAGCCACTTTCTTAGCCAACCTCTTTAACAAAACTAATTTGCAAGAAACAGAATCTGGAAACTTAGCGTTTGGTTATTATTCATTGTACCACTCAACCAAAGCTTTACAAATTTTGACTTTGGCATATGACTTCAAAATTTTTAGAAAGACACACTCTAGCTAGAATTCCCAACTATCTCCTCTGTCTATCCTTCCATTTGAGCAAACATTTTATGCAGCTCTCTGTGGTGGACTCCAACTTTCAGAGACTCAGAAACACGGCTGCCTGTGCAATGCTGATATCATAGAGCAATAGAAGCAGCGCCATGAAAGAGGTCCTCTCCTCTACCTGATCATTTTGCAGAGGAGGCCCAGAGAGGGGGAGGGACGGCATTAATTCATTCCTTTATTCATTCATTTGGCATTTATTGAGCAAGTGTGCTGCAAGTATGCCATTAGGGTGTGGAATTACAACCATAAATAAAATACTGTTTCGACCATTTCAGAACATAGTTTAGTTGAGGAAAAAGACACACCAACAACCAAAGCATGATGAGTTATCATAGGAGCACCTTTCCTTCAGGAAACAGCTGTTGGTCGTTTGTTGTATGCCAGGTTCTGTGCTAGGCTCGGAGAATATAGGGGATAAGTCAGAGAGGTCCCTGGTCCTGATGGAATTTAAACACACATCAGGAAGTAGATTTGAACAAGATCATGAGAAATGTTGAGTGGCTGGTTGTGGCAGCTCATGCCTCTAATCCCAGCACTTTGGAAGGCCAAGGCAGGAGGATTGCTTGAGCCCAGGAGTTCGAGACCAGCCTGGGCAGCATAGCAAGACCCTGTCTCAAAAAGAAAAGTTAACAAATAAATAAAAAGGAAATAGCGTTCAGCAAAAATGTTGCAGGTCCTCACCACGTTCTTCACAGGCACACGTCGGGGAGAGAAGAGAGGGCATCAGAGGTTGCAGACTTACCAACAGCCGTGGTGGAGCCCGTTGGCTCCCTGGAACTCTCGGGACTGCATGGTGTGGCTCAGCATAGGTGGCCTGCGAGGATCTTGGTAGGCAGTCCACAGAGAGAGGCCTTGTCCTCCGTAGTGATCACTATTTCAGGGATGGACTAGAGGTTAGGTCAAGGAACAACTAAATGTCATAGAGAGTGATGCTCCCTGCTCAGAGAAGTGGCTCTCTTAGAAAGGGGACATCTCGGTGGCAGGGACTGGCACACCCTGATCTGCCACCGAGCTGACTCAGGTGTGCAGGGCCGGCCCTCTCTAAGCTGCATAATGGGGAGGAAATGGGCCCCCACGTCTCTGCATTTGCCTTTCCTTCAATACTGAAGGCCATGTGCATAGGGCTGTGTGATTATTTCAGCAGCGCTTGGCTGGGTAAAGGTGGCAGAATAAACGGAACAGACAGGATGATCCAGACCTAGGTCCGCCTAGACGCATGCATGTGGCACAACGTGTGACGGAGCCACTTCACAGCTGCCTTTTTGATAAGCCATTTACAGGACTTCAGGATGCTTCTTGAGGACAATGGGATGTCATCGAAGGTATTGAGAACGATGTGAAGAAATCGTTTTCATTTTTCTTTTTTTTTCTAGAGACAAGGTCTTGCTCTGTTGCCCATACTGGTATGCAGTGGCACAGTCATAGCTCACTGCAGTCTAGACCTCTCTAGTTGGAGCAATACTCCTACCTCAGCCTCCTGAGCAGGTGGGCCTCCAGGCTTGTGCCACCACACCCAGCCATTTTTTTCTTTTTTTTGAGACAGAATCTTGCTGTGTCACCCAGGCTGCAGTGCAGTGGTGCAATCACAGCACACTCCAGTCTTGACCTCCCACCTCAGCCCCTAGAGTAGCTGGGACTATATCCAGCTGTTTGTTTATTTTTTTGTTGAGATGAGGTCTCACTCTGTTGCGCAGGCTGGTCTTGAACTCTTGAACTCAAGTGATCCTCCCACCTTAGCCTCCCAAAGTGCTGGGATTATAGGCATGAGACACTGCACCTGGTCTAATTCCTTTTCATTTTAAAAAGATGTGGAGGAAGTAGATTGGAACGAGGGCAAGGAAGATCCAATGAGACAAGCTGAGTGGCTGTTGTAATGATCTAGGTTGCTGGAGATTTTTAAAAATGTATTTTGTTCACTGTTTTATTCCCAGAACCTAGAAGAGTGCTTGTTTCCAAATAGACACCCAGTAATAGTTAATCAACAAAATTCAGTTGCTGGTTTGAGGGTCAGTGGAACGTGGGTCCCTTTTACTGACACGTGGAATTGCTGATCAAATCTCCTCTTAGCATTATTATTTCCAGTGACTCTGGAGAGGGAGGGCCCTTTTCCAGGCTTTAGGGCCAACTGACAGAGAAAAATGAAAACCCAGGTACCACAAGGCTGAAAGGTGAAGACGGAGTCATCTCAAATTCTTCCCAACCAGCTCATCAAGATCTGCTGGTTGATATAAATGTGTTACCTGGAAGGATGACTTCATGTGTTTGTTTTCTGTTTTGAAGAAAGGAAGTGTATTTGGCAAGGGAACTTCTTCCTTTGTTCAGCTCTGGGAATCCTTAAAGTCAACAGATTTCCAGCAGGTTATACTCAAACAAGGTTGTGTCTCATGGCAAACAAGGCCTTAGAAACAGACAGGCCCAGTTTTGAACACCAGCTCAACCATTCTCAAGACATGCGATCATGGGCAATTAACCTATTTAATATCCATGACTCAGCTTTTTCCATCTATAAAATGAAATAATCCTGGTGCCTATATCATAGAATTGTTCTGAAAAATAAATGAGATAATATGTGTAGTGCATTAATTAAAACATGGAAGCAATAAGCACTTGCTGGATGTCAGGGGTCATTACTTCCACTACAGTTAAAGTGGAAAATGGAAAGAGGCCTGCTGGAGCCAGATGTCCCCTGGCGGACGCTCTGGTCTGGGGACAGGCGACACACCTGAGTGGCCTATTGCCTTGTGCTGATGGCTTAGCCTGGTATGTCTGCTGATCACGAGCCAGGAGGAGTGGGAACTGAGCCATAGCCACGTTGGAGGAAAATCCAGGAGCAAACTCCATGAGAGAGTCATGAAATCTGGCAGTGGAAGGGCTGCCGCCTGGAAGCTAGTGCTTGGTATATCTGCATGAGAAATTAAGGGATCAGGATGGGAATGTCTTTACGTTAAGCCTTTTCTGCTTGAGGTGACTGCATATGACAGGGGACCCAGAGTGACAGCATAAGCTGTGGTCTCCCTGCAGACTTACATGTGTCGTGGAGTCTGCGTAGGTGGCAGAGAGCTTGAGTTGCTCCACGGCCAAAGAACCCATGCTCAGTTAAGAGAATGTGAAGACCACACGCTTGGGCCAACCATGCTGGGCCGGTGTTGGATTTGCAGGCAGGTTCTGAACACAGAGTGTCAGCCGCTACTTAGATTGTTCTTTTTCACATGGGGTCGCCAGTCTGAATGCCTCCCTGATGGGATCCGTGCTAAAACCCTAGGCAGGGGAAGTGTAAGTTCCCAAATGAAAAGGGTGAGTCACTGAAGTAGGGTCAGAGGGAGGAGGCAGCTCCTGGGGTAAAACCTGCATCAGAGGTAAAAGGGAAGAGCCTCTTAGCAGGGAGCCGGCTGGCCTTGCTGCCTGGGCAGATGCATCTTTTACTTTCTTATATGTTTATCAGTCCAGGAAAATGTAAGCCCAGCGCATTCAGGGGGCTTAACGCCTTTGTTTTCCTGCTGTGTCCCCAGCTTGGAGAAACAGGCCTAGCACAGCAGAGATGCTCAAGACATATTTGTTGAAGAAATGAATGAATGAATGAATGGATGCAGATTCACTTACGCAGCAATCCCCTGTCAGGTGAGAAGGTAGAGAGTGCTGCTCTAATCACTTCTCTCTTTACCTCTCTGCCTTACCAAATTCCTCCTATCTTATGAGGTTTAGTAAAAATATCACCATTACCAGCTGTTTTATTTTCCCCTAAAATGGCTTTTTATCTGTTGTTGACATGTACCTCGGCCCTGGATGGTTTATGGTTTTGCCTTATTTTGCCTTTGTTCGGTTTGGTATGAATTTGATATGAGATTGTAAGTTTTTTGAGGGAGAGGCCATGCCTTAGAATCACAGACCTCTCCAGTCACAGCGTCCCGAGGAAAGGAACTGAGGCTCAGAGAAGCAAAGCCACACAAACACTACACAGCCCTTTGTGTGTTAAAGTGGCTCCACCATTTCTTTCTGGGGAGACTTGTGACCTTGTCCATAAATGCATTCTTAGCACTCCTCCAAATGGTAGTGTGCTGGCCTTCTGTGGAGGGATGTGGCCTCCTAAGATGCCTCAACTTTCTCCAGAGGATGACAGCCTTTCACAAAAGCACGTCATTTCCAGTTGAACTGTGGTAAAAAGAAACCAGGCGGCATTTCAATGAGAACATAGAGCGTCTGTATCCCAGGCATCTGCTGGGATGTTCCTGTCAATGCCCTCCCCACAGCACTTACCACAGTTGCAGCAGGAGACACGTTCTGTGTAGAGGATGCTTCGTTCTTTTGGTGCTTTAAAAATTACGCCTGGGTTCAGAGCCCAGGGTGCCCACCTTTACACGATGGAACCACCAGGAGAGATTAACTGAGGGTCTGACACCTTCTTAGGTCTGATTAGAGACATTTACCGTCTAATCTCCCTGAAGCCTCCCTGGAGGCTTCATCTGTACAATTAGAACCTTGGTCTCTACAACGCATTATCTTAATCCAGACACTCTTTTCTTTGATTCCAGGTCTTTAGATAATAACTCTTTCAACCAATTGCCAATCAGAAAATCTTTCAATCAGCCTGTGACCTGGAAGCCCCCAGTTCGAGCTGTCCCCCCTTTCTGGTCCAAACCAATATACATCTTACATGTATTGATGAATGTCTGCCTGTAACTTCTGTTCCCTTAAAATGTATAAGATAAAGATGTAACCCAACCACTTCTGGCACATGTTCTAAGGATCTCCTGGGGCTGTGTCGGGGGCCTTGGCCACTCATATCTGGCTCAGAATAAACCTCTTTAAATATTTTTTTAAAATCCCCCGATTAAGCCAGATTGACAGGGGAACCTACAGGGAGACATTAAGACATTCGTTTTTTGTTTTGTTTTGCTTTGTTTTGTTTTGTTTTGTTTTGTTTTGTTTTGTTGAGACAGGGTCTTGCTGTGTCAGCCAGGCTGGACTGCAGTGGCACGATCATGGCTCACTGTAACCTCAATCTCCTGGGCTCAAGCCATTCTTCTACCTCAGCCTCCTGAGTAGTGAGAGTACAGGTGTGTGTTACCACACTTAGCTAATTTTTGTTTTTTTTTTTTTTTTGGAGAGACAGGTTTCACCATGCTGCCTGGGCTGGTCTTGAGCTCCTGAGCTCAAGCAATCTGCCCGCCTTGGCCTCCCAAAGTGCTGGGATTACAGGCATGAGCCACCACATGTGCTGACAACATGAGTTTTCTTCTTTGATATATGTATATGTTTTTAATGAACTGAACTGTGAGTCTACATTGAGTGACATGATGACAACCAGCCTTCGAAACTCGCTGTGTGGACATTGGTGAGGACATCGTACCCAGCATTACACATTGAACAAGTGGGCTTAGAGAAAATGAAGGAAGTTTCCATTCAGGAAGGAGCTAAACCAAACCCCAGTTGTAGGGGACACTATTGTTCTAACTGAATAGTTAATTTCTTTGGAGCAGGCCAACATGAAAGTTATAGGAATGAAATGTCCATGTGAGGTTCTCAGCAAAACATAAGTAGGAAAAGCAACTATTTTCTTTTGGCGTCATGTGCCAACCTGCCCTGTGAATGCTTGGAGGGAGGACAGACTTTTGCTCTGGAGCATTTTCTATCCTCGTGTGTAGCCGACATCCTTAATCAATCCCAGCATGACTGATTTCCTGATTTCTCCACAGCCAAGGTGAATGGGATAAAATGACTTGGACCACGTTTGCATGCGATGGAAGCCTGGCCACCAGCCTTCCTTTAGGAGTAGCAACCTAGCTTGTCCTAGGGTGCAATAATCTCAAGACCTGGGGTCTAGACAGGAAGAATTCCTCCAAGGAATCAAATGGGCCTCAAGTTAATGATTTGGGCTTTGCCTCAACCAGAGGCTGGACTACAGAGCAGATCTGGTTTTTCAAACCATCTCTTATGTTCATAGGATTCGATTTCAAAGAATTGAGATAGTATCTCAATTCTTCCTTGTAACAACACCCAGAGATAAGAACTACCTTAAATTTTACAGATAAAGATAATGAGACTGAGAAAGTTTTAAGTGACTTTTTCTACACTAAGTAGCTGAGTGTGGATCTGCGCATGGGCCACTGAACATCAGCCACTGAATGTGGGTCACTTGCCCAAGCCTACTGGCCCTGAGGCAAAGGCCAGAGAAAGGAAGCCTTGGAAGAGATAGTGTAATAGGAGCTGTGGAGTGGGGATCTGCACACTGGGCCATGCTGCTTGCAGATGTGAGCTTGTTGTGATTTCCCTACTCTTGGGATGCCGCCTTCCTTTCCCCAGGATGTTCTGTACGCGTGCATCCTCCTTCCCTGCTCACTGTGGTGCCTCCCAATCGGTCACCCCACTTCTGTCCTTTCTCCTCTTTAACCCTTTCGCCACTCAGCAACCAAAGTGATTTTTCTTTAAAAAATTATTTTAGTTTGGATTCAGAGGGTACACGTGCATGTTTGTTACATGGGAATATTGTGTGCTGGTGGGGATTGGGCTTCTACTGTTCCCATTATCCAAAAGGTGCACATTGTACCTGATAGATACATTTTCAACCCTCACTCCCTCGCTTCCCAGTCTCCCCTGCTCTTCAGAGCCCCCAGTGTCTTCTATTTCTATCAAGGTGAGTTTTCTGAGATGTAAATCAGAGATTACGCCATTTCCTTGCTCATTACTCCCTCGTGACATTTCGTGGTACACAGACAAGGAGCACGTCCTCTCCCTTGCACTCACCTTCTCCTCTGCAGGTGGTTGTTGCCCGCAGCTCCCTGCGCCCGGCTCCTCCTTGCCACTCAGACCTCATCAACACCTTTCCTGATCATCTGGGATGAACGCATCGCCCCCATGCTACTTTACTTTCTGGAGCTCTCATCCTCCTCCCTCTTTGTTTCCTTGGCCAGCTTTGTTTTTCTTGGCAGCATGGGTGGCTACCTAACATTGGATGCTGTGTTTAATTGCTTATAGTAGACACTTGTTTAATTGTTCACTCTTCACCCATAAAGGCAGAGACTCCTTTGTCGGTTGGTTGCTGCTCTCTCTCACCAAAATGTAAGCTCCCTGAGGGCAGGGGCCCTGACTTTCTTGGCCATTCCTGAATTCCACATGGCTAAGGCAATTGCTGATACATGATAGACCTCAAAAAAATGTTTGTTTTTTTTCAATCAATGAGAAAAAAAGGCAGCGTTTTGAATTGCAATGGAGAGAATAGGGAAATAAAAGCTTCAACCCAGACCTCATCCCTGGACAGAGAAAATCCCATGTACTGCATATATGGACACCAAGATGGGAACACATACCCCACCCTTCAGTGCATTAGTCCCTCATTCTGTTTCCAAACCTCACCCCTCCCTCGGCCCCACATCCCTCAGAATGTAGCTCAGTGTCACTTCTACGGCCCACCCTGATCAACTTGTTCATATCCCTTTAAGCACCTACCTGGCAATTTGGTAACTGTAGATTTCTCTGTCACCCCAACCCTGGAAGGCAGGGGTGGGCTTCTCCATCCCAGGGTCCCTTGCATCGTCCCTGCACATCACAGGGGCTTGGGGAACACCTGATAAATGATGAGGAGAGTGGATGAGTGACTAGCAAAGCCTGGAGTCAACTTTTGATGCCCTGAAGTCAATAAAATGACACAGGATGAAAAGGTCAAAAAGTTTCTTCAACGGCTCCTGCAGGAAGCATTTGAGGAGAGGAAATGATATTACTCAAACAGCATTGACTGTATTTTCTACTGTATTTTCTATATTCTTGATGCTGTGGTGTTTGGTGCCTTGATCCTGTAGGGACTGCCCATCAGGATCAGTGAGGAAAAAAAGACAGTGTTTTGAATTGCAGTTGAGAGAATAGGGAAATACAGGCTTCAACTCAGGCCCTGCCCCTGAACAGAGAACATTCCCATCTACATAGAGGGACACCAAGATGAGGACACATGTCCTGTCCTTCAGTGTATCGTCCCCCTCATTCTGCTAGAGCTAGCAAGCAGCTCCCTGTGAGCACACTCACCGAACCAGAGCCCATACCCTAACTACCTTCTCTATCAAACTTGCGCATACCAAGTAATATTTCCCCGGCCTGCCCTAAGTCACCCTAGAGCCATGTACCAAAAAATCAGGGGTCACCCCTACAGCTCAGAGCCTGTCAAAATTATCCCAAGTATCCAATTCTAAGCGTGGGGACCTAGGAGACCTGCCCTGCTTCATCCATTCCTTGCTGTGAGAACCCAAGGAAGGCTCTGGGCCATGCTCTCCCCTCTTCCTGCTGCTGCCTCCTGACGCATCGTGGTGATTCCCTCATGGCCTGGTGTGGCGGCCACACCCCCTGCTTCTGGGAATCTGTGAGCTTCAGCTTCTTCCTTCATAATATCACTTCATGCGTGTGTGAGTTTACCATGACTAATTAAAACAAACTCAAGCATTTTTAGAACACAGATCCTGTTCCGATGCTTTTTTGCATCCCCCAAAAAATAAATCCAATGAGGTCATGCATTCGATATACCTAAGAGACAGTGATCAACTTGCTAGACATCTTTCTATGCAAATAAAGCATAAAAATGATGTACAAATCTTTACTTAGCCAAAAAAATGTTTCTGGTGGATTTTATGCAAGAAGATGGAAAAAGAAAATGATGATCATGGTTCAAAATGTTCTAGTTTCTTAGGGTTCAAAGTACAGGGAAAAAAAGAAAGAGAAAAAAAGTATTTAAAACAGAAAGAAAAAAATTTAAAAAAAGAAACAAAAAGAAAATAACAAAATGTTCTTGCTAGCTTCTTGGGGTTCAAAGTAGAAGACAAAAAGAGAGAGAAAAACATAGTTAAAACAAAAAGAAAAAAATTAAAAAAAGAAACAAAAAGAAAATAACAAAATTTTCTTGCTACAAAAGGAAAAAAGACAGTCAAGGGGCCTGACAATATCCAGGGAAGAGAGAGACACAATCTGCTCCTACTCTGCAGTCCTGTGTGTGTTTGTCCATGTGAGTCCTCATAGCAGACCAGTCAGAGAAAAAAGTCATCTTGGCATCACTTTCTAGAGTTAATCATTTCATTTTTCTTAAGTTAATTAAACTATTTTTTTCTTAATGGGAGAGCGTCATAGTTTTCCCCTTTCATTCTTTGAGAGGTAACCATGTCCTCCCTGAAGTGGCAGAAACCTCTGTTGACTGCTCCTATCTGAAAGGAAATACAGTCCCTCTCCCCTTCAGGAGAATTTATGCTTTTTCCACTAAAGATGCGGATATTACTTACATTCCTACAGTGCTTTAAAATTTTGATGATCTTTCAAGTCCATTTTGTCATCTAATTCCTCCAATAAGCAGTGATATAGGCAGAGTAGAGAATGTTTTTACCCATTTTACAGATGGAGCTCGAAGATGAGGTAAAAGACTGAGGCTTGGAGATAAGGCCACTTTTTCCCCGTTAACTTGACCAAGATCAGCTGCCTAGAAAGTGGTAGAGAGGAGACAAGAAACACAAGGCAGCAGGGTTCAGCCCCTCATCAGTAGCTAGTTTCAACATGTAATAGTTTCATTTTGGCTGGGCGCGGTGGCTCACGCCTGTAATTCGGCACTTTGGGAGGCCGAGGCGGGCAGATTGCTTGAGGTCAGGAGTTCGAGACCAAACTGGCCAACATGGTGAAACCTCGTCTCTACTAAAATTACAAAAAATTATCCGGGCATGGTGGCACATGCCTGTAGTCCTAGCTACTCAGAAGGCTGGAGCAGGAGAATTGCTTGAACCTGGGAGGCGGAGGTTGCAGTGAGCTGAGGTCGTGCCATTGTTCTCCAGCCTGGGCAAGACAGCGAGACTCCCTCTCAAAAAAAATAATTTTATTTGAATTATCTTTCTGTGAAAGAAATAGGTTCTGGCTCCCGCACTTCCTGTGCACTGATCTTATTTGATGGAACAAAATTTGAATGTGCTACCTATATCATAGGCTGTTCAGGGATACCAAGAAAGATAGATAAATAGACAGATAGATTACGAATATAGATAGATAGACATAGAGCTAGAGATAGAGATATCTTCCACCTATCTGCTCACTATGCCAGGGTATCCTTGAAGCATTTGTTAACTCGACACAGCCACAGCATAGAAGAAACTTGGGTCTTGAATGACTGCATGGAGCAGAGTCTGCTCTTGCATAGGAGCCCCAATACCCTGTATTCTGGACCCTGCTGCATCCACTCGGGCTGAAGAATTCAAGAAAAAGCCACCTATCTGTTATAGCCCTTCCCTCCAGAGAGATCAGTGTATTAGTAATCGCCTTATTTATTTTGACTTTGATAGTATTTTTTGTTATAAAACAACTCTTGATGTTATTAATGTGAGATAGTCCGAAGATTGTTTCTTCTCACTGTATAATGAAAGCAACTGGGGCAGAAATAACCAAAATCAAAAAGTGCATTAAAAACAGATGGCTGCAGGTGTCCTATTATCTTTCATTTGTGTTAATTAAATTTAGTGTTGGCAGATAATATAAAGAGATACTCAGTTCAATCTGACTTTTGGAGAAATTACAATTTTTATTAGTACAGTTATTTCCAAATATTGCAAATATGAGAACAAATAACCCCCAACTCATAGTGATTCAATGCAATAGAGGTTTATTTATGACTCATGGAATAGGCTGCAGGATGGGGGGCATTGGGGCACTCATGTGGGGGCAGCCTTTGCTCCTTGCAGTCATTCAAGACCCAGGTTTCTTGTATGCTGTGGCTCTTTTAAGTTCAATAAATGCTTTGAGAATACCCTGGCATAGTGAGCAAACAGGAGGAGGATATCTGTATCTCTATCTCTGTCTCTATCAGACCTGTATCTAAAATCTCTGTCTCTCTCTCTCTCTCACTCTCTCTATCTTTGTATCACTGAACAGCCTATGACATAGGTAGTACATTGAAATTTTGTTTCGTCGAATAAGATTGATGCACAGGAAATCCAGGAACCAGAATCTATTACTTTTATTGAAACATAATTGAAATGAAACCACTACTTGTTGAAACTGGCTGCTGATGAGGGGTTAAAGATGAAATCTAAAAATACAGTGTCATTTTATTTTGTATAAAAGTTAAAGAATATTCTGAGTTTGCTGTAGGTTTTTACTTCTTCTTTTATTTCTGCAGATAACTCTGAGGTTATTTTGTTTCGATGTGTTGTTGAAACAAAGCATAGAAATTATTCAGATACATAGTATTTCCTGCCAGTAGCTTTGTCATCAATCTGACTGAGACACATCACCAAGGAAAAGCAAACTTTAAATATGAAATAGGCAGTCTTCATTCAAAATATTTATAGGCATTTAATATGGATAACCACTGTTTCACGTATAACTTTTGCTTAATTATAATTGAGAAAGAACAGTAAGTTACGAAGAGGACGGTGATTCTCTCTGTTTCATGCCTCCCAGCACACTAGCATTAAACAACAGGCACAGAGATTTTTTTTTCTCTGTACCATGTTTTGTTCTGGTTATATTTATTGGCATGTAATTTTGTGTTTATGGAAACAAATAATAAAAATAGAACTAATTATATATATGCCTTAAAAAATGTACAGCTTGGCACAAGAAAAAATGGAAAGAAAGAGAAAAGGGTCTTTCACTAGAGAATATTTGGGAGGGAAGATGGAGTGGGTGCTGCCAGGTGGATGTGTGGCGGAACCTTTTTGCCAGCTTGTTTCCCTTGGGCCTTGGGCCACTTTGTTTTCTCTGAAAGTGCTTTCTCTTTAGCAGGGACTTTGGTAGCATGAGCGGAACCCCTAGGTGTTCATGGAAACCTGGCTGTCCAGGGGCTTGGGGACACCATGGGACACGCTGCCACCCTCTAGTGGTAGAATAGAGACGCACTTCACCACCAGGGGGTCTCCTCTCTGTCATTGTTTTCCAGCCTCAAAAAGTCACATCCTAGCCCTGCGCTCATGGTGGCTCAGGCCTGTAATCTCAGCACTTTGGGAGGCCGAGGCGGTTGGATCACTTGAGGTCAGGAGTTTGAGACCAGCCTGAACAATGTGGTGAAACCCCATCTCTATTAAAAACAGAAAAACTAGCCAGGCGTGGTGGCAGGCACCTGTAATCCCAGCTACTCCAGAGGCTGAGGCAGGAGAATTGCTTGAACCTGGGAGACGGAGATTGCAGTGAACTGAGATCACGCCACTGTACTGCAGCCTTGGCAATGGAGTGAGATGCTGTCTCAAAAAACAAACAAACAAACAACAACAACAAAACCTCACATCTTTTTTGGATAACATGAAAACCCTATACTTAAACCCCCTTCCCTGACCCAGAGATTCTTAGCGGTGTCTGTTTGAGAATCACTGAATTTGTTGCACAATTTTGACAGCTGAGATTTGGTGTAATCATTGTTGAGGCTTGTAATACAAAAAGCAAAATTTCTTTTTGTCTCTTTCACTTGTCAAATACAGATAATACTGTAACCCTGAATATGCGTACGTCTATTCAATAGTTACCCTCACCCTAGTGTTCCCTCAGAGGGGCACACAGAATCCTGGTTGCTAAGCATTGCTTTGGTGCATGCTGAAGATCCCAGTAACTTCAAGCTCTCTTTATTTTGAATTGTATGTCTACTAAGGGGAGTGACCTGGGTTCCAGTGAAATGGTTTCCACTGCACCTGCTCCTTTCACTTCCTCCCCTGCTCTGTCCTCCCCTTGCTCACCTCTCTTTCAATTTCTCCTTAGCCTGCCTTGCCTTTAGCAGGAGAAGAATGGTGAGAATAGAGAGAATCTAGTCCTGAGCATGGTCGACCTGGGTTCTGGGCAGGTTACCTGTGCCATGCCCTTATTCTACCCGTTGGCCTGTGCAGGGAGGTGAGCACTGAGGAAAGACAGGTGTGTTCACTCTGCCCAGGTGAGCTCCGGGATGGGACTCCCTAGGAGGGATCGTGGGGAGGGACGTCCAGGCTACCATTCAGGGCTGGCCATCTGGGCTTCAGGGACATCCTGACGTCTTTGCCTTGTCCTGTGGTCTCCACAGAGACAGTGTTGGGGCTCCCCTGAGTTGCTGTAATTCCACAAGTGGGGAGCTCCCCTCACATCTCTCTGCTTCCTCGGCCAACCCTCCTCTCCAGCTGCCAGGGCCCTGTCTACCTGACACTTGGACCTTGCTGCATATTTCTCAGCTTCCGTCCACCTCTCCCATCTGGCTGTCTTTGTGTGTGTGTGTGTGTGGCTTTGTCAGTTACGGCGGGGTTTCTGGGCCACGTGGTCCGTGCTGTTTGAGC
Organism: Homo sapiens; assembly: GCF_000001405.40. NCBI lineage: Eukaryota > Metazoa > Chordata > Mammalia > Primates > Hominidae > Homo > Homo sapiens. The sequence goes on from NC_000008.11 coordinate 6,920,892, forward strand.
CATCCTGAGCTAGAGGCTGTACCATGTCTCTAGGGGAAGGGGTGGGTATGAGGCCTGGAGAACTTTCAGGGCTGTCTTGCGTGGAGGACTGTCTACAAGGTTTAGGAGCCGGGATAAAGGTAGTCCCTGCAAAGCCCGGACAGCCACAGCCCACCTCGGGGGCCATCGAGTGCTACCTGGGAGGTCTCCTCCCCATCATTTGCTCAGGCTACGTGTTAGTCAGGTTCTCCAGAGAAGCAGAACCAATTCCTTAACTGTGTGGTGTGGTGAGCCACAGGCCAGCAGGCTGGAGACCCGGGGAGGAGCTGCAGGCCAGTCCCGAGGCCACCTGCTGCCAGAACTCCCTCTTGCTCTGGGGAGGTCAGTCTTTGTTCCATTCATGTCCCCTCCTCATTATGGAAGACCATCTGCTTTACCAATTTAAATATTTATCTCATAGTCCACCAACTTAAATATTTATCTCATCTGAAAACAACCTTACATAAACATCCAGAGTACTGTTTGTCCAACTGTCCAGGAACCATGGCCCAGGCATAACATCAACCATCAAAAGGCATTTCTCGGGTTTGCGTGTTCTCTGGCGTCTGACCCCCAAAGCCACATTCTCCTTGTCCTCAAGGATGGGTTTCTGGCCCTTGGCAGCTTTGAGACAGATTTGAGGTATTTGAGGTTCCTTGGAAGCGCCAGTCATGCCCTGGTATTCTGTGTCCCGGGGGCCCCGATGCTGAGCATGGACATCAGGCTGGTTCACAGTCGGTGACTGCAGCACCCTCACCAGCCTCGCATAAAGCAGGAATGTTTAGCCCTGTCTTAAGGGTTTGCTTGGGGAAGGAAATGATGGTGAGCAAGGTAGGACTTTTCACATGGGGAGTCATTGTGCTTACATTGTGGATTACGATGATCCCATCCGTTTTCAGAGAGTGTTTTCTCTATTTGCTTATTGCCAGGGTCTGGTCCTGGGGAAAGAAGCAATTGGGGGCTCTGGTGAGAAGGCACAGGGGCTCCCCCAGAAGCAAGGACAGAGAGAGCACGGCTGTGCTTGCTCAGGTGTGCTCAGCAGGCTGCGACGTCTGCAGCCTGGGGCTCCTGCGCCTGTCTCTTTGATGTGAGCTCTACCTCTCCTTCACCATCCAGGCTGTCCTGGGGCAAACTCCAGGTGGTCACTTTTAGCTGTGTCTCTGGGCAGACAAGTCTAGACAAGACACCACTTTCTTCTCCACTCCTGTTTCCTGAGTGTACCTAGGGAACTACACCAGGTCCTCCCCCAGGCACCTGCTCCATTAGTGACTGGTGGCCATCTTCACACTCCCGGTGAGCAAGGAAGTGGCACCAGCTGGGATCCTTCTTCTCAAGCCACACCCAGCTGAGAAGGCTGAAGTAGGCACCGCAGCCTGTCCTGTGGACTTGAACTGCTCCGCTGCTGCAGGCGTGTCCTGCCAGGTGGAACAAAAGGAAGAACACACTTCACATGCACAGTGCACACTAGAATGCTATTTAATTCTGAGGGGAATTGGGTGACCCTTGACTCCCTCCTCCCTCTGACTTGTTAATTTTCATTTTCTAGATCTCATGGACTTTTTCATAAAGCTTACGTTTTATATTTTACAATTTGTATTGAAGCATAATGTGCAGAGTGAAAAGCACCAATCTTGGGAGTTCAGCCAGGTATGTTTTGGCGAATGTGTTCACCTGTGTGACGCCGGTCCCCATTGTGACATGGAGCATTCCCATCCAGCCCCAGACTACACCTTCCCCTTCCCTGCCTCCTCTCATGATCTGCTGCACTGCATTCCCTACACAGCAGACAGAGCAGGAGTCATGCCTTTCTTCTAAGGAACATCCTCCAGTGACTTCATTGCACTGAGAAGCCCCTCCTGGCCCTTGCAGGCCGCTGTGCTCTGGGCCCTACTACAGCTCTGACTGGTCCTGCAGCCCCCAATCCCTGGCCTTCTTCGTGGCTCCGAGCACAAACCCCGTCTTAGCACCTCAGGGCCTTTGCATTTGCTCCCCTGCCTCCATTTCTGGAATTCTGCCCCTGAGATCTGCACGAATTGAGCCCTTTCATCATCTGGGTCTCAGGTCAGGAACGCTAACCAAGACTCTGCCCTTGACCAAACTTTAGTCAGGCTCCTCTGAGCCATCTTTTCAAGTAGGTCCTGTCTGTCTTTGGTCTGTCCAGCCCCATCTTAGCAAAGAATCCTGCTAGGTCACCCCTCGACTTTCTAGGCCATCCCCCCACTTGCTAGGCCACCCCCTCACTTGCTAGGCCACCCCCCCACTTGCTAGGTCACGTCTCCCCTTGCCAGTTCACCCCCCACTTACTGGGTCACCCCCATTTGCTAGGTCACCCCCTCACTCACTAGGTCACCCCCACTTGCTAGGTCACCCCCCCACTTACTAGGTCACCCCCACTTACTAGGTCACCCTCCACTTGCTAGGTCACCCCGTCACTTGCTAGGCCACCCCCCTTACTAGGTCAAGTCACCCCCCCCGCTTGCTAGGTCACCCCCCATTTGCTAGGTCACCCCCTCACTCACTAGGTCACCCCCACTTGCTAGGTCACCCCCCCACCCTTCCTATCTGACTGTGTTATTTATTCCCCACCTTTGATGTCTAAGTCTCTGACCACCGTTATGAAGAATCCTGTTAGGTCCCATAGTCAAGTTTTGAGACAGCTGCCACAAGGTTATGGAGGAGGAAATGAAGCCTCCATTTTCGTGCTGGGTTTGTCAAGTCCATTCAGGTAGAAAGTGGCAAAGTCAGGCTTGGAAATGGGTTTTGTGACTCCATGTTTCTCCTCGTTCAGACCTGCCTTGGAGAACCTTTCCCTCCACGTCTTCTGTCTGTGTTTTAGAGAACTGGAAAATAGGCCACTTTAACATGGTCTCTCCTACAAAGAGGTAAGAAGACCCAGCAGAAGGGCAGAAGAACTGGGAGTCTGGCCAGACCTCTGGATGAATGTCAGGGTTGTTGTTATACCCAGGACTGTTGTCACCCTCTTGTCTCTGGACATAGTGACAAGGGACAAGGCAAAGAGAGAGGGCCTGTGTTCTTGTGGACATGTGGTTGGCAAGGTTCTGGCCAGAGTCGGAAGGGCCAGGACCCCACGTTCCTTCCTCCTATGTTTGTATCCCATTCAAACCAAGATTAAAATTCTAAGCCCTCCAGCCAACTGAATGGACGCCTCCTCTCAGCCCAAGGCATTCTAGTGTTAACCTCAAACACTGGTTCAGGCCATGATGGGACGTGGGGATCAGGAATACCTCATGATATCCTCCTCCCATTGGAATTCAGGCACAGCTGGCCAGCATTAACATTAAAACAGAGTGCCTAAGGCCACGTGCGGTGGCTCATGCCTGTAATCCCAGCACTTTGGGAGGCCGAGGTGGGCGGATCACTTGAGGTCAGGAGTTCGAGACCAGCCTGGTCAACATAGTGAAACCCTGTCTCTACTAAAAATACAAAAATTACTTGGCGTGGTGGTGGATACCTGTAATCCCAGCTACTTGGGAGGCTGAGGCAGGAGAATCACTTGAACCCAGGAGGTAGAGGTTTCAGTGAGCCAAGATTGTGCCACTGCACTGCAGCCTGGGCAACAGAGCGAGACTCCATCTCAGAAAGCAAAAAACAAAAAAACAAAAAACCCAAATCCTCTCTTCTCTCAACATCCTCTCTACCACTTCTCTGGTCTACATAGAAAACTCTTTCGAAGAGCTAGTGTTCTGAGATACGACTTGGGTTTTTGTTTTTGCATCTGAAGAATCCTGAATTATCAAACACCAGAAAAGCACAAACACAAAAGAACTTGCTGAAAGGACTTTATTTGAGATGAGGAAACAAAGTTGATGGCAATGTATAGGACACACGACAGTTTCCTTCTAGGTCATAAAGTAAATTATGAATATATTTCTCTCTGTTCTCATCCCTCAGAGGCAGCAGAATCTGTGGTTAATACCCATGACAGTGCAGGTCCCATAGGAATATTCTGTTGAATAACAGGACCTTCTGCAATGGCAAGTGAAAGCCCTTGTTGAGCCTGGGGACAGAGAGAGAGAGCATCAGAAATTGAGCACCAGGGTCAGCAGCGGGCAGTAAAGAGAATCTTCAGGAAGTTGCATGCTTGCTGACATGTAATGCTGGCTGCATTACAGCCAATAGCATGATCACACCATCAATAGGAATAAATACGCAGAGCAGTGTTGGTCACACACAGGATTAGAGAGCCATTCTGATATGCTGTACTTATCTGCTCCTTCCCTGTCACACACACATCTGAATGCACCCATATGACTGTCTCCAGTTTGCAACGGTTCCTATAAAAGTCAGATTAAAAAACATTCCTTTAGCAGCTGGATGTGGTGGCTTACGCCTGTAATCCCAGCACTTTGGGAGGCCAAGGTGGGTTTATCACAAGGTCAGGAGTTCAAGACTAGCCTGGCCAAGATGGTGAAACCCCGTCTCTACTGAAAAAAAAAAAAATACAAAATTTAGCCAGGCTTGGTGTCTGGTGCCTGTAATCCTAGTGACTTGGGAGGCTGAGGGAGAGAATTGCGTGAACCCAGGAGGCAGAGGTTGCAGTGATCTGAGATAGTGCCACTGCACTCCAGCCTGGGTGACAGAGCGAGACTCCATCAAACAAAACAAAACAAAACAAAGCAAAACAAAACATTCCTTTAAAATTAGGCTCTCTTCCTTGAAGTAGAGACTCCTCAATACATTTCTACATGGCAAAAAATTAGAAAATTTCATAGACTTATCATAGAATTAAAAAATCTTTAGAGAAAAGTCATGCCTTGAATATCACTGATTCTTCCTTTTCAGTACAAACATAAAGTAATTGAGGCCTGGGGAGGTGATCACCTAAGAGAAAGAGCCAGCTGTTGGATCTAATTCTAGAAGTGCTTGGTTTTCCTCTCTACACTCCTAGCTCTGCAATGCTGGTGTCTCTTACCCAAAGCTCTAAGACTTGAGCTTGCATCCTCTGCAAAGGAGACGGCAAAGTCCTGGTCATTTGCCCCACGCTGCTCCTGGGCATCAGCCTCATAAGCTTTTGCCTGCAGTGGATCATCCTCAGCTTGGAGTGGCTCAGCCTTGGCCTGGAGGGCCACGAGGAGAACAGCAGTGAGGATGGTGAGGGTTCTCATGGCTAGGGTCGCTGGAGGAGAGAGAGCAGGAGCAGATGTGTGGGGAGTGAGGAGCCAGCCTGGATTTATAGGTCTGCTGGGAGAAGGCTCAGGGACAGATGTTGCGGTGAGACGGGGAGTGCATGTGATTGGGGAGCAGAAGAGCTACCCTTGCCCTCCATGTCCCTTTGATGCTCCTTTGTTCTCCAAGCTTCATTGTAGTGTGAGGCTGTTTATTGAGTGTCTGTTCTGGTCCCAGCTGATAGTGATGATAAGAACAGTGTTACATTGTCCTGTTTTCCATCTGCTGGAATATTTACTTGTTAATATTCAAAAAAGAAAAGAACAGTGCTTTCAATGAATAATTTCAGGAATCAAATGCCTCTTATTTTCTGAAGGTGGGGCTGGCCACTCTCTGGAGGTCTAGACCTTGAGGCCAGAGCTGGATCCCGCTAGAGTAGAGAGTTAATTCATTGCAGGATTCAGGGGGCATTTCTGCCCTCATGAAGGAGGCTTTGAGATTATGGGGTGAATAGGCTCTTGTGGGGCACAGTGTGGAGAAGATAATGACCTTATCAGCCTATAAGGGAAAAGAACTCAGTGGGATACTAGGTAAAGAGTTAGTAAAACTAAAGCCAAAAGATTTATTTCAAGAAACCCATGTGATCTGAATGTATCAACTAAAATATGTACTAGGTATTTCTCTCCACTTTGAGAAACATCGAAACAATTGACATGCCCACAATCCCCCTCTGAAATTTTATTTTATTTTTAATTTTAGAAAATGTTGAATTGCCCACAAGGACCATTCAAAGGGTAAAAGGAGTAATGAGCCTCCATCCTTGCCCCAGCCCTGCAGCTCTGCTCCAGGAAATCTCCACTTAAAAATTAAACATTGGTTTGTGCTTTGTTTTTTCTCCCTAATGCTGTAATTTGAATACTTTGTAGCTCAAAACATATAGAACTCTACCATTATTTTCATAGTCTCTTGTTTCTGGTCTTCTATTCAGGTATTTTATCCATTTTGAGTTAAGTTTTGTATATGCCAAAAGAGAAGGGTCCAGTTTTATTGTTTTGCATATGGAAATAGTATTCCCACCACCATTTATTGAAGAGACTCTCCTGTCCCTATTGTGTCTTCTTCATGCCATTGTCAAAAGTTACTTGACCATATGTGTTTCGATGTGTTTCTGGACTCTCAATTTTATTTCACTGGTATGTGTCTGGTTTTATGCCAATACCATATTGTTTTGATTACCGTAGCTTTGTAATATAATTTAAAACCAGGAATTGTGATGTCTTCAACTTTGTTTTTTTTTCTCAGAATTGTTTTGTCTATTTGGGTTCTTTCACCATTTCATACAAATTTTAGGATTTTTTTTTTTATTTCTGTAAAGAATGCCATGGGGATTTTGATAGGAATTGTGCTGAATCGGTATATTGTTTTGTTTGGGATAGACATTTTAACAATCTTAATTCTTCCAATTTTCAGCCCAGGATATCTTTCCATTTATTTTTACATTCTTTAATTTCTTTCACTATTTTTTTTTTTTTCATTTTCAGTGTGTAGATCCTTCACCTCCTTGTTTCTTCCTAGGTGTTTTATTTTTTGATGCTATTGTACATGGAATTGTTTTCTTGATTTTTGTTTCAGTTTTGTTAGGGAATCTATGGGCATTTAAAAATGCATTTGTTCTGTATTTATTTGAATTTTGCCTTCATTTACCCAGCAGGAGATGACCATTTAACTAACATCTAAATTTCGAATTAAACTTTCCCTCTCCAACCCAAACTGTAATTGTCCATTGTGACTTATAGCTGTCTATGCCTCTTTCCCCAGTAGTTCATGGGACAGGCAATAATTACTCTATCACCTGGAAATCCTACCCTGGAGCTGTTACTCAGATACCCTGATCTAGCTAACAGGACAAGATACTTCTGTAAATAAGTGATCTAATTTGTCTTGACTTAAAGGAGCATTTTGGAATTGTATGCTCTATCTTTGGAAACTAAGAAGTGTTCCCAGCCTATTTTAATTGAAATAGAAGATAATGCAGACCAATCCCCATGGGCATTGGTAAATGTTTAGACAGATGGGGTGCAGGAAGGCTTATCAGGATCCATATCGCAGCTTGTAAAGTCACCACAATCACCACGCCAACAGACGGAACGCCTGGAAGTAAACAGAACTTCTAGAACAGTAGAACATCAAAGGGTGTCAGGGACAAGGGAACTTCACGTAGTTCCTTTCCCTCTCTCTACTTACCTTCCTGCCCCTAGAGTCACATACATGCAAATACTGAAGCACAAGCTCTATTTTGAAGAGCCCATTTACTCTAGGATCCAGCTTTCAATGATCATGCACAAAATCGAGGCAGGTATATCTCCCCCTTGTTTAGCCATCAGGCTCCTGCAAGAGAAGTAACCTCCCTACCGTGACCCGCAGTCACGAGGACCTCATCTCTGTTAACTGCCTTTCTTGAGTTAACCCCACCCCACTCCCACATGGAAGCCCTAATAAGAACCGAGCATCTTGGAGATGCCACCGAGATGAAGTTGACTTAGGCCAAGGGCTGTCTCTGTTGTCCTCAGTGGCTCCAGCATACCTCCACCCTGAGATGTCCTCACACATCAGACGCTGACCTAGCAGAGCCCACACTATCTTCCAGTAAAGAAGAACCTGCCCTTACAGAGAACTGGGCGCGCAGCACTGCAGTAGCACCTTAAGGACAGCAGGTGGCCCTCCTGCCCTTAAACAGGAGTTGACCCAAGAGGGACTTCAAATGGGAGCGCTGTAAAGTGCTGTTCAGCAAACACATTGCTTTCTTCTGCACCCCAAAGTGTACATATTACAACATTAGTTCAGGGGGCACAGAATACACTGCTGCTGGTTCCGTGTCAGCGGTAGCTGCTGGCCCTGGAAGGCTGGCCTGCCCCGTCTCTAACCTAGTGTCATGATGTCGTTCCCCCTTGTGCTGGCTGCGGGGCTGAGGACCTGAGTCTGGGGGCCTCTGCTCTTTCTCCTGGGTGGCAATGCTCCTGTCCCTGCCTCCTTCCCAGTCTGTGGTGGGGACTCGACAGCCAGGGCAGGTCAGGTTCTCAGTCTGTGCTGAGGTCTCACCTGGGCCTTGCCTCTGTCTCCCCCAGGTGGCTCCCAAACCCCAATTAGAACAGAGTGAGTCTGTATCTCGTGGTCCCTTTCACCTTTCTTTCTGGGCTGCACCAGAACCTTGGCAGAAATCAGTGGTTTAAGCAAAAAATGGTGCTACATGTAAAAGTCTTTGCAACACTTTCACTTCCACCCCCACCCACCCTGCCCCCAGCACAGTGTCCTGGACTTGCCACCAGTGTCAACTCTGAGTGTAGACACAACTGAAACTGTTCCTTCATACACATGCAGTTCAGCTTTCAGACACTCAACAAGAGCCTTGACACCCTCAAGCTGGGGTAAATATCCTGGGGAAGCTACAGGTGGGGGTGCAGGTGTGGGTGTGAGAGGAGAAAGGCCTTCAGCAGCAGCAAGGATATTCCCACACTCTCTGAGGCTGTCTGGTGACCCCAGCAGACACAGTGAGTGTGGACCTTGGGCAGGGCCCTGGGACATGGTTTTGACCCAGTGTGGAAGGGCAGTTTTGGAACAGAGTGTGTGTGTTAGCGTGGGGTAGAGCGGGGGCTGCGTGGGGGTGAGCTCTGAGAACTGTCCATCTCCCAGCCCCTGAGAGTGCACCGCCCTGTCCCTCCCCTCAGCCTTTTGTCCACCTCCCTGCAGGGAGGGTCCTGGTGCTGCCTGTGCCACACAGCAACTCCCGGGCCTGCAGATCCAGCTGGGACAGGCAGGAGCTCCAAGTCCCCTGCCCTTTGTCTGCCTTTCCCAGCCGCCTCTCACATGCTGTCTATGTGTCTGGTGTTGTTGCCTGCAGCAATTTTTACAAATGACTATGAAAGAATAACTCTCTTGGGCTGTTTTAAAATGTGGTCCCAATTCTTGGACTCTTCTCCCACAGAAAGGGAGGTTTACTTCTTTCCTGTTGGATCTAGGTCGGGTGACATCTTCACCAATAGAATGCACCTGACTTAGTACCATGCCGTTTGCTGGGCCCAGGTGCTAAGACACTGGTATTTTTCACTTTCACCGTCTTGGATGGCGCTGCAGTTGGAATATTTTTGTCCCTCTGAAATTCATATATTGAAATATTAAACCACCAGGTGATAGCATTAACAGGTGGTGCCTCTGGGGAGGTGAGTAGGTCCGGAGGGCACCTCATGAATAGGATTAGTGTCCTTATAGAAGAGATCCCAAGGAGCTCCTTCATTCCTTCCATCAGGTGAGGACACAGTGAGGAGGTGCCATCTATGAACGAAAAAGCTGGTTCTCAGCAGACACCAAATCTGCTGCCACCTTGATTTGGACTTCTCAACCTCTAGAACACTGAAAAATATATCTGTTGTTCATAAGCAACTCAGTTTATGGTATTTTTTTTTAAATAGTGGCTCAAACGGACTAAGAGGGCTGGTCACTTGGGGGCCCAGACACCGTGTTTTGAGGAAGCCTCAGCCTCGCACAGGAAGATGAACTGAGGGCACCTGCGAGGGTGAGCTAGAGAACACAGAACAGCCAGCTTTCTGGGAAAAACCAAAACTCTGATTTACAGTGTTTGTAAATTTCTGTGGTTAGAATCCTCCCAGCTCTGGACCGTTTAAAAAATGTCACACAAACCACCTTTCTCATGAGCCGGCATGATCTGGCCCCAGCGCATCACAAGGTCCCATCCCTCAGCCCTGTGAGAGCTCCCAGCTGAGCCAGCACTGCCTGCCACCTGTGCGCGAGTGTCTCAGCCCTGAGCTCCTCAGATCCCAGCAGAACCTCTCCTCTGAGCCAGGCCCAAATTGCCAAGGTATGAGTGAAGACCTGATGGTGCTGTTTCAGTCCACTATGTTTGGGATATCTTTCCACACAGCAGTAGATGAACAGAGGGCATTGTCACAGTCTTGGCGAGAAGTTGGACTTGTGCATTTCTGCGTGTGTAAACTTCTGCTTCTCCAAAATATTGGCGAAGTAGGACTGAATCCTCTTACCTTATTCCCAAAGTGTCACAAAGAGCCCATGATGGTGGGAGCATGAGATTGTGGACTGTTTGGAGTGACCGAAGAACCCTCTCACCCATTCCTAGTTTAAATTCTTCCCGCTGGGAGCAGGGGTGGTGTGGGAGCCAGGTGGGGTCTCAACCTCTGCCCTCAGTAACAGACTCAGAAGAGGCCATAGGACTCAGGAGTTGGCTGAAACAACAGGGAAAGAAGTAGGGATTTTCTCTAGGAGATTAGCTGCGAAGGGCACAGAGAGATGACCATGAATGACATGGCTGTCACCTGGGGAGAGATCCCAAAGTAAGATCAAGAGAAACAAAGGGGAAAAAAGGTAAAGACGACAAAGTAACTCATGCTTTGAGTCCTTGGACCAAGCATTTCCTAAAGCCAGAATTCCTTGGTATGGGAGTGAAAATGTTGACTCAGGGCTGGACAAGGTAGCTCAGCTTGTAATCCTAGCACTTTGGGAGGCTGAGGAGGAAGAATTGCTTAAGGCCAGGAGTTTGAGACCAGCTTGAGCAACATAGCAAGCCCCCTGCCTCTTAAAAAAAAATGGTGACTCAGCTTGACCTGATTTCTAATGTTTTACTCCAAGACTCCACTAAGATGCCTGAAAAAGATCAAAAATACCAAACTCGGAGAGCCTGAGGCAAAGACAGTGCCGTGCACAAGGACAGGAGATGAGAGCAGATGACAAGTGTCCCAATGCAGCTTGAGGGCAGATGACAGGTGTCCCAAGAGCAGCTTGGGTATCAGGCTCCCTGGTGATTCCCATGCACAGCCCCCGGGAGAACAGCCTTATTGATGCTGATCAGCAGGGAAGGAGGGACGGCTACATTAGAGGCTGGAAGGACAGCGGGTGAGTCAGGGATGGGGAGCTTCATAGTTGATGTTCAGAAATGGAGGAATTCCAGGTGGTGGCAGGAGCTAGTGGGTGGCCATGGGTTGGAGGGCTGGGACAAAGAGGGAGTGGGGTCACTGTCATCCAGGCGGACAAAGCACTGAGAGGCTGGGAGGGTGACCGGCCAGGTAACATTACAGTGAAAGACCGTTTCCCGTAATCTTAAGTTTCTGAGTGAGTTGAGTGGCTTTGAGCAGCAAAAGGGAAAAATACATAGGTTTAGAAAAGAGAATAGGTAGTTGTCTGATGTCTTCCATTCTGGTTCTGCTTGTAAGAAGAGTTCAAGTTCTCAAACAGAGAAACAGAAGAGAAAAAAATGGCTGTCTTTTATTAAAAAAAAATCAGAAGGCTTTTAAGAAATGTCAAGGAAGTATTTATTGAACACTGTTGAAATAAGAGTCAAAACGCTGCAATAGGGTGAGCCGTTGAACTCAACTGTCCTGAAGCCCAAGGCAGGAATATGTAGGCCCTGGGTTAAGCTAGTGGAAAAGTTCTGGTGGTTGTTGGTGGGGAAGTTGAGCAGTGTGATTGGGCAATCTTTGTTTGCTAATTTATTAGGAGATAGGCTCCTGTCTTCCCACAGAGACAAGGCTGCTATCCCCTTGAGTAATTACATTTATAGGGATGAGGCATCTGACTTACTCTTTATTGTTCTACCACTCAAGTGATTCAAGGTAGAAAATGTCTTGTATGTCATCAGTAAACATAGAGTGCATCCACATGAACGTTTCTGGGTCTCACTTGAGGCTGAGCAACTTGCCCTGGTTGTTTGGAGACCCTCACACCTCTCCCTGCATTCTCTGTCCCCAGAGTTTGCAGCTGTCATAGCCCACCCTAGACTGCAGTAGCAGAAGCCACATGTGGTGCTCCCAGTGTGTCTATCCACACAGAGGAGCAGGGAGGCTCCTTCCTCGTCTGGCCCTTTCCTTTGGATTGATGGATGCTTCTCAGCACATCAACCTGAATTCTACTCCATCCTTCTGTGTTGCAACAGCAATTCCTCTTAATTCAATGGAGGTTGACCTCCTCCTGCATAGCTCTTGCCCTGATTCTACATTCTCTACCTAATTTTCTGCTTTAATCATTCTTTTATTCTATTGAAAGTTTAAACATCTTTATGTTTCAGTTTAAGATTCACCATGAAATCTATCCTTGGCATTCCATGACAGAATGGTCTTTTCCTACTTCCAAAAGTCCTAATGCTTCATTAAACCACATTTTACCCATCATAGTCTCCTATATTTTAGTCTTTTTAATTAGTTTTAATTAGTCTTTTTTAAGGAATGTTGTCACATGGACTAGACACACGGGCTGCTTTACCTCTGTAGGCTTCAGTATTTTTTTCGTAAACTCACATACTTTGGAGCACAGAAGTATCCCTAAGCCCATGAACGTGTTTGAATGCTTTCTCTGCATGTGAGGCTCCAACCTTTCCGGCCACAGACTGAGTTTGTGCTGAGGCATCATTAGCTGGTTTGTATTCATGCCTGGTCATGGGGAAGGCCACCTGCCTCTGATTGTGGGGGTTGCTGGTGTTTAAGCTTTAGTGCCATGGGTCCCATTCAATATCTAAGGATCGGGTTTCCTGGCTTGGATCCAGTCAGGTGGCATTTGGGGTTTTGCCCCTCTAGCACATTGCCTCAACATGCCACAGTTTTCCAGCCTGGGGTTCAATTTTGTGTCAATATAAATTTTGAGTACAATTAATTAATTTAGTTGAAATTAATTTATTGATCATGTGCAACGTATTAGGTGGTCATCTATGCACTGTGGTAAGATGATGAGGAAAACATGCAGCTTCCCTCCCAGTGTTGGGAGACAAATGTTCCAGAGAGTAAATGAAATGCACAGATGTGAGATAGCTTACAATTCTACAGTTAAAAATAAAGAGAAGAGGGGGATAGAGGTCACCAGGGGGAACTAGTTGCAATTTGAAATTAAGAAATCAGCAAAGTCCTCAGTGACAAAGGGAAGTTCTAGCAGAGACCCCAGGATCTAGGGCGCAAGCCAGGTGGACTTCTGGGAAGTGCAGAAACCGCGTGATGGAGTCAGCCGGACTCAGTGGACGGTTAGGAGCAATATGCAGAGTTACAGCAAGAACCGCGTGACTTCAAGTCAGTGGCGGTTACAGGAACCCAAGGAAGACTGTCCCCCTTTCACATCCTGAAACCCAAAATGTCACCTTCACCTTCAATACAAGGGGAAGACCTTGGACCATTTCTTTGTCAATCACAGACCCACTGTGTCTTCCCTGGGACCTGTATTGGGTTCCCCAGCTGTGAAGTGTCTCAGTGGGGTGCCTGGACCCCTGAGCTGCCTCTTCAGACAGGCAGAGCCTCAGTCTGGGGCTGAGACCTGCTCAGAATCTGCATGGGTAGATGTGGAGAACACCTGCTTCCTTCTCCTGGGCTCTGGGCATTGTGGGTGGTTGGTGTTGGTGGTCACAGCTGTGTCTTGGCCCATCAGATTGTTTTGGTCAAGAATGGGGAATAATCCTACTAGAATCACTGTCCCTTTATTTGCAAACTGTAGTTTCTCTGTCACTCTTGGAAGTTGTGGGGGCATTCTATGAATGACCCTCCAGATAAGAGGAGCCATGGCTTGAACAGAGAAGGTATTTTTCCAAGCATGTGTAGTGGATTCATAAACTGGAACTGCTAGATCCAAAATATAAGAAATCTGTGGGCCAAGCTGGACTTGTCCCTGGAGCTTTGTGATCATGTCCTCATAGGCCGTTGACAAGACATCCTCAACTATTGTTAAAGGTACAGTGGGTTTCTAGGGTAGGGACAGAGAGGAGAGACAGGAAGAGAGGTCACATCACACCCCAGCAAGATGTCAGCCTGGCCCTCAGGGACACCCGGGTTAGGCAGTGACCCTGTTCTCTTGGAGGGGAGGAGGAAGACAAGCTCAGGAAGGTACAGACCCCACGTGTGCTGTGCCTGATGGGGAGGCTGCAGTTGAAGGTAGGACAGCAGGGGACGCTGTGGCCTTTCCGGGAAATGCTCTGAGCATCTCAGAGAGCGCTCCTGGTTCATTCCCTTTCCCTAGACCTGGTTTCTTGCTCACTCACTGATGTGCAGGATGTTGTGGTTATCAGAGCCGCAGCCTGCAGCAACAACAGGAATGTAAGGTTTCTGGTGAAGCTGTATTTTCCCAGCAGAATCAGGTTCTCAGCAGCTTTAAGGCAACCCAAGAGAGTGCGCGTTGCAAAGTGTAGTGGAGCATTTGTGTGTGTGCGTTTTCTGGGTGTGAAGACGACTTTATGGGTGTGAAATCCAGGTCTTCATAGACGTGGCTGAAGGGTGCTCTTAATGAGGACATCCCATTGTGGGCTGCTGTGTTTTGTGTTCCATGCACCCCGCCTTTGCTAACAACCCATTTCCCTCTTAATTAAAGTTGTTTCAGTGGATCTCCTATAACCCTATGTCTTAAAAGGCAAATGTGTGACCTGGACATGTTCAATAAAACTCCAATATTTTGACGCAGAGGATGGTGGTTTTTCCCGAGAAGTAGTGAGGTTGTGAGTAGCTAAACTGGAAGCTGACGTTGATTCTTTTGCCTAGTATATGAGAGTTGTCTTTGAGAGTGAATCCATTCAAAATGAGGCAGAATGAAAAGACAGAGCAGTGGATGGTGAGATCAGTGGCATCATTTGTGCCTTCGTTTCAGTTTGTGTCTGAAGCCATGGCTCCTCCTTAAAAATTCTAGATTTTGAAACTTTAATTTGTTCCAAAATATTCATGTAGGATTCTGGCAGTTGCTTTCTAGTGTCTTGACACAGACACATATCAAATTTTAAAGAGGTGTAAACAAAGACATCTTGTTACGAGATATATATTTAGGATCAAGAAAGATGTTAAGGACAAAGTATAGGAGAAACAACCATTTCCTGTAGCTCTCAAAGCAAATTATGAGCTCATTTTTCTCTATTCTGCAAGCTCAGCTGCAGAAGCATGTGAAGCTAACACCACCGATGATGGCGTTCCCAGCATGACATTCTCTTGGACAGCAGAACGTTAATCGACACGCGTGCAGCAGTATGTGAAACTCACACCACCAATGAGGCAGTTCCCAACACGAAGTTCTGTTCGCCGGCAGAATACTAATCTGCAAGAGCAGACCATGCCCCTTGTTGAGCCTGGGAACACAGAGGAAGCATGAGAAATTAAGCACCAAGGTCAGCGGTGGGTGGTAAAGGGAATCTTGGAGAAGTCACATGCTGGCTGACCGGTGATGCTGGCTGCATTAGTGCCGGTAGCACAAACAACCTTAGTCAATAGGAATAAATACACAGAGCAATGCTGCTCATACAGGATTTGAGACTCATTCTCTTTTGCTCTGATTTGTGTGCTTTTGCCCCATCAGACACACACCTGAACATACTCTTAAGCCCATCTCCAGTTTTTAAAATTTCCTTTGTTGGCAGAATGAAATATTTTCCCTATAATATCTACTTGTTTAGATCCAGAAAGAACTGGTCAATCTGTCTCTCCGTATCTTAACCCTAGCGAATTTTATAGACATACCTTGGAATCAAGTCTTTGGAGAAAGAAGACTACTTACATTTGTTTGTCTCTCTATTCAGTTTGGAGATAAGAAAATCGAGGCCCAGAGATGGTAAGTAAAGCCACCTAAGTGACATCCACCATTGAGATGTGATTCCAGAGCCCATCTCCCATCCGTCTCTCTAGACTCGGTAGCTTTTTTATGCTGGCCTCTCTCACCTGAAACCTGAAGAGCAGAGCTTTTATCCCATGCAAAGGAAATAGATATGTCCTGGTCTTCTGGCCCACGCTGCTCCTGGCCTGGAGCCTCATCACCTCTTGCCTGGAGTGGGCCTGCCCGGACCTGGAGGGCTACCAAGAGAATAGCAGCGAGGAGGGCGATAATCCTCATGGCTGGGGTGACCTGGAGGAGGGAGAGCAGGAGCAGCTGTGTGGGGAGGGAGAAGCCAGCTTGGATTTATAGCTTTGCTGGGAGAAGGCACAGAGATAAGAAACCTTTGGCCTTCTGAGTGAGAGGAGGTGTGCATTTTGTTAGAGAGGATGCCGACTCCTATTGGCCTTGACATCCCTGGAATGCTCCTCTGCTCTCCCAGCTTTCTTCACAGGAAGCTCTATGTTTAGTGTCTGTGCTAGGTTGAAGTTGATGGTGATGATGAGGACCCTGGCATTTTTTCCTGTTTTCAGGAAATACCTAATATTTCCTGGTTAAATCTTTAATATTCTAAAAAGAATGGAAACAGTGCTTTCATTCAATAATTTAAGAGAGCAAATGCCTCTTATTTCCTGATAATGGGCCCTACTATTCTCTTCAGGTCTAAACACTGGTGCCAGACCTGTATTCCGGTGGAGTAGAGAGTAACTCATTGCAGGCTTCTAGGTCATTATACCCTCATGAAGGGGCGACTGAGGTAATGGGGTGAGTAGTCTCCTGTAGGGGCCAGAGTGAAGAGGACAATGACCTTATCAGGGTACAGGTGAAATGAGCTCAGTGAGAGAGATAAAGAGTTGTGTAAGGTTCATGAGTTGCTAGGTGCATACACGTGGTCCTTTCTCTCACAGCATGTAAAAAATCAGCTCAACATGGATTGAAGACTCAACATAGACTTGAAAAGACCTGAAACCATACAACTACGAGAAGCACATACAAAGATAAAGCTTTGGACATTGACGTGAGTAATGATTTCTTGGCTATGACACCAAAGGCACAGGCAATAAACAAATGGGAAAATAGACAAGCGGGGCTGCATTGAACGCTAAAGCATCTTCATAGCAAAGGAAACAATCAACTGAGGGAAACGGCAACCCAGAAAATGAGAGAAAATGTTTGCAAAGCCTACGTGGTAGAAGGGGTAAATATCTGAATACATAAGGAAGTCAAACAACTCAATAGCAAAAAACAAACAACCTGATTGAAAAACAGACCTAGGACCTGCAGAGGCTTCTCTCACAATAAAATAATGTTTTAAGAAGCTGTGATCGTCTTTATTGGACATGTCAAGTAGGACACGTGTGTTTGGAAGGAAACTTTTTGAGTTTCTCTATTGACTTAGCTAGTAGCCATTACCCCCAGCAGCCGCCAGACACCCAGATAGAAGTTCACAGCAGGGGCTTCACCCGCTGGGTCCCTCTGGGGTGGCCCCACAGTGAGAGGTCAGACTGGGGACACAGCTTCAATATTGAAACCTCAATGTGAAAGTTTAAGTTTTGTGTTACTTACAGATCCTCAAGCTAGGCAGGGCGAGCAGAGAGGGCAGACAGCAGTCCTGTGTTCCAGGTCTTATGTAGCAAGAGCAGCCATGCACACAGAGGAGAGGACTTCCTTATTTAAGGGTCTTTTGGTATCAGGTGTCCTAATTTTTCAGGGTTACTTTCTATTGGGTACTTTAAATAACTGTTAACAAGGGCAGTTGAGAAATTTGGCAGAAAGCTGGAGTTCAAGCAGGAGTCCACGGAGGTACCGACCCCTCGTCTACTTTGGTCAGCCCTGGCCAGGCCCAGGCAGCAATCAACTATGGATTCCTCATGACTCCTAAGACAATTGACCCCATGATACCTATGCTGGTGGCTGAGGCTGAACTACCTGGACCGAGGGAATATTTAAAGCCACCAGGAGAGCCTGGCCTGCATATTGTTGTATACACCTTGCGAGGAGACTAGGATCAAAATGCCACCCACACACAGATGAGGATTTGGAATGTGGTCTGAACTGACCTCCCCAGGCCCTGGGGTCTAACCATAAAAACAAATCCAAGCCATTCAGACAAGTAAGGTTGGAGAATACCTGGATGAGACTGAATACCGCCTGGGCTTGTGTTGCTGGATAGGGCAGGTTGCAGGCTCCCGAGTAAAGGATGTGCATATAGCATGTGGTTCCCTAGAGGGGACAGTCACCTTTTTGCTTGGCCTTAGATAGTTCAAGCCTAAATGACTGTCTAGGTCATCCAGGCCAAGGACTCATCAAATGATTGCGTGACACCTAATGTCTGTCAGAAGTCCCTTAGGATGGTGGCCAAAGCTGCAGCGAGATTGGTGTTAGCTTGCATCACCTTGTGTTGTGAGCTCAAATACCCTGTTCCCAAACCAATCCCGTAGGCTTACGAGTCTCCCTACACCCAGAGTTAGGAAGATGGTCACTGGGTGGGGGGGATGCATAAGCTTTCCCTTGTGTGGTCCCTCCTGGGTTATTTGAAGGGGAGTCCCAGGGAGACTAGTGCACATTTTAAAATGTACCACTCTCCACCATCCTCCTCCTTGTAGTGAGGTAAACGGGATGAGGTTTCTGGAAATGAGAAAAGAATGCAGTTGTTCCTGAGGGAATGAATACCTATAGTGAGGTTGCTGAACCCAGTATGCAGTCCAGGCAGCCCCTGCCGCCATGGGAGGGCCGTGCACAGCGCTGGTCCAGCAGGCTGGGTGCTCAGGGCCTCCCCTGCAGCTCTGCGTGAAGGCAGCAGGCACTGGGCTATGGAGGACTGGGGGCAGCGGCGCTCTCAGTCTTAAGGAGGGAAGAGGCATCTCAAGCCTCGCTAGGGGTGGTCGCTGTTCCAGAGCAGTGAAGTCGGCTGCCCCTATGAGGAAGCAGTGAGTTCCTGATCTGTTGCAGGCCCAGCAATTTCACCTTTGGAGGAAGTGGGCACTGGACTCATTCCAGCAGAGGAAGAAATTAGGGCTATTTGGGGAACTGGGCCCCAGATGATGGTTTTAGGTTCTAGGGCATTAGTAGGTGCCTGAAGGGCCCAGTGGATATGGATGTAGAGGCAAAATGAGAAGGGGTGTGTGTGCACGTGGGGAAGGTCTGGTGGTTGTGGGGATGTCCAGTGTCCTGCAGAAGTGAAACCTGGACCAGCCTCCTGCACACAGAACACACTCCAATCCATAGGCATTTTCCTAGTAACATAGGAGAGAGCTGTTATTGGCAGAGCTGGTTAGATTTGGGTGTGATATTATAACAGACAGGTCTTCCAAGTCCATATTTTTTGGCATAACTTGTAGGGCAGCCTCCTGATCTGATCCAAGCCTTGTGGTTTCCTTGCAGTAGGCGGTTTAACTAATGGGTTACACTGAAGACAAATGGGGATCCCAGCAAAATACCATTCTAAGGGGTCATCTGCAGGGTCCTCAGGAAAGCATGAGCTAAGAAAGCACGGGTCCAGGTACTGGACGTGAGCCAACTCCATGTCCCGGGGGTGGTGAGATCCATACCTTGCGGCAGGAAGGAGAGTAAGGTGAGTCTGGTTTGGGGATGACCCCACAGTCAAGATGAGATTCCTTGGTGTCTCTGGTTCTGGTGAGGCCACTGTTTCCCAGGACAAACCCTTGGATCAGAGCACTGTCTTCTGAGGTGATGGCCTTTCGGGTAGGGGTGGCCTTTCCAGCTGGTCACTCAAGAAGAGAGAGGGTATGGGCTGGTGTTGCACAGGCCTCTGGCCTCTGTGGGACTCCATGGAAGCGTTTAGTGAAAGCTTGAGTGGTGCTTTCCTTGGTCGGGGGATAGGACATTTCCATCCACAACTCACATACTTTGGAGCACAGAAGTATCCCTAAGCCCATGAACGTGTTTGAATGCTTTCTCTGCATGTGAGGCTCCAACCTTTCCGGCCACAGACTGAGTTTGTGCTGAGGCATCATTAGCTGGTTTGTATTCATGCCTGGTCATGGGGAGGGCCACCTGCCTCTGATTGTGGGGGTTGCTGGTGTTTAAGCTTTAGTGCCATGGGTCCCATTCAATATCTAAGGATCGGGTTTCCTGGCTTGGATCCAGGTCAGGTGGCATTTGGGGTTTTGCCCCTCTAGCACATTGCCTCAACATGCCACAGTTTTCCAGCCTGGGGTTCAATTTCTCACAGTGGCTGTCCTGTTCCAGCAGCTCTCTGGGATGCCAGGCCCCAGGCCTAAGAGCAGCCGTACAACATTTACATACATAAGATACCCAGCAAGGCCAAAGATAGAGAGCACTGACAGCTTATAACTCAGGGATTTCCTCAAGGTACTTTTACGTCGATATTGATTATGGGGTGGGCTTTCACCAACATTTCTTCAGAGCATTTTTCTGCAATCGACACAGGACATGGTGATGGTAGTTCCATGTGGTCTTTGTCTGATGTAGTTGGCGTCCTCTAGTTTGATGGCTTTTTCTCCTCATTTAGTGACCCAGACTGTACCCTCTTTGGGCTGCAGAGAAACAATCCCCACTTCCTTCAGGGAGGAGTGAGTGGGAGATATTAGCTACCTTTCAAAGCAGGAAGAACTGGAGCTTCTGCTGGAGGCTGTATGTCAAGAGGTGAGGTCTGGTGTAGCAGAAGCATCTTAGGGCTGCTCTGTGGCAGCTGCCTGGACCATCAGTCCCCAGAGGATCACAGCTCACTATCTGTATTAGTCCATTTTCATGCTGCTCATAAAGACCTACCCGAGACTGGGTGATTTATGCAGGAAAGAGATTTCATGGACTCACAGTTCCACATGGCTGGGGAGGCCTCACAATCATGGTAGAAGACAAAAGGAGCAAGTCAAGTCTTACGTGGGTGGCAGCAGGCAAAGAGAGAGCTTCTGCAGGGAAACTCCCTATATAAAACCATCAGATCTTGTGAAACTTATTCACTACCATGAGAACAGCATGGGAAAGACCTGCCTCCATGATTCAATTACCTCCCACCAGGTCCCTCCAACACATAGGAATTCAAGATGACATTTGGGTGGGAACACAGCCAAACCCTATCACTGTCCATCCTCGATCGAGTCTTTAGTAAATGTTTGATGCTGAGACAGTGGACATCTTGTGATGGTATGAGGGGGTCTCATTATTGCAGAAAATGTGGGTGATGGTATCCATAAGGGAAAAAGAGCTCAACTCTTCTGTGATCACCAGGGTGGGTGCCATGGTTGGTCTGGTCCAATTGTAGAAGAGCTGGTGGCCATGGTGTTGAGAATTAAGATAGTTAAGGCTCTCAAAGGAGCTTGGTTCCCTTGATGAACCACTTGTAGGGGGACTGGAGCCTTTCCTAATTTGACTTAGTCTGTGCTCATGCCACAACTTTAATAAGCATGACTTTAGGAGGCCACTGTGTTGCTTGAGGAGGCCAGTGGCTAAGTGAGGGTCCCCTAACCCCCATGCTGAGTTGCCCAGCACCACCCTGAAGTGGGAGCCCTGATCTGCATCAGTGATATCTGGTGGTTCACAAGAGGTAATAGAGCAAATGTCACAGAAAGAGAGCACCTTTCTCTACCAAGAGCCTTGGGTTGGAAGAGTCAATGGAAGTGCGGTGGATGTGTGTCTGCTCCTGCACAGCAGAAGGTGGTGGCTGTGATGGGAGAGGCCCAGTGAAGTCCATTTGCCACCAGCTGAAAGGGTGATGGCCCAGGAACAAGGGATTGCTGGCCACAGTTTTGCTTGCCTGAAGCTATGGTGGGAGACAGCTGTGGTGTGGGTTGCCCTCTAATGTGGCTGTAGCTCTCATGATCTGGGGCTGTAGGACTCCACTCTGTCAGCACCTGAGGAATACAGAACTTGAGATTCTGGAGTCTGTAAAAATAAGAGGATCTCACCCAAGCCCTGGGAGGTGCATCTGACCGCTAACCTCCTGGGGACAGGACATCAGGGGCTGTCAGCAGGCTCAGTCTGGAGGCCAAAGATGGCAGTCGTCTCACTGTGGATGCCTCACCCTTCGAGTGGTGGAAAGTAGCCTGGGCATGTTTGTTCTGAATGCATGAGGCATGAATCACCTATAGGAGGACTGGAGTGTCCCCTAATTTGACCCAAACAGGTCCACGCCACAGAGGCCATTCCAGAGGCATTGGATCCAGGGCACTCACAATATGTTGGGCACAGCCCAGGAATCTGTAAAAACTGTCCCCGAGTGGGGGTTATGGCCACAGCAACCTCCCCTGCAACCGGCACCACCAGCTGTATGGCTGGGCTCAGCATACCCTCCCCTCCTATGCAGGCCCTGCTGTGATAAATGTGGGAGGTGGTTGCCGGCCAGTGGGCTCCCGGCCTGCAGGGCAGTGCTGCCTTCCCTGAGGTATGTGGACTCCCCATGTCCAACTCTTCCCATGGCCTCATCAGGTCACCAATTGTTCGGGCAATAGGGTCGCTGCTGCTATTTCTCTCTGCTTGTAGGCAGGAGCTGAATAACAGGGAAACCATGGCCTCAGCTTCCTGTCACTTGAAAGGACTTAAGTGCCAGGTTTGCCTTGTCCTACAAGTGCTGTTCCCATTTTCCCAGGGAGACATGAATGGCTGAGCCTCTGTCAGGAGGAGTCAGACATGGGGCATGGCTGGAGTCTGGGGACACAGCAGCACCGGAACCTGTCCTGTAGTGCCTATGTCTATACGGGCATTGTGTGTAGTGGTAGCCAGCTTTTTAACGGGGGATAATGAGCTGCAGCTGCCAGGAAGTTTATGCCTGCAGAAGCCCATAGCCAGGATGGACGTGCTTTCTCCAGAGGCTCTGGGAGTCATGATTGGTGGTACTGAGGGCCTCTATATGAAACTCAGAACCCGGGACCTGGGCATGGCCTGAGAGACCACCTGCTGAGCCAGCTGCATGCTGTATCCTGCTGTGGCCCCAGTTAAGACATGGAGGGCTTCTGGGTGACAGTGTCTGTGGGCCTCTGCAGAATGGACAAGTGAGGTGTAGGTGCAGGCGGAATGTCCCAGTATGCGCAGGGCCTGCCACAAAGTGGCTGGCACCCTAATGGTGAAGACTTTGGTTTTAACTGCAAGGTGAATTTGGTGGCCCACTGAGGACCAGGTTATCTCTAGAATCTTTACAGCAGTGCGGGGCCTGAACTTTGTGTGGGTTGTGGCCCAGCCATGGTCTTGGAGGAAGCCACTAAAATGACCAGCATGGTTTTCACTTCCTTCTTCTAGGGGCTTCTGAGGAAAATGCTATCAATGTAATGCCACAAGGTACAGGGGTTCACACTGAATCACAGGAAGTCCCGGGGGCACGAGTTATGGGCAGTAGCTGGCTTACTGAGACAGCCTGAGTGCAATTTGGTAAATGTGCACTGGGTCCCTTCCAAAGTCAAAGCAAACACAGACTGCGACCCGTCTGTGATGGGAATGGGCAGAATGCATTGGCCAAGTCTCCTGCTGTGAAATGTTGTGCCCTGGGCCTTTGTATGCCCTCTGTTAACTTGACTGTATCTGGAATCAGGGCCTTAATGGTCCTGGAGGACAATCTGGTGGCTGCTCTACTTGGATTCCAGCGCCACAGAGTGGCAAGCACTGTTTCCGTCTTATATTTTAGTGGAGGAGACAAACAATAGGCAAAGTTATGATGGGTATGATACACTATGCAGCCAGTGGTTATTATACAGAATAAAAGGATAACATTGAGGTGACCTGGAGTGCCCAGGTGACACGGTGTTGGGGGCAGGGTGCTGCTCAATAGTGTCACCATGGCAGCCTCATTGTGGAGAGAACATCAGAGCAGAGGCCAGGAGGGGCTGGGTGAGTGCTGCAGAAACCTGGATGGGTCCAGGAAAAGGGAGAGCAGGTGTAGCAGCCCTGCAGCAGGAGTGTGGCCTGGCCCATGTGGTGGCCTCACCAGCAGCACCCGGAGTGGTTTCAGGAGGTCAAAGAGAACACATGCCCTGCAGGTTGCTCGAGTCAGTGGTGGCTGCTGGTGCTGCCTTTTCCATCCCCAACCCATTGTCCTGAGGTCATTCCCTCCCATGCATGGCTGGAGGGGTGGTAACTGTAGGCTGGGGGGCGCTACTCTGTGGCAGGGGCGGACTCAGCAGCCCAGGGCCCGTCAGGTTCTCAGTCTGTGCTGAGGTTGCACCTGTGCTTTACCTCCTTCTCGCCCACGTGACTCTCAAACTCCAACCCAAATTAGAAGAGAGGGATTCATCTCTTGTGGTCTCTTTCACTTTTCTTTCTGGGCTGCACCAGAACCTTGGCAGAACTCTAAGGTTTAAGCAAAAAACAAAAAAAGCTGTTTTGTCTAAAAATCTTTGCAACACTTTCGCTTCCGTGTCCATCCATGATCTCCCCAGCCTGAGTTTCCCATTCTTTTCACCAGTATCGACTCCCAGGCACAGTAGACGTGGCTGAAACTCTTCTCTCATCCACATCGTCTTGAATTTCCAGGGAATATTTAAACGAGTCTGGACACTTAATAAGAGCCTCGACACCATCAGCCTGGACACCGTCAGAACCTTGACACCACGTTCTGGTGAAGCTGTGGGTGGGGGTGCAGGTGTGGGTGTGAGAGGAGAGAGAACTCCAGGAGCAGCAAGGATATTCCCACACATGCTGAGGGTGTCCAGGGGCCCCAGCAGACCCAGGGTGTGTGGACCTTGCGCGGGGTTCTGGTACGTGATTTCGTCCTGGTAGGGAAGGGCAGTCGTGGAACCCAGTGTGCACGTTAGCATGGGGCAGGGTGGGGGCTGTGTGGGGGTGAGCTCTGAGGACCGGCCACCTCCCAGCTCTTCAGAGTGCACCACCCTGCCCCTCCCCTCAGCCCTTTGTCCACTGTCCTGCAGGGAGGGTCCTGGTGCTGCCTGTGCCACACAGCAACTCCTGGACCTGTAGATCCAGCTGGGACAGGCAGGAGCTCCGAGTCCCTGCCCTTTGTCCGTCTTTCCCAGCACCTATCAGGCTGTCTGTGTGTCTGGTGTTGTTGCATTTTACAATATACTATGAGAGAATAAGTCCATTGAACAGCTTTAAAAATATGGGCCCTACATCCTGCATCCGTGGCTCTTCCCAAAGAAAGGAATGTTTATCTCCTCTCCTCTTGAATCTAGTCTGGGTGATATTTTGACAAGTAAAATAATCCTGACTTAGTGCTATGTTCTCTTCTGGGATCAGATACTAATTAACTGGTATCTTTCACTTCTTCAGTATGGGATGGTGTTGTGGCCTGAATATTTTTGTCCCTATGAAATCCATATGTTTACATCTTAAACCCCAAGGTGATAGCATCAAGAGGTTTGGGCTTTTACCCAGTGATGAGATCAGGAGGGCACGGTCCTCATGAATGGGATTTGTGCCCTTGTAGAGGCGACCCCAGAGCACTACGTCATTCCTTCCACCAAGTGAGGACATGTCACTGAACACAGGTCCCGCTGCTCGCCACGTGCAGCAGTGATAACTGGACGGAGGTGGGGTAGAAAGAGAGCGACTTTATTAACCAAAACTACTAAGGGGGAAATGGCTGGATTCACATCAAAGCAACCACTTCAAGTTTTTGGGGAGAAGACAAGAGTTTAAAAAGGGGGACTTCACATGGGAGGCATGCAGGGGTTAAGCTGGGCGTGAGGTCTTTGTGTCTTGTTTCGGTGGCTACCTTGGGTCTCTGTCCACCTGGCCCATGGGCTGGTGTCCTCTCCACAATGGCTGCGCTGTTGACTAGAGGCCTTGAGGTAATCTGTGGAATATTCCAAGATATAGTAGTCAAAATGTTAACTTAGCTCATCATGCTTTCTGACACTCGAATTCAAGACCCAACTAAGATGACTGAAAAACATCACAACTACCAAACTCAGAGAACCTGATGGAAACACGGTGCAGTGCACAAGGACAGGAGATGAGAGCAGAGGACAGGTGTGCCGGGTGCAGCCTAGGCATCAGGCTCCCAGGTAAATTATTTGATGCACATCCCCGTGGGAGAACAGCCTTTTTTTTTTTTTTTTGACAGAGTCTTGCTCTGTCGCCCAGGCTAAAGTGCAATGGTGTGATCTCGGCTCGCTGCAACCTCTGTCTCCTTGGTTCAAGCCATTCTTGTACCTCAGCCTCCCAAGTAGCTGGGAGTACAGGCTCCTGCCACCATGCCTGGATAATTTTTGCATATATATATATATATATATATATATATATATATATATATATATATATATATATATGTATATTTAGTAGAGATGAGGTTTTACCATTTTGGCCAGTCTTGTCTTGAACTCTTGACCTCAGGTGATCCACCCGCCTTGGCCTCCCAAAGTGCTGGGATTACAGGCATGAGCCATTGTGCCCAGCCGAGAACAGCCTTATTGATGCTTATCAGCAGTGAGGGAGGGACAGCTACATGAGAGGCTGGAAGTACAGTTGATGAGATCAGGGTTGGGGAGCTTCTTGGTTGATGTTCAGAGCTAGAGGAATTCCAGGTGCTGGCAGGAATTAGTGGGTGTCCAGTGGGTGAAACAAAGATTATTGGAAAAAAGATTGTTGAGGGTCACTGTCATTCAAAGGTAAAAATAGTGAGAGATTGGGAGGGTGACCTGCCAGGTAATAGCAGAGTGAACTCTTTTTCCAGGATTCTTAATGAGTTATTTGGCTTTCAGCAGCAAAGAAAAAAAATACACATATTCAGAAAAGGGAACAAATCATTTTCCCATCCATTACATTCTGCTTTTTCTTGTAAGCAGAGTTCAGAAAAATCAAACAGAGAAACAGAAAAAATAGCCTATGTCTTTTATTGTAAAATACAATTTCACCCATACGTTTCAGAAATGCAAGGAAGCATTTATTGAAGACTGTTGCAAAAAAGTCAAAATGTTGCAATAGGGAAAACGGTTGTCCTACACTCTCCTAAAGCCAAAGGCAGAAGAATGTAAGCCCTGCTCGGAGTTAGGGGGATAGTTCTGGAGGTCGTTAGGAGGGAAGTTGACCGGTGTGATTGGGCCATCTGTGTTGGCTAATTTGTGCTTATTGGAGTTAGGCTTTTATCCTCCTACAGAGACATGGCTGCTCTACCCTTGCATAATTACATTTATAGGGATGAGGCATCTGACTTACTCTTTTGTTGTCCTACCATACGAGTGGCTCAAGGTAGAAAATCTCTTATACATCATCAGTGAACCTAGACTCTATCTGCATCCCGGGGAACAGTTCTGGATCTCATCCAAGGCTGAGCGAGTTGCTCAGGTTGTTTGGAGACCCTCACATCTCTCCCTGCATTCTCTGTCCCTAGAGTTTGCAGCTGTCATTGCTCACCATAGACTGCAGTAGCAGAAGCCACATGTGGTGCTCCCAGTGTGCCTTTATCCACACAGAGGAGCAGGGAGGCTCTGTCCTCATCTGCCCCTTTCCCTTGGATTGATGGATGCTTCTAAGCAAATAGGCCCGAATTCTACTCCATCCTTCTCTGTTGCAACAGTAATTTCTCTCATTTCAGTGGAGATTGACCTCCTCTTGCATATCTCTTGCCCTGATGCTATTCTCTCCATTGAACATGCTGCTCTACTCCTTTGTTAAGTGTCTCCAGGTTTTAAATATCTTTATGCTTAACCATACAATTTTTTACTGCCACTGCAAGCCAAAATAATCTCTTTTTTCTTCTAAAGTCCTAATGCTTCATTAAGCCACATATTGCCCAAGATATTTTTCTGTATTTCTGCCTTTAATGTTTTGAATTTGATTCTTAAAGGTATGCTATTACAGGAACTAGAAACAAGGACAGTCTTAACTGTGTAGTTTTCAGGTTTATTCGACAGTTTTGTAATAACAATGTGATTTTGTAATGATACGTGATGTTAGAGATTATTAATTAGTTTATTCATAATGAATGTATTGATCCCCTATGATGTGTTAGGCAATCATCTATGCACTGTGGTACGATGAGCCAAACATGCAGTTTCCCTTCTAGCATAAGAAGGCAAATGTTACAGAGAGTCAGTGAAGTGTACAGAAGGTGAGATGGTTATAATTCTAGAGTTAGCAATAAAGAGAACCAGTGGGATAGAGGTCACCAGGGGGAACTTGTTGCAATTTAAAATTGAGAAATTGAGGAAGAACACAGTGACAAAGTGAAATTTCAGCTGAGACCCCAGAGCTGGGGAGCAAGCCATGCAGAATTTTTGGTGAAGTGCAGATGCCCTGAGATGGAGTCAGCCTGGCCCACATGACAGTTTAGGAGCACATACAGAGTTAGTTCATGACCAGAGGACTTTGAATCAGCGGTAGTGAACCAGAAACCAAAGAAGGGTGCACAGCCTTCACACCCTGAATCCTATTGGGTCCATCACCGTCACTGTCTAAACAACGGGGAGAGCTGGGACCATTGTGTCTATCAGACCCACTGTGTCCTCCCTGGGATCTGTATTGGGTTCCCCAGCTGTGCAGCATCTCAGTGGGGTGTGTGGACCCCTGAACTGCCTCTTCAGACAGGCAGAGCCTCAGTCTGGGGCTGACAGCTGCTTAGAATCTGCATGGGGTGGATGTGGGCAACACCTGCTCCCTTCTCCTGGGCTCTGGGCATTTGTGGTTGGTGTTGGTGGTCACAGCAGTGTCTGGGCCATGAGAGGTCTTAGCCTGGAATGGTGAATAACCCACTAGAGACACCTTCCTTTCTTTGAAGCCTGTAATCTCTGTCCCACTCAAACTCCTTGCATCATCTTACCAGTGACCACCCGCTACGAGTAGCCATGGCTTGAATATAGTTTCTTTTTCAAACGTGTTTTAAATTGGCCAACTGCAACTACCAGATCCAGAGTAAATACGAGGGGCTCATGCTGGACTCCTGAAAATGGTCATGTCCTGAAAGGCCATTTGTAGGACATATTGGACAAGGATTCAAGGGTCAGTGGGAATCAGGGGAGGGAAAGGGAGGACAGACAGGAGGAAAGGTCATGTCACGCCCCAGCAAGATGTCAGTCTGGCCCTCAGGGACACCGGGGTTACGCAGTGACCCTGTCCTCTCGGAGGGGAGGAGGAAGACAGGATCAGGAAGGCGCAGACCCCTCGTGTGCTGTGCCTGGTGGGGAGGCTGCAGTTGGAGGCAGGACATCAGGGGGCGCTGTGGCCTTCCCGACAAATGCTCTGAGCATCTCAGAGGGCTCTCCTGGTTCATTCCCTTTCCCCAGGCCTGGTTTCTTGCTCACTCACTGATGTGCAGGATGTTTTGAGTATCAGAGCCTCAGTGCCCTGCAACAACAACAGGGCCGCCAAGCTCCTGATGAAATTTATTTCCTCTCTTCTCTTTTCCCCTGCGAAGCTGTATTTTCCAAACAGAATCAGGGTCTCAGTGGCTTTAAGGCAACTCAAGAGAGTGCGTGTTGCAAAGTGCAGTGGAGCATTTGTGTGTGTGTGTGTTTTCTGGGTGTGAAGACAACTTTGTGGGTGTGAAATCCAGGTCTTAGTAGACGTGGCTGTAGGGTGCTCTTAATGAGGATATCTCGGTGTGGGCTGCTGTGCTTTCTGTTCCATGCATCCCACCTTTGCTAACAACCCATTTCTCTCTTAATTTAAGTTGTTTCAGTGGATCTCCTGTAACCCTACGTCTTAAAAGGCAAATGTGTGACCTGAAGATGTTCAATAAAACTCCCATTCTTTAGCACAGAGGATACTGATTTTCCTGGAGAAGTAACGATTTTGTGACTGCATAAACTTTAAGCTGACACTGAGTGTTTGCCCAGCACACAATGGATCCGAAGAAAATGAGGCCGAGTGAAAAGCCAGAACAGTGAACAGTGAGATTGGTGGTGACACTGGACCTTCATTTCAACTTAGGTTTGAAGCTCAAATTCCTGCTTGAAATTCCTAGAATTATGAATTATAGTTTGTTCAAAAATTTGATTTAGGTTTCACGTACATGTATCCCAAATGTGTTGACACAGACACATACCACACGTTAAAGAGGTGTAAACACAAAAGTCTTGTTAGAAGACATTTATTTGGGATGAGGAAAGGAAACTGAGGACAGGGTATAGGAGTAACAGCAATTCTCTGTAGCTCTGAAGACAAATTATGAGCTCGTTTTTCTCTCTTCCGGAAGCTCAGCTGAAGCAGTATGGGTAGCGTACTCCAGGAGCACTGCAAGTCCCTCTACGGTGTTCTCCAGGACTGTAGGAATCTCATCTGCAGGTGCAGGTCAAGCCCCTCCTTGAGCCTACAGACACAGAGACAGCATCCAAAATTGAGCACCAAGGTCAGCAGTGGGTGGTAAAGGGAATCTTGGAGAAGTCACATGCTGAGTGATAGGTGACGTTGGCTGTATTAGGGCCGGTAGCACAAACAGCCTCAGTCAATAGGAATAAAAACACAGTGGAGTGCTGGTGTCACAGGATTTGAGACTCACTCTCATTTGCTTTCATTTTTGTGCTCCGGCCCCATCACATACACACCTGAACACACTGTTAGGCCCATCCCGAGTCTTTAAAAGAGATTCTCTATCGACAGAGAAAAATATTCTCCTAATAATTAAGTCTACTTGTTTAGATCCAGAACGAACTAGTTAGTATGTCTCTCTGTATTTTAAACATAGTGAATTTCACAGACATATCTTGGAATGAAGTTTTGGGAGAAGAAAATCTCTTAGATTTCTTTGGCTCTCTACTCAATTTATAGATGAGAAAATCAAGGCTTAGAGATGCTAAGTGGAGCCACCTAAGTGACATGGACCATTGAGACTCGATTCCAGACTCTGTCTCCTGTCTGTCCCTCTAGACACTGCAGCTCTGCATGCCGGCTTGTCTTACCTGAAACCTGAAGAGGAGCTCTTTCATCCCATGCAAAGGAATCAACCACTTCCTGATCATCTGCTCCAGGCTGCTCCTGGGCTGTAGCCTCATCAGCAATTGCCTGGAGTGGCTCCGCCCGAGCCTGCAGGGCCACCAGGAGAATGGCAGCAAGGAGGGCAAGGCTCCTTATGGCTGGGGTCACCTGGAGGAGAGAGAGCAGGAGCGGATGTGTGGGGAGGGAGGAGTCTGCCTAGATTTATAGCTGGGAGAAGGCTCAGAGACAAACCTTCTTGAACCTTCTCAGTGAGAGGAGGTGGAGATTCGTTGGAGAGGGTGTGGATATCCATTGGCTTCAATGTTCCTCCTTTCCTTCTCTGCTCTCCCAGCTTTCATTCTAGCATGCATCTCTATGTTGAGTGTCTTGGCTGGGTTGGAGCTGATGGTGATGATGAGGACCCTGCCATGATGATGTGCTTTCATTCAGTGAATTCAGGGAATAAAGGCCTCTTACTTTCTGAAGATGGGCTCTACTGTTCTCTGGAAGTCTAGACCTGGACCCAGTGGAGTAGAGAATTAATTCATTGCAGGCTTTGAAGGCATTACCACCCTCATGAAGGGGTTTTTGAGGTTACGCGGTGAGGAATCTGCTGTAGGGGCCAGGGTGGAGAGGACAATGACCTCATCAGGCTACAGGTAAAACAAGCTCAGTGACATAAAGAGTTGTCTAAGGCTAAAAATGTCTATGATTTCCATCTCTATTTAGGTGTGAGTGACAAAAATTATATATGTGTAATGTATACTACCTTATGAGTTGATATATGTATATATTTGGACCTTTATCTTATACCATGTAGAAAAATCAAGTCCAAATGATTAGAAGACCTAAACATAGACCCGAAACCATAAAATGATGAGAGGAACAGATGAAGATAAAGCTTTGACGTTGATGTGGGTAATGATTTCTTGGCTATGACACCAACGACACAGGCAATAAAGGGGAAAAGACACAAGTGGAGATGCACTGAATGCTAAAGGATCTGCACGTCAGAAAACAACCAAACAATCAACTGAGTGAAAAGGCAAGCCAGAAAATGAGAGAAAATATTTGCAAACCCTACATGATAGAAAGGGTAAATATCTGAAGACATAAGGAAATCAAACAACTCAATAGCAAAAAACAAATAATCTGATTGGAAAACAGACCAATGACCTGAATAGACTTCTCTCAAAAGAATGTTCTAAAGAGCTATGATCATGTCTACTGGACATGTCAATTAGGACACGTGTGTTTAGAAGGAAACTGCTTGAGTTTCTCTGTTAACTTAGCTGGTAGCCAATGCCCCCAGCAGCCACCAGAGGTTCAGACAGATGTTCACAGCAGGGGATTCACCTGCTGGGCCCCTCTGGGGTGGCCTGGGAGTCACAGTTCAGATTGGGGGCACAGCCTCAATGTTGAAACCTCAATGTGAAAGTTTAAATTTTGTGTTACTTACAGATCCTCAAGCTAGGCAGGGTGAGCAGAGAGGGCAGACAGCAGTCCTGTGTTCCAGGTCTTATGTAGCAAGAGCATCTGTGCACATCCCAGAGAGGACTTCCCCTATTTAAAGGTCTTTGGGGATCAGGTGTCCTAATTTCCAGGGTTATTTTCTGTTGGGTACATTAAATAACTCTGGTGACAAGGACAGTTGAAAAACTTGGTGTGAAGCTTGGGTTCAAACAGGCATCGACAGAGGGACCCCTCACCTACCTTGGTCAGCCCTGGCCAGACCCAGACAGCAACCACCTATGGATTCTCCATGACTCCTAAGACAATTGAGCCCACAATGCCTATGCTCGTGGCTGAGGCTGAACTACCTGGACCGAGGGAATATTTAAAGCCACCAGGAAAGGCCAGCGTGCATAGCGTAGTATACACTCTGTAAGGAGACTAGGAAAAAAGCACCAACCTACACACTGAGGAGGGTTTAGGATTTTGTTCTCTATCAGCCTCTGCAGGCCGTGGGGTCTAACCGTAAAAACACATCAAAGCCATTCAGCCAAGCCCGTAGATGTTGGTGAACACCTGGGTGAGACTGAATACCACTTCGGCTTGTCTTGCTAAGCAGCTCAGGTTTTGCTGGACTCTCCTGAGTTAAGCAAGTACACGTAGCACGTGGTGCCCTAGAGGAGATAGTTATCTCCTTGCTTGGCAGTTAGATACTTTAAGGCTAAAGAATTTTCTAGGAGTAAGAGTTAAAGTGTTTTCAGTAATCTTAAGGTGGTATGAGGCATCTCAGGTCTCTAGGTGTGATTGCTGTTCTAGAGCACTGGGGTCGCTGTCACTCTGAGGAAGCAGTGAGTTTCTGATCTCTAGCAGGCCCAGGAATTTCACCATTTGAGGAAGTGGCCGTGGTTTCATCCCAGCAGAGGAACAAATTAGAGCTCTTTGAGGAACTGGGACCAGGAGATGGTTTTAGGTTCTAGGGCATTAGTAGGTGCCCTGTGAGGGCCCAGTGGATGTGGGTATAGACAGAAAATCTGCAGGGGTGGGCGTGTATGTGGGGAAGGTCCAGTGGTTGTGGGAACATCCAGTGACCTGCAGAAGTCAAACCTGGACCAGCCTCCTGCACACAGAACACTCCAATCCACAGGCATTTTCTCAGTAACACATGAGAGAACTATTATTGGGAGAGCTGGTTAGATTTGGGTGTGGAGTTGTTACACACAGGTCTCAGAAGCCCATATTTTTTGCCTAACTTGTAGGGCAGCTCCACGATCTGGCCTAGTCCTTTGGTTTTTTGCTGTTGGAGATATAGCTAATGGGGTTACTCTGAAGGCAAATGGTGATCTCACAAAATACCATCGTATTGGGTTATCTGCAGAGTACTCAACAAAGCCTGAGCTAAGGAAGCGGTATGGCAAGGGTCGGGGTATGTGCCATAAACCAGCGTCATGTGCTGGGATAGGGAGTGCAGCAGTAAGGAGTAAGGAGTATCCTGTACTAGTAAGGAGAGGCTGCTTTGCTGGTGACCCCACAGTCAAGGCAAGTTTCCTTGGTGTCTCCAATTCCAGCAAGGCCATTGCCTCCCTTGACGACCCCTTGGGCAGGGGCGATGTTGTCTGAAGCCATGGCCATTCCCATGGGGATGGCCTTCCCAGGTGGCCACCCACGACGGGAAGTGGGGGTCTGGGCATTCGCTTTACTGCTGCTGTTGCACAGGCTGTTAGCCCTGTGGGTCTTCAGGGAAGCATTCAGCGAAAGCTTGAGCCGTGTTTTCCTTAGTGGTATAGGACGTTTCCATCCACAACTCTTATACATCAGAGCACATGCATATCCTGGAGCCTGTGATCATTTTGGAAGCTGTCTTTGCATGTGAGGTTCCAATGTGCAAGCTGCAGTCTGGGTTTGTGCTGTGGCATTGTTAGCCGGTTTGAATTCACACCTGGCATTGGCAGGGCCACCTGCTGGTTTTTTTTTTTTTTTTTTTTTTTTTAGACGGAGTTTCACTCTTGTTGCCCAGGCTGGAGTGCAATGGCGCGATCTTGGGTCGCCGCCATCTCTGCCTCCTGGGTTCAAGCGATTCTGCTGCTTCAGCATACTGAGTAGCTGAGATTACAGGCATACACCACCATGCCCGGCTTATTTTGTATTTTTAGTAGAGATTGGGTTTCTCCATGTTGGTCAGGCTGGTCTTGAACTCCTGACCTCAGGTGATCCGCCAACCTTGGCCTCCCAAAGTGCTGGGAATACAGGCGTGAGCCACCTGCCGGTCTTTAAAATGTTATTTGTGATTGTGAAGGCTGCTGGTGTTTAAGCTCAATGCCAATGGACCCACTCAATATCTAAGAATTGAGTTGCCTGCCTTGGACGGAGGTCAGGTGGCATTTGAGGCACAGCCCCCCTAGCATGGGATTCCAGCACTTCCCAGCTTTCCAGTGTGGGACACAAGTTCTGACCAGGGCAGTCCTGTTCTAGCAGCTTTTGGACTTTGGATCCTGAGTCTGACAGTAGCTCCACAAGCCATGGGAACATAAGATACCAAGCAAGACCAACCATAAAGAGCACTGAGATTTTATCACTCAGGGCTTTGATATTGACATCGATTATGGTGTGAGCTTTCACCAATGTTTCTTCAGAGTCTTTCTCCACCATTGACACAGGCTACATTTGGGAATGATACTTCCATGTGATCATCAGCTAATGTAGTCTATGTCCACTAGTCTGAAGGCTTCTGTTTGTTTAGTGACTCATTCTGTGCCCTTTTTGGGTCTTGGAGCAATAATCCCTACTACCTCCAGGAAGGGGTGAGTGGGAGACATTAGCTAAATTTCAAAGTAGTAAGAACTGGAGCTTCTGCTGGAAGCTGCACGTCAAGATGGGAGGTGTGGTATAGCAGAATCACTGTGGCCCTGCTGGGTACCAGTGGGCCTGGGCTGCCAGTCCTTAGGGACTCACAGCTTACTATCCATCCACAATCTGTTTTCCAGTAAATGTATGATGTTGAGACAATGGACCTCTTATCACAGTATGAGGAGTTATCATTATTGGAGCAAATGTGAATGATGTTATCTGTAAGGGAAAATGAACCTTACTCTTCTGTGATTACCAAAGTGTTCACCATGGTGGGCCTGGCCTAATTATAATGAGGCACTGGTGGCCACAGGGTAGAGAGTTAAGAAAGTTAGGACTCTCAGAAGGGGCTTGGTCCCCTTGGGGTTTCATGCCACAACTTCAATAAGAATGACTTTAGGAGGCCACTGTGCTGCTTGGGGAGGCTGGTGGCTTGGGGGCAATGGGCCAAGTGAGAGTCCCCTAAACCCTCATGCTGTGATGCCCATTCCTATGTCACCACCACTGCCTTGAAGTGGGAGCCTAGGTCTTGATCAATGATATTGGGTGGTTTCCGAGAGGGAAATGTCACAGAGCAAATGTCACAGCAAGAGAGCACCTGCTACACCAAGGGTCTTGGGTTGGAAGAGTTGATGGAAGTGCAGGGTTGTGTGTCTGCTTCTGCACGCAAAGGTGCTGGCTGTGTGGTAGGGGCCCAGTGAAGTCAATGTGCTGAAAGGTTGATGGCCCAGGAACAAGGGAGTGCCGGCCACAGCCTGTGTTAACCACGGCACGGCATCTGCAGTTGAGCATCCCTTGCTTGGTTGGAGATCTGGTGAGAGGCACCAGTGGCCTAGGGTACCCTCTAAAGTGGCCACAGCC
This sequence comes from Homo sapiens, assembly GCF_000001405.40. NCBI lineage: Eukaryota > Metazoa > Chordata > Mammalia > Primates > Hominidae > Homo > Homo sapiens. The sequence continues at coordinate 6,956,601 of NC_000008.11, forward strand.
TCCAGTGTCTAAAGTTCGGGGGCGCCACTTTGGTTTGAGGGCCAGGATGCCATTCTCTCCACTGCAGATGCTGCTCTACACCTTCTTCTAATCTATTCACATTTTCAATATCTCATGTTTCACCATGAAATTAACCACTGAAAATTCACATTTTCAATATCTCATGTTTCACCATGAAATCCTTTATTGCCACTCTAAGACAAAATGATCTCTGTCTTTCTCCTGAAGTCCTAATGCTTCATGAAGCCACATTTTACCCAGGATATTGTTCTACATTTCAGACTTCAGTGTTTTTGATTTGTTTCTTAAAGGTTTGCTATCACAGGCACTAGACACATGGACTGCCTTACCTCAGTAGGTTTCAGTTTTTTCCTATATAGTTTAGTGATGATAATAGAATTCTATATAATTACATGATATTGGTTATAATTAATTTATCCATAATGAATTTGTTGATCCCCTACTATGTATTAGGCAGTTATCTACGCACTGTGGTATAACGATAAGCAAAACATGCTGCTCACCTTCTATTGTAGGGAGAGAAATGTTACAGATGGTAAGTGAAACGTACAGAAGGTGAGATAGTTACAATTCCACAGTTAGGAATAAAGAGAACAAGAGGGATGGAGGCCACTAGGGGAACTTGTTGCAATTTAAAATTGAGAAATCGAGAAAGACCTCAGTGACAAGGTGAAATTTTAGCTGAGACTTCAGGTCTGGGCAACCAGCTGGTGCCCTTCGGGGTGCAGTGCAGATGCCCCGAGATGGAGTCAGCTCGGCCCCCATGGCAGTTTGGAACAATATGGAAAGTAACTTATGATCGCATGATTTTGAATCAGTGGCAGTTCTTAGAAACTAAGGAAGGCTCCTGCACTTCAAACGGTGAATCCCAATATGTTTCCGTCACTGTCTCAACAAGAGGAAGAGCTCAGACCATTTCTCTGTCACACACAGACTTACTGTGTCTTCCCTGGGACCTGTATTGAGTTCCCCAGCTGTGCGGTGTCTCAGAGGGGTGCCTGGACTCCTGAGCTGCCTCTTCAGATAGGCAGAGCCTCAGTCTGGAGCCACGATCTGCTCAGAATCTGCATGGGGTGTGCGTAAAAACACCTGCATTCTTCTCCTGGGCTCTGGGCATTTGTCGTTAGTGTTGGTGGTCACGGCAGTGTCTGGGCCATGAGACGATTTAGTCAGAAATGGTGAATAACCCACTTGAGACACCTTCCTTTCTTTGAAGCCTGTAATTTTTCTATCCCAGTCAAACTCCTTAGGACCTCTTAACAGTGACCACCTGCTAAGAGTAGGCATGGTTTGAATATAGTTTTTTTTTTTTTTCCCAAACATGTGTTTTGAAATCACTGACTGCAACTACACGATCCAGAGTAAATATGAGGGGCTCACACTGGACTCCCCCTCTGGGCCGGGGGGTCATGTCCTGAAAGGACATCTGCAGGACCTATTGGACAAGGATTCTAGGGTCTGTGGGAATCAGGGGAGCGAAAGAGAGAACAGACAGGTGGAAGGGTCACGTCTCATCCCAGCAAGATGTCAGCCTGGCCTCAGGTACACCAGGGTTAGGCAGTGACCCTGTCCTCTTGAAGGGAGGAGGAAGACAGGCTCAGGAAGGTAGACCCCACGTGTGCTGTGCCTGGTGGGGAGGCTGCAGCTGGAGGCAGGACAGCAGGGGGCGCTGTGGCCTTCCCGACAAATGCTCTGAGCATCTCAGAGGGCTCTCCTGGTTCATTCCCTTTTCCCCAGACCTGGTTTCTTGCTCACTCACTGAAGTGCAGGATGCTTTGGGAATTAGAACCTCAGCGCCCTGCAGCACCAGCAGGGACTCAGGTTACTTGGAGAACTCTCGTCCCTCTCTTCATTTTTCCTGATGCCTTAGAAGCAGTATTTTCCAGGCAGAACCAGATTTTCTGCAGCTTTAAGGTAACCCAAGAGAGTGCCTGTCACCCAGTGCAGTGGAGCAATTGTGTGTGCGCATTTTCTATGTGTGCAGACAACTTTGTGTGTATGAAATCTAGATTCTGGTGGATATGGCTGGAAAATACTCTTAATGAGGACATCCCAGAGGGGTGCCTCTGTGCTTTCTGTTCTACTCATCACGTCTTTGTAACAGCCAGTTCCACTTTAATTGAATTCTTTTTTTCCCATGGAGCTGATTCCATGTCAGGTCTAAAAAGCAGATGTACGATCCAGAACTGCTCAGGGAAACTCAAACACTTCTGGAAAGAACGTGCTGGCTTTTCCTGAGGAGTAGCAGTGTTATGGCTGTATAAGCTTGAAGCTGACAATGATGGTTTATGGAACACGTAAGCATTATCTTTGCATGAATCCAATCAAAATGAGGCAGAGTGAAAAGGCAGAGCAGTAGATGGGGAGATGAGCAGCATCATTTGAGCTTTCCTAACAATGTGTGTCTGAAGCCTTTGTTCATCTCCAATATTCCTAGAATTGGAACTGGCTTTTGTTTAACATGTAGAATTTAGTGTTCTGGTACTTGCATCCCATGGTCTTGACTAAGACACATATCAAACATTAAAGAGGTGCAAACACAAAACTTGCTACAAGGACTTTACGAGAGATGAGGAAAGGAAGCTGGAGACCAAGTACAGTAGTAATGAAAGTTATCTTCTATGTCTGAAAGCTAGTTATGAACTTACTTTCTTCTGTTCCACAAGCTCAGAGGAAGCAGAATTTGTAGTGAATCTCACCGGAGGTGCAGGTTCCATAGTTGCGTTCTTGAAGATGATAATCTCTTATTCTGCAAGAGCATCTCAAGAGGGTTCTTGGGCCTGGGGATACAGAGAGCATCAGGCATTAGGACTGGGGTCAGATGTGGGTGGTAGACAGAATCCCCGTGCAGTTACCTGCTGGGCTGATTGCGTTAATCACAGTGGCCACATCAGAGCAGCAGCAAGATCAGCTGAATCAGTAGGAATCAATGTACACAGCAGTGCTGCTCACAGGCAGGATTAGAGACGCATTCTCATTTGCTCACCTTTTTGTAGTCCTGCTCCATCACCAAGGCATCTGATCACACTCATAGGCCTCTTGCTAGTTTCTAAAACTCTTCTAATAGACAAAGTGAAACATGTTTCTTCAAGAGTGGGCTCTCATCAATGATGCAGGGAAGATGGCCCAGTATGTTTCTGCAGAGCATAAAATAAGTGTGCTTCTCAGAATTGTCATAGACTCAAAAATCTTCGGAGAAAAGTCATCCCTGGAGTATCATCTGGTTCTTTCCTTTTAGTCTACACATGAGGAAATTGAGGCCTAGGGAGGTGATCACCTAAGAGAAAGAGCCAGCTGTTGGGTCTGATTCTAGAGGTGCCTGGTTTTCCTCTCTAGACTCCTAGCTCTGCAATGCTGGCGGCTCTCACCTGAAGCTCTAAAACCTGAGCTTGTGTCCCCAGTGAAGGAGATGGTAAAGTCCTGGTCGTCTGCCCCAAGCTGTTCCTGGGCTGCAGCCTAGTCAGCTCTTGCCTGGAGTGGCTCAGACAGGGCCTGGAGGGGCACCAGGAGAATGGCAGTGAGGAGGGTGAGGGTCCTCATGGCTGGGGTCATCTGGAGGAGGGATAGCAGGAGGGGATGTGTGGGGAGTGAGGAGCAAGCCTGGATTTATAGCTCTACTGGGAGAAGGCCTGAGACAGATGCTGCAGTGACAGGAGGTGGAGCTTGTGATTGGTTGTGGCAGGGCTACCCTTGCCCTCCAGGTCCCTTTTGTGTTCTGGTGTTTTCCCAGCTTTCATCATAGCTTGAGGCTTTATGTTTAGTGTCTGGACTGGATCCAAGCTGATAGTGAGGCTGAGTACCCTTATTTATTTTTCTGTTTACAATCTACTTGAATATTTTCTTTTTGATATTGAAAAATGTAAAGAAACCGTGATTTCATTCATTAAGTTGGGGAACAAATGCCTCTTATTTTCTGAAGATGGGCCCTGCCACTGTCTGGAGCCCCAGATCTGAACCCAGTGGCATAGAAAATTAAAGCAGTGGAGAATTCAGGGACATTTCCACCCTCATGAAGAGGTTATAGGGTGTGTAGCCTCCTCCTGGGGCTGGTGTGAGGACAAAAAGACTTAATCAGGCTACAGGTGAAATGAGCTCATTAGGATACTAGGTCAAGAATAAGTAAAACTAAAGCCAAATGGTGGGTTAATTTTAAGAAACAAATGTCATTTGGACAGATCAGGTAAAATTTCTATCATTAACATATCTGTACTTTAAGAAATATCGAAACAATTGACATGCCTATAGCCCTCTTCTAGGATCTTTGTGATTGTTTTAATTATAAAATCTTAAATCATGCAGACGGAACAACAGGTAGAAAGGGTAATAGGCTCCCGTCTGTTCCCCCAGCCCTGCAGCTCTGCTCTTGGAAACCACCACTTCCCAATTTTACACATTCTTCCACACTTGCTTTTTCCCTCTAATGCTGTGTCTTGTACACTTTGTATATCAAACACATCGAGCTTCAACGTTACAATTATTCCCTATACTTTTCCAGCGTTCGCACATGCCATCACTTTACTATTTTTATACTGGGAAAATATTGTCAAGTTGTCATAATTTGTATATTTCTAAGCTTTGCCATGACAATTTTAAACAGCAATGAATATAATTTTATAGACATCAGTTTGCCCATAAGTGACAATATCTTTTGAATATGTCTTTAGAAGTAGAATTCTGGGTTAAAGAACATGTCTTAAATATTTTGAGTTTATTGTTACATTGTCCTCACTAAAGATTGTTCAATACACTAAAAACAAAAATCACTCCAACCATCACTGAGCCCAGTGGAATTTCTTTTAGAAGGCCCTGTTTTGTGCAAACGTAGTTCCAGTTTTTGCATTGTTGAAATTTGCCGTTTGATATTGGAATACATTCTTAAATAAATGTGGTTATATTATAGACCATTTTAATGCACATTGCTCACTTTATTTTTTTTTTGCTAATGACTTATTAGTTTCTGTCTATTTTATATTTATTTTACACTATGGAAATGATGTTAGACAAAAAGCAAATTCCAGCAATTTTCTTAGTTGAATTCAAAATAAGTCGTAAGGCAGTGGAGACAACTCTCAACATCAACAATGCCTTTGGTCCAGGACATTGCATTTTGGCCCACTGCACTAGCCAACTTACAGTGCAGTGGTGGTTCTGGAAGTTCTGCAAAGGAGACGAGACCCTTGAAGATGAGGAGCATAGTGGCCTGCCATTGGAAGTTGACGACAACCAATTGAGAACAATCATTGAAGCTGATCTGCTTACAACTACATAAAAAGTTGCCAAAGAATTCGACATCAACCATTCTGCAGTTGTGCAGCATTTGAAGCAAATTGGAAAGGTGAAAAAGCTAAATAAGTGGGTGCCTCACGAGCTGACAGAAAATAAAAAAAACGTCGCTTTGAAGTGTCGTCTTCTCTTATTCTACGAAACAACAACGAACCATTTCTTGATCAGATTGTGATGTGCAACAAAAAGTGGATTTCATATGATAACCAGCGGAGACCAGCTCAATGGTTGGACCAAGAAGAAGTTCCAAAGTACTTCCCAAAGCCAAACTTGCGCCATAAAAAGGTCATGGTCACTGTTTGGTAGTCTGCTGCCTGTCTGATCCACTACTGATTCAGCTTTCTGAATCCCCGAGAAACCATTACATCTGAGAAATATGCTCAGCAAATCCATGATATGCATCAAAAACTACAAAAACTACAATGCCTGCAGCCGGCATTGCTGAACAGAAAGGGCCCAATTCTTATCAATGCAACACCCAACAGCATGTCACACAACTAATGCTTCAAAAGCTGAACAAATTGGGCTACGAAGCTTTACCTCATCTGCCATATTCACCTGACCTCTCGCCAACCGACTACCACTTCTTTCAGCATCTGGACAACTTTTTTTGCAAGGAAAATGCTTCCACAACCAGCGGGATGCAGAAAATGTTTTCCAAGAGTTCATTGAATCCAGAAGCACGGATTTTTATGCCACAGGAATAAACAAACTTATTTCTTGTTGGCAAAAATGTGTTGATTGTAATGGTTTCTATTTTGATTAACAAAGCTGTGTTGGAGCCTAGTTATAATGATTTAAAATTCATGATCCGAAACTGCAATTACTTTTGCACCAACCTAATTTTTACCAATTGTCATTGCCTTTTCTTCCTGCCTATGTTTAGGGCAGCAATATGTTCCTCTAGGAATACTTGACGTCTTAGACTCTCTTGCAGCTCAGTGACAGCTCTGTTCTGAGCAATAAAAGATAATCCCTAAGAGGGGTAGTCTTTAAAATAATGAAATAAATTTCTGTTTTCCTGTTATAATTTTCCATTATTGTTTTATGTGGTCTTCCTTTTTTCTTCTTGGATCGTGGAAGCACTTGGACTTGCAGAAACAGCTGTCTTTTTACCATGAAGAAGACAATTCCTCCATATGGATGGAGGAGCAGAAAGATACAAGACTGTTTGGTTCTTGAGGCCATGGTTGAGATACTGCACCCACTCCTGTTTGCCCACCTCTGGTTGTGTCACGACTTAGGAGAAACATGATCTGGCCTTTGAAATCCACTGTTTATTTGGGTTTCCTGGTCTTTGTGGCTGAAAGCAGCTGGTACTTGCATTATAGAGCTTTTTAAATCTTTTCTAAAGTGATAAGCAAAATTTGATATCACAGTGGAGTCTTGGTTTGCATTTTTCATGTAAATTAGGCTCAAGAGGATTTAATGCCCAAGAAGCACTTGTATTTATTTTCACTGAAGTGCTTTTTTTTTTTTAAACCTTCTTGGCCTATTTATTTTTATTGACTGGTAGCATCTGTTTATATAGTTTGAAATTAACACTTTGTCATGGGTATTAGAAATATTTTTAGAGTTTGTCATTCTCTATAGGGTTTCTTTTGATGTGTAGTTATTTTTATGTAGATTTAAAATTTATTTGTTGCTTTCTGAGTTTTGTGTCTTTCCCACTTAACCTTGTAAAACTCAGTCTTGCATGTGTTCGTTCATGCTCTGTGCTATGAGTCAGGGTTGCCTTTCCATCTGCTGCCACCCTCCCTGAGGAGGCTGTGCTGTCCCAGGTAGGGCTATCAGGATCCATACCAACTGGACATATGAATGGCACATACAGAGGCCCAACAAGTGTGTAGGAAACATGGCCGTAGATGAAGCTGCTAGATCAGAGAAACATCAAAGCGACATTGTAGCAACAAAGGTGCTCTGTGTGGTCTGTTTCACCTCTTCTGTCCCACTGTGCTGTGCCTCAGTCTTCCCCAAAGTACACACATTTCATTGTAAGCACAGAATTCCATTTCTGAAGGCCCTTATCTCTGATCTTGCACCTGACTGACTTATACACACAGGAAGCCCATGTCTCTTCCCTCCTCAGAGACATTCAGATCCTGCTTCTGCACAGGAGGGGCTGGACCCCAAGATGAATTGCAGTCTTGCGGACCTGTTCTTGCTACAATCTCATGCACCTGTAGACCCTGATGGGTGCATCCAGCTGGCCATATCATTATCTCCAGTCTGTGGAGAGGTCAACAGTACTCCTAGCTACCATTTTCTGAGAGAAATAAGTCTCTTTACTCAGTAATGATGATCAATGGGAATTCTGACTGGTGGCGTCTGGTAATAAACTTGACTTCAGCTACTTAAAGGATGTGGACCAAAATATCAGATCCCAGATGCTTCACATGAAATCCCAAAGGAGGGGCTTTACAAAGGCTTGAGCTGAGGAGAGCCTGTGATGCTCATGTAAGACTCTCAGTCAGCAAATATCCCTTGAGCATCAGCAGCTGTCAGGTTCTAGGCTCAGAACACAAATAACCCAGCAGCTTACAGAAGCCAGCACTGCAGAATTCAGAGGATAGAGAGTATAGGGTATGAATGAAGTATATGGAATTTGGCATCGGTCTTGTTGCTCAATAATTTTTGACTTTGATTAAGGTAAATAATCTGTCTAATGTTCATTTTCTCCTTAATGTATATTTCTGGAAAAAATATTTAATGGTAATTGAGAGTTAGTAGGATTAATGTGAGTATTAGTTATTATAATGGATGGATATTTCTTAGTAATCAATTCATATTAGCTAATATTAGTATATTAAATCTTTTTGTGTTTTGAGAATACTGTCTGGCCTATAGGAGTTATCCAATTAATAGCACTTTTATGATGTCAGACAATGCTGCCTTCAACCCATCATAAATGGGAAGAACATATTAGTGTTCTCATTTTACAGAATACTATAGTTTGATCCATAGGATTAAAGTGTTGCCTCCAAGGATAAAGGTCCAGCATCGTCAAAGCTAGGTTGGAATCCCAGGCCCCTTTTTCCAAATCCCTTCATCTGCTTATGGCATGGGTTCCCAACCCCTGTGCTGAGGACCAGTACCGGTCCATGGCCTGTTAGGAACCGGGGCACACAGAAGGAGGTGAGCGAACATTACCGCCTGAGCTCTACCTCCTGTCAGATTAACGGTGACATTCGATTCTTATAGGAATGTGGACCCTATTGTGAACTGTGCACTCGAGGGATCTAGGCTGTGTGCTCCTTATCAGAATCTAACTAATGCCTGATGATACGAGGTAGAATAGTTTCATCCAGAAACAATCCCTCAGCCCCCCCACCCATGGAAAAATTGTCTTACAACTGTCATTGGTGCCAAAAAACGTGTCCCCAGTAAGTGCCTAACTAAAGTCAAGTGACACTGTGGAGCAGTAGAGGCTTCATGTCCTTCTTGAAGCAGGACAGGACTGGGGCAAGGAGAGAGGTGAGAGATTAAGTTCCAAGTGTGGAGAACAGTGTGTAGAGGAAATGTATGAAGACGTTCAGTAGGACGCTGTGTAGACTGTGCTCACTGAAGGAAGGTTGTAAACATGGGGAATGGCAAGTGAGTTTAGACTGGAAATTGTGGATGAGAAGATTCCTGGAGATTTTCTAGACACAGCTTCACATCTTAAGGATGAGGGCTTAAGAATAGAAGGGGGTGAGTGGAAATGAAACTGCCAAGCACACTTTTCTTTGTGCTTCCATGCCCTGTAGGGATTCAGAGCCTCACAGGGGAAGCCCTACAATGAGACAGGGATGCTATGTCTTGGGATAATCACATTGTGAAAACATGGCCCACCTCTGACTTATTCTTTATCGTTCGATCACATGAGTGGATTCTTTAAAATGCCTAGTAGGTCTTCAGTGTACATACAGAGTTTGTGTTTTCAATAATCATTTCGTGGTCTTATTTGAGGCTGCGAAAATTACCCTGGTTGTCTGGAGACCCTCACATCTCTCCCTGCATTCTCCGTCCCTAGAGTTTGCTGCTTTCATTGGCCACCCTGGACTGCAGTAGCAGAAGCCACATGTGGTGCCCCAGTTGAGGACGATGGGATGCTCCGTCCTCATCTGCCCCCTTCCCTTGGATTGATGGATACTTCTCACCATGTCGGCCGGAATTCTGCTCTACTCTTCTCTGTTGCAAAAGCAATTCCTCTAAATTCACTGGAGGTCTATCTGACCCTTCATACTTCTTGTCCCAATGCCATTTTCTTTACCTAGAATACTGCTCTACCTCTTCTTTTTAATGTATTGAATTTTTCAATATCTTGTATGTTTCAGTTAAAGATATATCATAAACTCTTGTCTTGCCACTACAGGCCAAAATGGCTAGTTCTTCATTAGAAGGTAGTGATGCTTCACAAAGCCATTTTCTACTCATGATATTCTCCTGTTGGTTTAAATGATTTTTATTGATTTTTAAAGCAATGCTGTCACATGGACTAGGCACATGGGTGCTTTATCCCCATAGGTGTCAGGTTTATTCTACGAAGTTTTGTAATAACAATGTAATTTTGTAATAATATGTGATGTTAGATATGACTAATTAATGTAATCATAATGAATTTGCTGATCCTCTACTATTTATTAGGGAGTCGTCTGTGTACTGTGGCCCAACAATGAGTAAAACTTGCAGCTCACCTTCTAGAGTAGGGAGGCAAACATTACAGAAAGCAGGTGAAATGTACAGAATGTAAGATGGTGTGAAACTCTACAGTTTAAAATAAGAGAAGAAGGGGATTGAGGTTTCCAGGGGGAACTAGTTGCAATTTAAAATTGAGAAATCAGCAAAGCCCTCAGTGACAAAGGGAAGTTTTAGCAGAGACTCCAGGATCTGGGGTGCAAGAAAGGTGGACTTCTGGGTGAAGTGCAAAAGCCGTGTGAGGGAGTCAGCCCAGCCCAGCGGACAGTTAGGAGCAGTATGCAGAGTTAAAGCAAGCACCATGTGACTTCAAGTCAGTGGCAGTTATAGGAACCCAAGGAATGTTGTCTGGCCATTGCATTCTCAATCTTAATGTGTGTCCTTCCTTCTCTAAAGAAGAGGTAGAGCTGGGACCATTTATGTGTCAGTCATAGGCTCATCTATAGTCCCTAAGATCTGTATTGAGTTCCCCAGCCATGCAGCATCTCAGTGGGGTGCCTGGATCCCTGAGCTGCCACTTCAGACAGGCAGAGCCTCAGTCTGGGGCCGAGACCTGCTCAGAATCTGCATGAGGTGGACGTGGGGAATGCCTACTCCTTCCTCCTGGGGTCTGGGCATTTGTGGTTGGTGTTGGTGGCTTCCCCATCCATGCAGTGTCTCAGTGGGGTGCCTGGACCTCTGAGCTGCCTCAGCACCCTGCAACAACAAGAAGGCTACGATTTTCCCGGTGAAATGCTTTCCCTCCCTCATCACTTATCCCCTATGAAGCTGTATTTTCCAGGCAGATTCAGTTCTCAGAAGCTTTAAGGCAACACAAGAGAGTGCCTGTTGCAAAGTGCAGTGGAGCATTTGTGTGTGTGCATTTTCTGGGTGTGAAGAAGAGTTTATGGATGTGAAATCCAGGTCTTAGTAGACATGGCTGGAGGGTGCTCTTAATGAGGACATGCCAGTGTAAGCTGCTGTGCTTTCTGTTCCATGCATCCCACCTTTGCTAACAACACATTTCCCTCTTACAGAAAGTTTTTTCCGTGGATCTCATGTAACCCTATGTCTTAAAAGGAAAATGTACAATCTGACATTGTTCAATGAAACTCCAATTCTTTAGCACAGAGGATGGTGGTTTTCCCGGAGAAGTAATGATTTTGTGACTGCATGAACTTTAAGCTGACACCGATTGTTTGCCCAGTACACGGGAGGGAGCTCTTTGAGTGGATCCAGAGAAAATGAGACAGAGTGAAAAGACAGAGCAGTGGATGGGGAGATTGGTGGTGTCATATGGGCCTTCTTTTCAATTAGAGTCTGAAGCCAAAACTCCTGCTTGAAATTCCTAGAATTTGGAATTTTGTTTTGTTTAAAAACTTAGGATTCTGGTAGGTGCATGCCAAGTGTCTTGAGACACAAAGACACATCAAATGTGAAAGAGATGTAAAGACAGAAATCTTGCGATAAGGTATTTATTTAGGATGAGAAAATGAAATTAAGGACAAGGTACAGGAATAACAAGAATTTCTTTTACTCTCAAAGTAAATAATGAGCTTATTTTTCTTGATTCTGCAAGCTCAGCAGCAGCAGATCCGGTATAATCTACCAGGAAGGGCACAGGACCCAAAGCGACGTTGAAAGAAATGGCAAATTCCTCGTCTGCAAATGCACCTCAAGCCTCTCCCTGAGCCTGGGGACACAGGGACAGCATCAGAAATGGATCACCAAGGTCAACAGTGGGTTGTAAAGGGAATCTTGGAGAAGTCACGTGCCAGCTGATGAGTGATGTTGTCTGCATTAGGGCCGGTAGCATGAACAACCTCAGTCAATAGGAATAAATACACAGAGCAGTGCTGGTCACACAGGATTTGAGACTCATTCTCATTTGCTCTCATTTTTGTGCTTCTGCCCCATCACACACACACCTGAACACACTCTTAGGCTTGGCTCTACTTTTAAAAAACCATTCTATAGATACAGTAAAATATTCTCCTTATAATGAAATCTACTTGTTTAGATCCAGAAAGAAGTAGTCAGACTGTCTCTTCATATCTTAAACCTACTGAGTTTCACAGGCATATCTTGGAATCAAGTCTTTCCTTTTTATTTATTTTTTCTAAAGTGAAAGGATTATTAAGAAAGTAAAAGAGTAAAATAATGGCTGCTCTCCATGCAGAGCAGCCTTAAGTCTTTAAAGACAGAAAACCTGTTAGATTTATTGGGCTCTCTCTTCAATTTATAGATGAGAATACCAAGGACCAGAGATGCTAAATGAAGCCACCTAAGTGACATGGACCATTGAGACTCGATTCCAGACTCTCTCTCCCGTCCAACCCTCTAGACTGTGCAGCTCTCTGCATGCCGGCCTGTCTCACCTGAAAGTGGAAGTGCAGCGCTTTCATCCCATGTAAAGGAAACAGACACTTCCTGATCATCTGCTCCAGGCTACTCCTGGGCTGCAGCTTCATCAGCTCTTGCCCGAAGTGGCTCCGCCTGAGCCTGCAGGGCCACAAAGAGAACGGTGGCAGTGAGGAGGGCAAGGGTCCTCATGGCTACAGAGACTTGGAGGAGGGAGAGCAGGAGCAGATGTGTGGGGAGAGAGGAGTTAGCCTGGGTTTATAGGTCTGCAGAGAGAAGGCTCAGAGACCAGAAACTTTGAAACTTCTCAGTGAGAGGAGGTGTGCATTTCATCGGGGATTGTGTGGGATCCCTTTGGTCTCAGTGTCCCTCTTTTCCTCCTTTGATCTCTCAGCTTTTATTGTAGTGTGAATCTCTATTCACACTAGAAAGTGTGAGTAGATGGATCAGGTGTTTGGAGAAGATGGTGAAGATGAGGATCCTGGCATGTTTTTCCTGTTTCTCACTTCATTCCATATTTACTTTTTAATAACCAAAAGATAACAGCAGTGCTTTTGTTCAGTAAGTTCAGGGAGCAAATGTGTCATTTTCTGCAGATGGCCCCACTACTTCCTGGAGGTCTACACTCTGGCAGCAGGCATAAATTCCTATCAAGTGAAGAGTCATTTGTTGCAGGCATCAAGGGCGTGACCACCCTCATGAAGTCATGGGGTTAGTAGTCTCTTGTAGGAGCCAGTGTGAAGAGGACCATGACCCTATCACGTGATAGGTGAAATGAACACAGTGACATCGAGGTAAAAAGTTCATCTACATCCAAAAGAAATTTTTCCAGCTCTACTGAGATATGAATAAGAATTAAAAATGGTACAGATCTACTGTATACTGCGTTAGGATTTGATGTTCATATACATGTGGTTTTTTATCATATACTAGGTACACAAATCAACTCAAAATGTTTTGAAGACCCAAACATAGACCTGAAACCATAAAATGATGAGAGGAACATATGAAGATAATGCTTTGACGTTGATGTTGGTAATGATATCTTTGCTATGGCAGCAAAGACACAGGCAATGAAAAGAAAAATAGACAAGTGGGGCTGCATTGAACATTAAAGCATCTGAATGGCAAAAATCAAAAAGACAAACAACTGAGTGAAAAAGTGACCCAGAACATGAGAGAAAATATTTGCAAACCCTAAGTGGTAGAAGGGGTAAATATCCAAATACATAAGTAAGTCAAACAACTCAATAGCAAATAACAAATAACCTGATTGAAAAACAGGCCAAGGAGCAGGATAGGCTCCTCTCAAAATAAAATAATGTTTCAAGGCGCTACTATTGTCTCTGTTAGACACGTCAAGTAGGACACGCGTATTTCGAAGGAAATTTCCTGAGTTTCTCTATTAACTTAGCTGGTAGCCAATGCCCCAGGCAACCACCAGAGGTTCAGAGAGAAATGCACAGCAGGGGATTCACCCACTAGGTCCCTCTGGGGTGGTCCAGGAGTCACAGGTCAGACTGGGGGCACAGGCTCAATGTTGAAACCTCAATGTGAGAGTTTAAGGTCTGTGTTAATTACAGCTCCTGAAGTTAGGCAGAGTGACCAGAGAGGGCAGACAGCAGTCCTCTGTCCCTGGTCTCCTGTAGCAAGAGCAGCCGTGCACAAACAGGAGGGGACTTCCCTATTTAAGGGTGATTTGGGATCAGGTATCCTAATATCCTGGGTTACTTTCTGTTGGGTACATTAAATAACTCTGGTGGCAAGGGCAGTTGAGAAATTTGGAGGGACGCTGTGGTGTAGACATGAGTCCACAGAGAACCCCGCATCTAACTCGGTCAGCCCTGGCCAGGCCCAGGCAGCAACCAATGATAGATTCCATGACTCCTAAGACAATGGACCCCGAGATGCCTGTGCTGATGGCTCAGGCTGAGGTAATTGCACCCAGGGAATACTTAAAGCCCCCAGGAGAGCCTGGCCTGCATATCACAGGATACACTCTGTTAGGGAGACAAGTTACGACAGACACCCATGCACAGGAGAGGATGAGGAATCTTGCCTGAACCAGCCTCCCAAGTACCTGTGCTCTAACCGTAACAACACATCAAAGCCGATTGGCTGGGTTGGGATGTTGCAGACCACCTGGTTGAGACTGAATCCCACGTCGGCTTGTGTTACCAGGCAGGGCAGGTTTTGTTGGGTTTGTTAAGGATGTGCACACAGCATGTGGTTCCCGGGAGCGGACAATTGCCTCGTTGCTTGGGCAATGGACAGTTTAAGGCTAAACGAGTGTCTAGGACCACTGGCGCCAAGGACTCCTGAGTTTCCTGCTTGAGATCTAATGTCTTTTGGAAGTCTCTCAGGGAGGCGGCCAAGGTGGAAGCAAGATGGGTGTTAGCTTACATCACCTGGTGCTGTGTTCTCAAATACCTTGCTCTTAAGTCAATTCTGGGCAGGCTTAAGAGCCTCCATACACACGGCGTGAGTGGGAAGATCACTGGTCACTCGAGATATGCAGGATTGAGCTCCTGTGGTCCCTCCTGTGTTATTTCAGGAGAAGTCCTAGGAAAACTAGAGCACATTTTAAAATGTACCACTATCCACCCTCCTCCTCCTTCTCATAGTGAGGTAGATGTGATAAGGTTTCTGGAAATGAGAAAAGAAAGCAGTCACTCGAGAGGCAGTAAATACCTATGGTGAGGTTGCTGAACCCAGTGTACAGGCCAGACAGCCCCTGCTGCCATGGGAAGGTCATGCACAGCGCTGGTCCCACAGGCTGGGTGCTCAGGGCCTCCCCTGCAGCTCTGTGTGCAGGCAGCAGGCATCGGCCGGTGGAGGCCTGGGGGCAGTGGAGTGAGAACTAAAGCATCTCCCTCAACCTTAAGGTAGAGGAGGCATCTCAAGCCTTGCTAGGGGCGGTCACTGTGGCAGAGCAGTGGGGTCTCCTGTCCCTCTGAGGAAGCAGTGAATTCCTGATGTGTGGCAGGCCCAGGAACTTCAGCTTTGGAGGAAGTGAGCACCAGTCTCACCCCAGCATAAGAAGAAATTTGGGCTCTTTGGGGAAACTGAGGCTCTGGTGACAGTTTTAGCTTCCAGGGCATTAGTAGGTGCCTGTAGGGTCGCAATGATGAGGTTATAGGGACTAAATATGAAGGGGTGTATATGAGCGAGAGGAAGATCTCTGGGTTCTGGAAATGTCCCATGTCCTGCGGAAGTGAAACCTGGACCTGCTTCCTGCACACAGAGCACACTCCAGTCCACAGGCATTTCCGCAGCACTGCATGAGCGTTATCACTGGAGAGCTGGTGAGATTCGGGCGTGGTATTCTTACACACAGTTCTCCCAAGTCCATAGTTTTCCGTAGCTTGTAGGGCAGCTTTACAATCTCACTGAGGCTCTATGGGTTCCTTGCACCATAAAGTAATGGGCTTATTCTGAAAGCAAATGGTGATCTCAGCAAAATTCCACTCTAATGAGGTCATTTTTGGGGTAATCAGCAAAGCATGAGGTCAGGGAAGCAGCAAGTCAAGGGTTTGGGTACTGGCCATGAGCCAGCACCGTGTACTGGAGATGGCAAGGTCCGTGTTTGTAGCAGTAAGGAAAGGCTGGTTGGTGGTGATCTCGTGGTCAAAGTGATTTTCCTCTACAAGGGACTTAAACAAATAAGTAAGCAAAAAAGAAATGACCCCTTTAAAATGCGTGCCAGGGCATGAACAGATACTTCTCAAAAAAAAGACATACAAGAGGCCAAGAAACATGAAAAAATGCTCCACATTACTGATCATTAGAGAAATGCAAAATAAAACCTCAAAGGGATACCAGCTCACACTAGTCAGAATGGCTGTTATTGAAAAGTTAAAAAATACTGATATTGGCAAGACTGCAGAGAAAGAGAACGCTTATACACTGTTGAGGGGAATGTTAATGAGTTCAGCCATAGTGGAAAGCAGTTTAGAGATTTCGCAAATAACTTAAAATAGAACCAGCATTCAACCAAGGAATCTCACTACTGGGTATATATCCAAAGGAAAACAAATTATTCTGCCAAAAAGACACATGTACTCGTATGTTCATGGCAGCATCATTCATGCTAACAAAGACATGGAGTCAACCTAGATGGCCATCAGTGTTGGACTGGATGAAGAAAATGTGGTACATATACATGATGGGATACTACATTCATAAAAGAGAATGAAATTATGTCATCTGCAGCGAGTTGGATTCAGTGAGAAGGTGCCGTCTATGAATCACAAAACTGGTCCTCACCAGACACCAAGTGTGTTGGCACCTTGTTTTGGACTTCTCAGCCTCGAGAACACCAAGACATATATTTCTGTTGTTTCTAAGTCACTTGGTGTATGGTATTTTTTTCCAGCACTCCACATACACTCAGATTGCTTGTGTCTTTGAAGCCCGGATACCATGCTTGGAGGAAGTCTAAGTGTTGCAAATCCTGCTAGCTATGAGTGGGATACAAAGTGTCACACCAATCTCCTCCTTCATGAACCGGCATGATCTGACGTCAGTGCCTCACAGGGTCTCACCCCTGAGCCCTGTCAGAGCTGCAGCTGAGCCAGCACCCCCTGCCACCTGTTCACAAGTGTCTTGGGCCTGAGGTTTTCAGATCCCAGCAGCACTTCTCCTCTGATGCCTGTGGAGAGAGCCACCTCCCAATTGCAAATGTGTGAATGAAGACCTGATCATGTTGTTTTAATCCATTAAGTCTTGTGGTGTCTTTTCATAGAGCCCTAGATGAACAGAGGGCAATTTTCACAGTATTGGTGACAAATTGGACTTGTACTTTGTGTGTGTGTGTAAATCTCAGCTTCTCTAAAATATTGATGAAATAGGAGAGAACTTTCTCAATTGAATCCCAAAGTGTCACAAAGAGCCCATTGTGGTGGGGGCATGGAATTGTGGACTCTTTGGAGTGACTGAGGAACCCGGTCTCACCCATTCTTAGTTTGAATTTTTCCTGTGGGGAGCTGGGGTAGTGTGGGATCCAGGTGGAGTCTCAACCTCTCCCCTCAGTGACAGACTCAGAAGAGGGTGCGGAACTCCAGAGCTGGCTGAAACAACGGAGAGAGAAGTAGGGGTTTTCTCCCGGAGATCAGCTATGAAGTCCCAGGGAGGATGACCATTATTCACACGACTGTCATCTGGGGAGAGACCCCAAGTTAAGATCAAGAGAAAAAAGCGGGAAACAAAATGGTAAAGACAACAAGGTAACTCATGCCTAGAGTCCTTGGATCAGGCATTTTATGAAGCCAGAAGCCTTTCTTTTCTTTTCTTTCTTTCTTTCTTTCTTTCTTTCTTTCTTTCTTTCTTTCTTTCTTTCTTTCTTTTTTTTCTTTTCTTTTCTTTTTTTTTTTTGAGGCAGAGTGTAGATCTGTCACCCACGCTGGAGTGCAGTGGCGCGATCTTGGCTCACTGCAACCTCCACCTCCCAGGTTGAAGCGATTCTCCTGCCTCAGCCTCCTGAGTAGCTGAGATTACAGGCACCCACCACCACACCCGGCTAATTTTTCTATTTTTAGTAGTAGAGACAGTTTTCACCGTGTTGCGCTGTCTGGTCTTGAACTCCTGACCTCATGATCCACCCTCCTTGGCTTCCCGAAGTGTTTGGATTACAGGTGTGACCCACTGTTCAGGTGGGGCATTCAAAATGTTAATTCAGCTTGTTGTGGTTTCTTAAATTTGAGTGCACAACTCCGCTAATATGCCTGAAAAAGATACAACAAAAATTACCCAGATAAGAGAAGCTGAGGCAAAATGGTGCAGTGCATAAGAATAGGAAATGAGAGCGGATGGCAGGTGTCCTGGGTGCAGCCTGGAGAAGAGACTCCTGGATGATTCCCATGCACAGCCCTGGGGGAGAACAGCCTTATTGATGCTGATCAGCAGAGAAGGAGGGACGGCTATGTGAGAGGCTGGAGGACAATGGGTGTGTCAGGGACAGGAATTTCATAAGTGATGTTCAGAGATGGAGGAATTCCAGGTGGTGCAGGAGTTAGGGAGTAGCCATGGGGTGGAAGGCTGGAACGAGGTGGCAGTCCCTGTTATCCAGGAGGACACAGAATTGAGATGTTGGGAGGTTGACTTCTAGGAAATGTTAGAGTGAGCTCTTTCCCTTAGTTTCTTCATGAGTTATTTGTTTTTTTCGTGAACACGGAAAAAATACAGATATTCCTAAAATGGAATGAGTTCTTTTCAGATCTCTTTCCTTCTGGTTTTGCTTATAAGCCGAGTTTAGAAAATCAGAACAGTAACAGCAAAAGAAACCTATTTCATTTTTTGTACAAGTAAAAATTAACCAAGACCTTTTAAAAATGTGAAGGAAGCACTTATTGAAGACTGTTGAAATGGGAGTCAGAACGTTGCAACAGGGAGAGCCGTTGGCCTCAACTTTCCTGAAGCCAAAGCGGGAAGGTTAAGGCCTGGGTGAGCTAGCGGAAATGCACTGGAGGTTGGTAGTGGGAGTCTTGCAGTGTGATTGGGCCATCTGCGTTTGCTAGTTTGTGCTTATTGGAGTTAGGCTCCTGCCTGCCTACAGAGACAGGGCTGCTGTCCCCTTGAGTAGTTACATTTAAAGGGATGAGGCATCTAACTTATTCCTTATTTCCTTGTCCTGCCGCATGAATGGCTCATTTCCGGTAGAAAAGTTCTTGCATGTCATCACTAATCCTAGAGTGTATGTGCATCCCAGTAAACAGTGTTGTGCCTCATTTGAGGCTGAGTAAGTTGCCCTGGTTGTTTGGAGACCCTCACACCTCTCCCTGAATTCTCCGTCCCTAGAGTTTGCAGCAGTCATCGCCCACCCTAGACTGCAGTAGCAGAAGCCACATGTGGTGCTCCCAGTGTGCCTTTATCCACACAGAGGAGCAGGGAGGCTCCGTTCTCATCTGGCCCTTTCCCTTGGATTGATGGATGCTTCTCAGCACATCAGCCTGAATTCTACTCCGTCCTTCTCTCTGGCAACATCCATTCCTCTGAATTCAGTGGAGGTCCACCCTCATCCTGCATAGCTCTTGCCCTGATAGCATTCTGTCCACCAAACATTTCATTCTACCTCTTCTTTTAGTCATTCCATGTTTTAAACATATTGATGTTGTACTTGAAGATTCACATGGAATCTTTTTGCCTGCTTTAGCCGGAATGGCCTGCTTCTTCTAAGGTCCTAAAGCTTCATGATGCCAAATAGTACCCATGATGTTTTTTCATGTTTCAGCCTTGAATACTTTTATTTATTTTGTTTTTTAAAGGTGTGCTGTCATAGGGTCTAGAAAATGGACTGCTCTACCTCTGTTGAATTTAGTTTTTTCCTATGGAATTTAGGAATAACAATTAATAAATAATTTTATATTGTTATGTGCTATTAGATGCAATTAGTTAATGTAATCAGAATTAATTTAGTAACCCCCTACTTTATGTTACAGTCATCCATGCACTCTGGTACAACAATAAGCAAAACATGCAGCTTCCCTTCTGGAGTAAGGAGGCAAATGTTACGTTTAGTAAGTGAAGTGTACAGGGAGTGAGACGGTTGCAATTCTATAGTTAGCAATGAGGAAAATCGGAGAATGGAGGTCAGCAGGGGGATCTTGTTGCAATTTAAGGTTGAGAGATCAGAAAAGACCTCAGTGACCAAGTGAAGTTTTAGCTGAGACCTCAGATGCTTGGGAGAAAGTCAGGTGGACCTCTGGCAGATGCCCCAAGATGCAGCCATCTTGATCCATTTCATAGTTCAGAATACTATGGAAAGTTAATTCGGGGACCACATGATTCCAAGTCCATGGCAGTCACAGGAAGCCAAAGAAGGCTCCTGGGCTTCACACCGTGATTCCCTATTTGTGTCCTTCATCACCTAAACAAGAAGAAGTCTGGGATCATTACCCACTCTGTCCTCCCAGGGTTCTTGGTGGGCTTCCATATCCATGCAGTGTCTCAGTGGGTACCTGGGCCCCTGGGCTGCCTCAGCCCCCTGCAGCAACAAGAACGCTACCATGTTCCTGGTGAAATGCTTTCCCTCCCTTGTCCCTTATCCCCTCTGAAGCTGTATTTTCCAGGCAGAATCAGGTTCTCAGCAGCTTTAGGGTAACACAAGAGGGTGCGCGTTGCAAAGTGCGGTGGAGCATTTGTGTGTGTGTGTTTTCTGGGTGTGAAGACAACTTTATGATTGTGAAATCCAGGTCTTAGTAGACGTGGCTGGAGGGTCCTCTTAATGAGGACGTGCCAATGTGAGATGCTGTGCTTTCTGTTCCATGTATCCCGCCTTTGCTAACAACCCATTTCCCTCTGAATGAAAGTTTTTTCCGTGGATCTCATGTAACCCTATGTCTTAAAAGGAAAATGTACAATCTGACATTGTTCAATGAAACTCCAATTCTTTAGCACAGAGGATGGTTTTTTTTTCCCGGAGAAGTAATGATTTTGTGACTGCATGAAATGTAAGCTGACACCGATTGTTTGCCCAGCACACGCGAGCTCTTTGAGAGTGGATCCAGAGAAAATGAGGCAGGGTGAAAAGGCAGAGCAGTGGGTGGGGAAATCAGTGGTGTCATATGGGCCTTCTTTTCAATTTGGATCTGAAGCCCAAACTCCTGCTTGAAATTCCTAGAATTTGGAATTTTATATTGTTCAAAAATTTGATTTTGCGTTTTGGTACGTGTATCCCAAGTGTCTTGACACAGACACATATCACACATTAAAGAGGTGGAAACACAGAAATCTTGTAACAAGGCATTTATTTGGGATGAGGAAAGGAAATTGAGCAGAAGGTACAGGAGTAATAGCAATTCCCTGTAGCTCTCAAAGCAAATTTTGAGCTCATTTTTCTTTTTCTGCAAGCTCAGCAGCAGAATGCCCAGAGTCTTCCCTGGTAGATGCAGGTTCCATAGCGACGTTCTCCTGCAATGCACGCTGGTATTCTGCAATAGCAGGCCATGTTTTTCCTTGAGCCTGGGACAGGGAGAGCATGAGAAATTGAGTATGGAGTTAGCAGTGGGTAAGAAAAAGAATCTCGGGGAAGTCACATGCTAGCTGACAGGTGATGCTGGCTGCATTGCAGCCGTTAGCACGAACAACCTCAGTCGATAGGAATAAACACGCAGAGCAGTGCTTGTCACTCAGAATTTGAGACTCATTCTCCTTTGCTCTCATTTTTGCATTCCTGCCCCATCACACACACACCTGAACATATCCTCAGGCTTGGCTGCAGTTTTTAAAAGCTCTTCTGTAGATAGAGTAAAATGTTCTCTTTACAACTAAGTCTACTTGTTTAGATCCAGAAATAACTAGTCTGTCTCTTCATATCTGAAACTTAGTGAATTTCACAGACGTTTCTTGGAATCAAGTCTTTGGAGAAATAAAGTTTCTCATGTTTATTTGGCTCTCTGTTCAATTTCTAGATGAGAAAATCAATGCCCAGAGATTCTAAGTGAAGCCACCTCAGTGACATAGACTGCTGAGACCCAACTCTGGAACCTCTCTCCCGTCCTTCCCTCTAGACTTAGCAGCTCTGCATGCCTGCCTCTCTCACCTGGATGCTTTGGAGCCAAGCTTTCGTCCCATGCAAGGGAAACAACCACTTCTGGGATGTCCGCTGCAATCTGCTCCGGGGCTGCAGCAACCTCATCAGCTCTTGCCTGGAGTGGCTCAGCCTGGGCCTGCAGGGCCACCAGGAGAATGGCAGCAAGGATGGCGAGGGTCCTCATGGCTGGGGTCACCTGGAGGAGGGAGAGCAGGAGCAGCTGTGTGGGGAGGGAGGAGCCAGCCTGGATTTATAGCTCTACTGGGAGAAGGCTCGGAGACAAGAAACCTTCCTCAATCTCAGTGAGAGGAGGTGTGCATTTTATAAGAGAGGCCCATTGGTCTCAAGGTTGCTCGAATGCTCCTGTTCTCCCAGTTTCATGCTAGTATACATCTGTACCTTTAATGTCTGTGCTAGGTTGGAGCTAATAATGACAAGAAAGACCCTGCTATGTTACTCGTGGGTTCACCTGCTTAAATATTATGATTCACTTTTTAACATTCCAAAAAGAATAGAAATTGCACTTTGATTCAACAGGCTCAGGGAACAAATGCTTCTTATTTTCTGAAGATGGGTCCTGCTGTTCTCTGGAGGTCTAGATTCTGGTGTCCTATATGAGTTCCAATGGAATAGCGAGTAATTCACTTCAGGATTCAGGTGACTTACCATCCTCATGAAGAGGTTTTTGAGGTTATGGGGTGAGTAGTCTCCTGTAGGAATCAGGGTGGAGAGGACAATGATTTTATCAGGCTAAAGGTGAAATCAGCTCAGTGACACAGAGTGGTTTAAGTAAAAAAAAGAAAGTTTATTATTTCCACCTCTACTTAGACTTGAGTAACAATTAACAATTGTATATTTATAGTGTACACTACCTCATGATTTTATATATGTATGTATTTAAATCTTTATCTCACACCATGTAGAAACATCAACTCAGAATGAATTGAAAACCTAAATGTAACAACTGAAACCATAAACTACTAGAAGTGTATAGAAGGATAAAGCTTTTGACATTGATGTAGGTAATGATTTCTTGGCTATGACACCAAAGGCACAGGCAATAAAAGGGAAAATAGACAAGTGTGGCTTCATTTAACGCTAAAGCATCTGCACAGCAAAGGAAACAATCAACCGAGTGAAAAGATAACCCAGAAAATGAGAGAAAATATTTGCAAAACCTACATGGCCGAAGGGGCAAATATCTGAATACATAAGGAATTCCAACAACTCAATAGCAAAAATCAAACAACCTGATTGAAAAACAGACCAAGGACCTAAATAGGTTTCTCTCAAAAGAATGTTCCAAAGACCTGTGATAGTCTCTACTGGACATGTCAACCAGGACATGTGACATGTGTGTTTAGAAGGAAACTGCTTGAGTTTCTCTATTAAGTTAGCTGGAAGCCATCGTCCCCAGCAGTCACCAGAGGTCCGGACAGACGTTCCTAGCAGGGATTCGCCCGCTGGTTCCCTCTGGGGTGGCCCCACAGTCAGAGGTCAGATTGGAGGCATAGCTTCAATAATGAAAACTCAGTGTAAAGTTTAAGTTTTGTAGTACTTACAGATCCTCTAGCTAGGCAGGGTGACCAGAGAGGGCAGACAGCAGTCCTCTGTCCCAGGTCTTCTATAGCAAGGAGCAGCCGTGCACAAGTGGACTTCCCCTATTTAAAGGTCTTTTGGGATGAGGTGTCCTAATTTCCGGGGTTACTTTCTGTTGGGTCCATTAAATAATTGTGGTGGCAAGGACAGTTGAGAAATTTGGTGGGAAGGTGAGGTTAAAGTAGAACTCCACAGAGGAACCTCTCATCTACCTTGGTCAGCCCTGGCCAGGCCCAGGCAGCAACCAACTATGGATTCTCAATGGCTCCTAACACAGTTGACCCTGTGATGCATTGGCTGTGGCTAAGCTGAACTACCTGCACCAAGGGAATATTTAAGGCCTCTGGGACAGCCTGGCTGCGTATCACAGTATACGCCCTGCAAAGAGATTGGGATAGGAATGCCACCTGCACACAGAGGAGGATTTGGAATGTGTTTCTAAAGCAGTGTCCCGAGGACCTGGGGTCTAACCATAAAAACTAATGAAAGCCATTTGGCTGAGCTGGGATGTTGGAGAACACCCAGGTGAGACTGAGTGCTACCTGGGCTTCTGTTGCTATGTGGAACAGACATTTTTGGGTTCTCCTGAGTACTGGATGTACACGCGGCATGTGGTTCCCCAGAGGTGACTATCACCTGTTTGCTTGGCCAATGAACAGTTTAAGCTTAAACAATTGTCTAGGATCATCTGGGCCAAGAACTGGTCTGAGGCATTAGCCATCAGGGTGGGAGTGGCCTTTCCAGATGGCCACCCAAGAAAGGAGGTGGGAGTCTGGGCATTCACTTTACTGCTGGTGTTGCACAGCCTCTCAGGCCTTGTGGGCCTTCAGAGAAGCATTCAGCAAAAGCTTGAGTGGTGCTTTCTGGGAGGCATAGGAGTTTCCATCCTTCACTGGTACACATCGGAGAACAGGTGTATCCCTGAGCCCATGATCATGTCTGGATGCTTTCTGTGAATGCAATGCTCCAACTCTTCAGGCTGCAGTCTGGGTGTGTGCTGCGGCGTCATGAGCCCATTTGGATTGAAGCCTGTGCATCCAGAGAACTACCTCCTCATCCTTAAAACACGATCTGTGGTTGTGAGGGCTGCTGGTGTTTAAGCATTGGTGCCATGGGACCCATTCAATATCTAAGGGTTGAGTTGCCCGCCTTGGACACAGGTCAGGTTGTATCTGGGGTGCAGCCCCTGTAACAGGGCTTACAGGGAATTCCCCAGTTTTCCAGTCTGGGGTACAAATTCTGACTAGGGCTGTCCTGTTCCAGCAGCCCTCTAGGCTGCCAGGCCTGGGTTAAACAGCTACCCCACAAGCCATTTGTACATAAGATACCAAGCAAGGCCAATCATAGAGAACACTGACATCTTGTCACTCAGGGCTTTCTTCCCAGTGCTTCTATATTGACACTGATGATGGGGTTGGCTGGCACCCACTTTTCCTTGGAGCCTTTCTCCCCCATGGCCACGTTTGGTGATGGCACTTCCATATGGTCTTTGCCTGACGTAGTTGGTGTCTCTAGTTTGAAGGCTTCTTCTCCTCGTTACTGCCTCTGACTGCACCCTCGGTGGGTTCTGGAGCAATAATCCCTACTTCCTGCCAGGAGAAGTAAGTGGGAAATATTAGCTAACCTTTAAAACCGGTAAAAAAGGGAGCTTTTGCCAGAAGCTGCATGTGAAATGGAGAGGTGTGGTCTAACAAAAGCCTCGTGGTCCTGCTGGGTGCCAGTGGGCCTGGGGGGTTATCCTCAGAAGATCGTAGTTTACTATCCATCCACAGTCCATTGTTCAGTATATGTTTGATGTTGAGATGGTGGATGTCCTGTGATGATATGGGGAGGTCTCATTATTGGAGAACATGTAAATGATGTTATCTGTAAGGGAAAAAAGAAGCTAACTCTTCTGTGATCACCAAGATAGGCACCAAAGTGCGTCTAGCCCAATTGTGATGAGGCAGTGGTGGCCATGGGATTGAGAGTTAAAAAAGTGACGGCCCTTGGAAGGACCTTGGTGCCTTGGGTGTCCATAGCACATCCAGAGACATTAATAACCATGACTTTAGGAGGCCACCGTGCTGCTTGAGGAGGCTGGTGGCTTGGGGACGATGGACTAAATGAGACTCCCTTAACCCACCCTCATGTTGTGATGTCCTGAGGTGGGAGCCTCCATCTGAATCAATGATAGGTGTGGTTCTAAAGGAGATAGTGAAGAAATGCCACGTAAAGAGAACACCTGCTCCACGCAGGGCATAAGGAGCTACGGTCCCTGGAAGACTACATGTGCAGAAGCTCATAGTTAGGACAGGTGTGCTTTGTCCAGAGGCTCTGAGACTTATGATGGGTGGTAGTGAGGGCCTCCCCATGAAACTCAGAACCCGGGACCCGGGCATGGACTAGAGAGATCACCTGCTGGACCAGCAACAGACTGTATCCTGCTGTGGCCCCAGTGGATGTGAAGGGCTTCTGGGTGATGGCATTTGTGGGCCTCAGCAGAATGGACAAGTGGGGTATAGCTGTCTCCAAAGACACGATGTCCCAGTACATGGAGGGCCAGCTGCAAAGTGGCTAGGACACTAGTGGTGAGGATTTGGTTTTTAACTGCAAGGGGACTTTGTCAGCCCACTGATGACAAATTGATGCCCAGAATCTTTACAACAGTGCTGGAGGGGCCATGAGTGTGTCCTCCAGAAACGTGGCCACTGTCCAGGAAGAGGGAGAGCGGGTGCAGCAGCTCTGCCACAGACATATGTCCTGGCCCAGGCGGTGGCTTTACATGCAGCACCCAGAGCGATTTGGGGAGCTGAGGGAGAACAGAGACCCTCCAGCTGGCTCAGAGTCACTGGTGGCTCCTGTCCCTGGAGGGGTGGCCTTCTCTGCCCCAACCCAGTCTTGTGCTCTCCTTCCCTGCCATTCTTGGCTGCAGGACTGGGAACCATCTGCTGGGACGTTGCTCTGTGTCTCCCTCATGGCCATGCTCCCATCCTTGCCTCCTCCATAGACTGCGGTCAGGACTCAGCAGCCCAGAGCCCCAGCAGGGTCTCAGTCTGTACTGAGGTCACACCTAGGCATTGTCGCCATCCTTCGGCAGGTGATTCTCAAACTCCAAACTCAAATTAGAACAGAGAGATTCTTCCCTGTGGTCCTTTTCACTTTTCTCTTTTGGCTGCACCAGAACCTTGGCAGAATTTTGTGGTTTAAACAAAAAAGGTGTTATGCCTACAGATTTTTTACAGTACTTTCACTTCCATGTTGATCCATAGTCCCCAACCCCAGCCTGATGTTTTCCACTGATTGCAGCCAGTGTAGACAATCAGTGTCCACACTGTGGACACTATATGTAGATGCAGCTGAAGCTGTTTTTTTCAGACACACGCATTTGAATTTTAGGGAATATTGAAGCGAGTCTAGACTCAATAAAAACCTTGACATCATTAGGCTGGGGTAAACATTCTGGAGAAGCTGTGGGTGGGGTTGTAGGTGTGAGAGGAGAGAAGCTTCCAGGAGCAGCACACATATTCTCACACATGTTTATGGTGTCTGGTGGCCTCAGCAGACACAGTGTGTGTGGACCTTGGGCGGGGCCCTGGGGTTATGGTTTTGACCCGGTAGGAAAGGGTAGTCATGGAACACAGCATGCGTGTTACCATGGGGCGCAGCGGGGGCTACGCAGAGGTGAGCTCTGAGGAGGACCCTCCACCTCCCAGCTCCTCAGAGTGCATCGCGCTGTCCCTCCCCTCAGCCCTTTGTCCACTGTCCTGCAGGGAGGGTCCTGGTGCTGCCTGTGCCACACAGTCACTCCCGGGCCTGCAGATCCAGCTGGGACAGGTAGGAGCTCCAAGTCCCTGCCCTTTGTCTGCCTTTCCCAGCCGCCTCTCACAAGCTGTCTGTGTGTCTGGTGTTGAGGATTGCAGCAGGTTTATTTTACAATAAACCATAAGGAAATAGCTTCCTTGAGCTGTTTTAAAATATGGCCCTAAATCCCTGACTCTTTTCACATAAAAATGGAGGTGAAAATGGCTCCTGTTGAATCTAGATTGGGCGACATCTTGACCAGTTGAACACACCTGACTTAGCACCGTGCTGTTTGTTGGGCTAAGGTCATAAGAAGTTGGTATCTTTCACTTCCTGAGTATTGGATGGTGCTGCAGCCTGAATGTTTCTGTCCCTCTGAAATTCATATGTTGAAATCCCTCCTCTGGTGACAGCATGAAAAGGTGGGGCTTTCTGGGAAGTGATATGTTCAGGAGGATGGAGTCCTCATGAGTTGCATTAGTGCCCCTGAGGAAGAAGCCCCAGAGAGCTCCTTCATTCATTCCCTCAGGTGAGGAAGCAGTGAGAAGGTAGCATCTATGAACCAAAAAGCTGGTCCTCACCACACACCAAATCTGTTGGCACCTTGATTTGGACATCTCAGCCTCCAGAACACTGAGAAATGTATTTTTGTTGTTTATAAGTCACTTGGTGTATGATTTTCTTTCCCCCAGCATCCCACATATACTAAGAGTGCTGGTGCCTTTGAAGCCCAGCTACAATGCTTGGAGGAAGTCTAAGCATTGCAAAAAAAGGAACTGAACCCACCTGCAAGGAAGAGCTAGAGAACCCAGAGCAACCAGCTTTCTAGGAAAAACAAAACTCTGATATGCAGTGTTTGTAAATCTCTCTGGTTCAAATCCTCCTAGCTATGAGTGGGATAAAAAGTGTCACACCTATCTTTTCTCTCATGAGCTGGCATGACCTGGCCTCAGTGCATCACAGTATCTCATCCCTCAGCCTGTCAGAGCTCCCACTGAGCCAGCCCAGCACTCCCCGCTACCTGTGCGCAAGCGTCTTGGCCCTGAGGTTTTCAGCTCCCAGCAGAACCTGTCCTCTGTTGCCCATGGAGGGGGGCTATGTCCCAATTGCAAATGTGTGAATGACGACCTGATCGTGCTGTTTTAATTCCCTAAGTTTTGTGGTGTCTTTTCACACAGCCCTAGATGAACAGAGGGCATTTTCACAGTATTGCTGAGGAATTGGATTTGTACATATTTTGTGTGTGTAAATCTCAACTTCTCTGAAATATTGATAAAATAGGAGGGAATTTTCTCAACTTCTTCCCAAAGCGTCACAAAGAGCCCATCATGGTGGGGGATGAAACTGTGGACTCTATGGAGTGACTGAGGAACCCTGTCTCATCCATTCTTAGTTTGAATTTTTCCTGTGTGGAGGAGGGGTAGTGGATCCAGGTGGAGTCTCAATCTCTCCACTGAGGGACAGACTCAGAGGAGGGCATGGGACTCGGGAGTTGACTGAAACAATGGAGAAATCAATAGGGGTTTTCTCCCGGATATCAACAACGGAGGCTGTGGGGAGATAACCACAATTCATGTGGCTGTCACTTGGGGAGCGAGCCCAAGTTATCAAGAGAAAAATGGGGGTGATAAAAGGTAAAGACAAGAAGGACTCTTATGCTTTGGGTCCTTCAATCAGGGATTTTATGAAGCCAGAATTCTTTCATAAGTATCAGGTGTGGCAGTCAAATTGTTCACTCAGTTTGTTGTGGTTTCTTAAATTTGAATGCAAAACTCAGCTAATATGCCTGAAAATTATATAAAAATATTACCTAGCTCAGAGAATCTGAGTTAAAGACAGTACAGTTCATAAGAACAGGAAACGAGGGTAGATGACAGGTGTTCCTGGTGCAGCCTGGGGAACAGACTCCCGGGTGATTCCCAGGCACGTTTCTGTGGGAGAACAGCCTTATCGATGCTGATCAGCAGGGAAGGAGGGATGGCTACCGGAGAGGCTGGAAGTACAGCGGGTGAGTCAGCAACAGGGACCTTCATACTTGATATTCAGAGATGCAGGAATTCCAGGTGGTGGCAGGAGCATGGGGTGGAGGGCTGGAACAAAAGTGGGGGTCGCTGTCAGCCAGGAGGATCCAGCACAGAGAGGTTGGGAGGGTGACTGAGAGGAAATGTGAGAGTGGGCTCTTTCCCTTAGGTTCTTCATGAGTTGTTTGTTTCTTAGTGAAAAAGGAAAAATTTCAGATACTCATAAAATGGAATGAGTACTTTTCAGATCCCTTTCCTTCTGGTTTTGCTTGTAAGCCGAGTTTAGAAAATCAGAAAAGAAATAGCCAAAGAAAACTATTTCATTTATTGTACAAGAAAAAATTCACCAAGACGTCGCAGAAATGTGAAGGAAGCGCTTATTGAAGACTGGTGAAATAGGAGTCAGAACGTTGCAATAGGGAGAGCCGTTGGCCTCAACTTCCCTGAAGACAAAGGCAGGAAAGGTGAAACCCTGGGTGAGCTAGGGGAAATGCACTGGAGGTTGGCACCCACTCTGTCCTCCTTGGGATCTGCATGGGCTTCCCCATCCATGCAGTGTCTCAGTGGGGTGCCTGGACCCCTGAGCTGCCTCAGCACCCTGCAGCAACAAGAAGGCTACCCTTTTCCTGGTGAAGTGCTTTCCCGGCCTCATCCCTTATCCCCTCTGAAGCTGTATTTTCCAGGCAGAATCAGATTCTCAGCGGCTTTAAGGCAACAGAGGAGAGTGCGTCTTGCAAAGTGTAGTGGAGCATTTGTGCTTGTGTGTTTTCTGGGTGTGAAGACAACTTTATGGGTGTGAAATCCAGGTCTTAGTAGACCTGGCTGGAGGGTGCTTTTAATGTGGACATCCCAGTGTGGGCCGCTGTGCTTTCTGTTCCATGCATCCCGCCTTTGCTAACAACCCATTTCCCTCTTGAAGTTGTTTCAGTGAATCTCCTGTAACCCAATGGTTTAAAAGGCAAATGTGTGACCTGGACACGTTCAATAAAACCCCAGTTCTTTGGGACAGATGATGCTGGTTTCTCCTGAGGAGGAATGATTTTGTGACTGCGTGAACTTTAAGCTGACACTGATTATTTGCCCAGCACACGGGAGCTCTTTGAGAGTGGATCCAGAGAAAATGAGGCAGAGTGAAAAGACAGAGCAGTGGATGGGGAGATGGGTGGTATGATTTGGGCCTTCATTTCCATTTGAGTCTGAAGCTCAAACGCCTGCTTGAAATTCCTAGAATTTCAAATTTTATTTTGTTTAAAAACTTAGGATTCTGGTAAGTGCATCCCAAGTGTCTTGAGACACAAAGACACATCAAATGTGAAAGAGATGTAAAGAGAGAAATCTTGCAACAAGGTATTTATTTTGGATGAGAAAAGGAAATGGAGGACAAGGTACAGGAGTAACAAGAATTTCTTTTAACTCTCAAAGTAAATTCTGAGCTTATGTTTCTTGATTCTGCAAGCTCAGCGGCAGCAGATCCGGTGGAGTGTACCACGAAAGGCGCAGGACCCAAAGCGACGTTATAACAAACGGCAAATTCCTCTTCCGCAAATGCACCTCAAGCCTCTCGCTGAGTCTGAGGACACAGGGAAATCATCATAAATGGATCAGAAGGTCAGCAGTGATGGTAAAGGGAATCTTGGATAAGTCATGTGCTAGGTAATGAGTGATGTTGGCTGCATTGGGGCCAGCAGCATGAACAGCCTCAGTCAATAGGAATAAATACACAGAGCAGTGCTGGTCACACAGGATTTGAGACTCATTCTCATTTGAGCTCATTTTTGTGCTTCTGCCCCGTCACACACACAGCTGAACACACTCTTGGGCTTGGCTCTACTTTTTAAAAACTATTCTACAGATACAGTAAAATATTCTCCTTGTAATGAAGTCTACTTGTGTGAATCCAGAAAGAACGAGTCAGACTGTCTCTTCATATCTAAAACCTACTGAATTTCACAGACATATCTTGACGTCAAGTTTTATTTTTCAATTTTATAGATTTTCTAAAGTGAAAGGATTGTTAAGGAAGTAAAGGAATAAAAGAATGGTTACTCTCCAGGCAGAGCAGCCTCAAGTCTTTAAAGACAGAAAGATTTATTTGGCTCTCTATTCAATTTATAGATGAGAAAACCAAGGCCCAGAGATGCTAAATGAAGCCCCCGAAGTGACATGGACCATTGAGACTCGATTCCACACTCTGTCTCCCATCCATCCCACTAGACCCTGCAGTTCTGCATGCCGGCCTGTCTCACCTGAAAGCGGAAGAGCGGCACTTTCATGCCATGTAAAGGCATGAGCCATTTCCTGATCATCTGCTCCAGGCTGCTCCTGGGCTGCAGCTTCATCAGCTCTTGCCTGAAGTGGCTCTGCCTGAGCCTACAGGGCCACCAGGAGAAGCATGGCAGTGAGGAGGGCAAAGGTCCTCATGGCTGGGGTGACCTGGAGGAGGGAGAGCAGGAGCAGACGAGTCGGGAGAGAGGAGTTAGCCTGGATATATAGGTCTGCAGAGAGAAGGCTCGGAGACAAGAAACCTGGAACCCTCTCAGAGAAAGGAGGTGTGCATTTCGTTGGAGACTGTGTGGGATCCCGTTGGTCTCAATGTCCCTGTTTTCTTCCTTTGCTCTCCCAGCTTTCACTCTAGTTTGAATCTCTACGTGTAGTGTTTGTGCTGGGTTGGAGAGGATGGTGACGACGAGGATCCTGGCATGTTTTTCTTGTTTCTCACTTCATTATATATTGACTTTTTACTATTCTACCAAAGGATAACAGCAGTGCTTTTGTTCGATAAGCTCAGGATACAAATGCCTCTTTTCCTGCAGATGGCCCCACTACTCTGTACAGGTCTACACTCTGGCAGCAGGCGTGAATTCCTATCAAGTGAAGAGTCATTTGTTGCAGGCATCAAGGGCGTGACCACTCTCATGAAGGCATGGGGTGAGTAGCCTCCTGTAGGGGCCAGTGTGAAGAGGACAATGACCCTATCAGGCGATAGGTGACATGAACACAGTGATATTAAGGCAAAAAGTTCGTCTACAGCCAAAAATGTGTTTCTGGCTCTATTGAGATATGAATAAGAATTTAAAACGGTATATATCTCCTGTATACCACCTTAGGATTTGATGTTCATGTACATGTGGTTTTTTATCATATACTATATACACAAATCAACTCAAAATGATCGAAGACCCAAACATAGACCTGAAACCATAAAATGACGAGAGGAACATATGAAGATAACGCTTTGTCATTGGTGTCGATAACGATATCTTTGCTATGACACCAAAGACACAGGCAATAAACGGGAAAATAGACAAATGGGGCTGCACTGACCTCTAAAGCATCTGCACGTCAAAAAACAAACCAACAAACAAATAATCAACTGAGTGAAAAAGCAACCCAGAAAATGAAAGACAATAATTGCAAACCCTAGGTGGTAGAAGGGGCAAATATCTAAATACATAAGGAAGTCAAACAACTCAAAAGCAAATAACAAGTAACCTGTTTGAAAAACAGGCCAAGGAGCAGGATAGGCTTCTCTCCAAATAAAAGGATGTTCTAAGGAGCTATTGTTGTCTGTATTGGACGTGTCAAGTAGGACACGTAGATTTAGAAGGAAATTCCTTGAGGTTCTCTATTAATTGAGCCGGTAGCTAAAGCTCCCAGCAGCCACCAGAGGTTCAGAGAGAAATGCGCAGCAAGAGATTCACCCACAAGGTCCCTCTGGGGTGGCCCAGGAGTCAGAGGTCAGACTGGGGGCACAGGTTCAATGTTGAAACCTCAATGTGAAAGTTTTAAGTCTTGGGTTACTTACAGATCCTCAAGGTAGGCAGAGTGAAGAGGGAGGGCAGACAGCAGTCCTCTGTCCCGGGTCTCCTGTAGCAAGAGCAGCCGTGCACAAACAGGAGAGGACTTCCCTATTTAAGAGTCATTTGGGATCAGGTGTCCTAATAACCTGGGTTACTTTCCATTGGGTTTATTAAATAACTCTGGTGGGAAGGACAGTTGAGAAATTTGATGGGAAGCTGGGGTTCGGACAGGAGTCCATGGAGGGTCCCCTCATCTGCCTTTGTCAACCTTGCCCAGGCCCAGGCAGCAACCAACGATGGATTCTCCATGACTCCTAACACAATGGACCCCGAGATGCCTGTGCTGGTGGCTGATGCTGAGCTAGTTGCAGCAAGGGAATATTTAAAGCCCCCAGGAGAGCCTGGCCTGCATATCACAGGACACACTCTGTTAGAGAGACAAGTTCAAGTTTGACACCCATGCACAGGAGAGGATGAGGAATCTTCCCCTGAACCAGCCTGCCCAGTACCTGAGCTCTAACCATAACAAGACACCAAAGCCGATTGGTGGGCTGGGATGTTGCAGACCACCTGGTTGAGACTGAATCCCACGTGGGCTTGTGTTAGCAGGCAGGGCAGGTTTTGCTGGGTTCGTTAAGGATGTGCACATAGTATGTGGTTCCCTGGAGTGGACAATTGCCTCATTGCTTGGGCAATGGACAGTTTAAGGCCAAACGAGTGTCTAGGACCACTGGGGCCAAGAACTCCTGAGTTTCCTGCTGGAGACCTAATGTCTCTTGAAAGTCTCTCAGGGAGGCGGCCAAGGTGGCAGTGAGTTTGGTGTTAGCTTGCATCACCTGGTGCTCTGTGCTCCAATGCCTTGCTCTTAAGCCCATTCTGGGCAGGCTTAAGAGTCTCCATGCACATAGCATGAGTGGGATGATCAGTGGTCGCTTGAAATATGCAGGATCAAACTCCTGTGGTTCCTCCTGTGTTATTTGAGGAGAATTCCTAAGAAGACTAGAGCACATTTTAAAATGTACCACTATCCACCGTCCTCCTCCTTCTCCTAGTCAGGTAGATGGGGTAAGGTTTCTGGAGATGAGAAAAGAATGCAGTCGCTCGAGAGGCAATAAATACCTGTGGTGAGGTTGCTGAACCCAGTGTGCACGCCGGGCAGCCCCTGCCACCATGGGAATGTCGTGCACAGCGCTGGTCCCACAGGCTGGGTGCTCAGGGCCCCCCCTGCAGCTCTGTGTGAAGGCAGCAGGCATCGGCCGGTGGAGGCCTGGGGGCAGTGGAGTGATAACTAAAGCATCTCCCTCAACCTTAAGGTAGAAGAGGCATCTCAAGCTTTGCTAGAGGCGGTCGCTGTGGCAGAGCAGTGGGGTCTCCTGTCCCTCTGAGGAAGCAGTGAATTCCTGATGTGTGGCAGGCCCAGGAACTTCAGCTTTGGAGGAAGTGAGCACCAGTCTCACCCCAGCATAAGAAGAAATTTGGGCTCTTCGGGGAAACTGAGGCTCTGGTGACAGTTTTAGCTTCCAGGGCATTAGTAGGTGCCTGTAGGGTCGCAATGATGAGGTTATAGGGACTAAATATGAAGGGGTGTATATGAGCGAGAGGAAGATCTCCGGGTTCTGGAAATGTCCCATGTCCTGCGGAAGTGAAACCTGGACCTGCTTCCTGCACACAGAGCACACTCCAGTCCACAGGCATTTCCACAGCACTGCATGAGCGTTATCACTGGAGAGCTGGTGAGATTCGGGCGTGGTATTCTTACACATAGTTCTCCCAAGTCTATAGTTTTCCGTAGCTTGTAGGGCAGCTTTACAATCTCACTGAGGCTCTATGGGTTCCTTGCACCATAAAGTAATGGGCTTATTCTGAAAGCAAATGGTGATCTCAGCAAAATTCCACTCTAATGAGGTCATTTTTGGTGTAATCAGCAAAGCATGAGGTCAGGGAAGCAGCAAGTCAAGGGTTTGGGTACTGGCCATGAGCCAGCACCATGTACTGGAGATGGCGAGGTCCGTATTTGTAGCAGTAAGGAAAGGCTGGTTGGTGGTGATCTCGTGGTCAAAGTGATTTTCCTCTACAAGGGACTTAAACAAATAAGTAAGCAAAAAAGAAATGAGCCCTTTAAAATGCGTGCCAGGGCATGAACAGATACTTCTCAAAAAAAGACATACAAGAGGCCAAGAAACATGAAAAAATGCTCCACATTACTGATCATTAGAGAAATGCAAAATAAAACCTCAAAGGGATACCAGCTCACACTAGTCAGAATGGCTGTTATTGAAAAGTTAAAAAATACTGATATTGGCAAGACTGCAGAGAAAGAGAACGCTTATACACTGTTGAGGGGAATGTTAATGAGTTCAGCCATAGTGGAAAGCAGTTTAGAGATTTCGCAAATAACTTAAAATAGAACCAGCATTCAACCAAGGAATCTCACTACTGGGTATATATCCAAAGGAAAACAAATTATTCTGCCAAAAAGACACATGTACTCGTATGTTCATGGCAGCATCATTCATGCTAACAAAGACATGGAGTCAACCTAGATGGCCATCAGTGTTGGACTGGATGAAGAAAATGTGGTACATATACATGATGGGATACTACATTCATAAAAGAGAATGAAATTATGTCATCTGCAGCGAGTGGGATTCAGTGAGAAGGTGCCGTCTATGAATCACAAAACTGGTCCTCACCAGACACCAAGTGTGTTGGCACCTTGTTTTGGACTTCTCAGCCTCGAGAACACCAAGACATATATTTCTGTTGTTTCTAAGTCACTTGGTGTATGGTATTTTTTTCCAGCACTCCACATACACTCAGATTGCTTGTGTCTTTGAAGCCCGGATACCATGCTTGGAGGAAGTCTAAGTGTTGCAAATCCTGCTAGCTATGAGTGGGATACAAAGTGTCACACCAATCTCCTCCTTCATGAACCAGCATGATCTGACGTCAGTGCCTCACAGGGTCTCATCCCTGAGCCCTGTCAGAGCTGCAGCTGAGCCAGCACCCCCTGCCACCTGTTCACAAGTGTCTTGGGCCTGAGGTTTTCAGATCCCAGCAGCACTTCTCCTCTGATGCCTGTGGAGAGAGCCACCTCCCAATTGCAAAAGTGTGAATGAAGACCTGATCATGTTGTTTTAATCCATTAAGTCTTGTGGTGTCTTTTCATAGAGCCCTAGATGAACAGAGGGCAATTTTCACAGTATTGGTGACAAATTGGACTTGTACTTTGTGTGTGTAAATCTCAGCTTCTCTAAAATATTGATGAAATAGGAGAGAACTTTCTCAATTGAATCCCAAAGTGTCACAAAGAGCCCATTGTGGTGGGGGCATGGAATTGTGGACTCTTTGGAGAGACTGAGGAACCCCGTCTCACCCATTCTTAGTTTGAATTTTTCCTGTGGGGAGCTGGGGTAGTGTGGGATCCAGGTGGAGTCTCAACCTCTCCCCTCAGTGACAGACTCAGAGGAGGGTGTGGAACTCCAGAGCTGGCTGAAACAACGGAGAGAGAAGTAGGGGTTTTCTCCCGGAGATCAGCTATGAAGTCCCAGGGAAGATGACCATTATTCACACGGCTGTCATCTGGGGAGAGACCCCAAGTTAAGATCAAGAGAAAAAAGCGGGAAACAAAATGGTAAAGACAACAAGGTAACTCATGCCTAGAGTCCTTGGATCAGGCATTTTATGAAGCCAGAAGTCTTTCTTTTCTTTTCTTTCTTTCTTTCTTTTTTTTCTTTTCTTTTTTTTTTTTTTTTTTTGAGGCAGAGTGTAGATCTGTCACCCACGCTGGAGTGCAGTGGTGCGATCTTGGCTCACTGCAACCTCCACCTCCCAGGTTGAAGCGATTCTCCTGCCTCAGCCTCCTGAGTAGCTGAGATTACAGGCACCCACCACCACACCCGGCTAATTTTTCTATTTTTAGTAGTAGAGACAGTTTTCACCGTGTTGCGCTGTCTGGTCTTGAACTCCTGACCTCATGATCCACCCTCCTTGGCTTCCCGAAGTGTTTGGATTACAGGTGTGACCCACTGTTCAGGTGGGGCATTCAAAATGTTAATTCAGCTTGTTGTGGTTTCTTAAATTTGAGTGCACAACTCCGCTAATATGCCTGAAAAAGATACAACAAAAATTACCCAGATAAGAGAAGCTGAGGCAAAATGGTGCAGTGCATAAGAATAGGAAATGAGAGCGGATGGCAGGTGTCCTGGGTGCAGCCTGGAGAAGAGACTCCTGGATGATTCCCATGCACAGCCCTGGGGGAGAACAGCCTTATTGATGCTGATCAGCAGAGAAGGAGGGACGGCTATGTGAGAGGCTGGAGGACAATGGGTGTGTCAGGGACAGGAATTTCATAAGTGATGTTCAGAGATGGAGGAATTCCAGGTGGTGCAGGAGTTAGGGAGTAGCCATGGGGTGGAAGGCTGGAACGAGGTGGCAGTCCCTGTTATCCAGGAGGACACAGAATTGAGATGTTGGGAGGTTGACTTCTAGGAAATGTTAGAGTGAGCTCTTTCCCTTAGTTTCTTCATGAGTTATTTGTTTTTTTCGTGAACACGGAAAAAATACAGATATTCCTAAAATGGAATGAGTTCTTTTCAGATCTCTTTCCTTCTGGTTTTGCTTATAAGCCGAGTTTAGAAAATCAGAACAGTAACAGCAAAAGAAACCTATTTCATTTTTTGTACAAGTAAAAATTAACCAAGACCTTTTAAAAATGTGAAGGAAGCACTTATTGAAGACTGTTGAAATGGGAGTCAGAACGTTGCAACAGGGAGAGCCGTTGGCCTCAACTTTCCTGAAGCCAAAGCGGGAAGGTTAAGGCCTGGGTGAGCTAGCGGAAATGCACTGGAGGTTGGTAGTGGGAGTCTTGCAGTGTGATTGGGCCATCTGCGTTTGCTAGTTTGTGCTTATTGGAGTTAGGCTCCTGCCTGCCTACAGAGACAGGGCTGCTGTCCCCTTGAGTAGTTACATTTAAAGGGATGAGGCATCTAACTTATTCCTTATTTCCTTGTCCTGCCGCATGAATGGCTCATTTCCGGTAGAAAAGTTCTTGCATGTCATCACTAATCCTAGAGTGTATGTGCATCCCAGTAAACAGTGTTGTGCCTCATTTGAGGCTAAGCAAGTTGCCCTGGTTGTTTGGAGACCCTCACACCTCTCCCTGAATTCTCCGTCCCTAGAGTTTGCAGCAGTCATCGCCCACCCTAGACTGCAGTAGCAGAAGCCACATGTGGTGCTCCCAGTGTGCCTTTATCCACACAGAGGAGCAGGGAGGCTCCGTCCTCATCTGCCCCTTTCCCTTGAGTTGATGGATGCCTCTCAGCACATCAGCATGAATTCTACTCCGTCCTTCTCTCTGGCAACATCCATTCCTCTGAATTCAGTGGAGGTCCACCCTCATCCTGCATAGCTCTTGCCCTGATAGCATTCTGTCCACCAAACATTTCATTCTACCTCTGCTTTTAGTCATTCCATGTTTTAAACATATTGATGTTGTACTTGAAGATTCACATGGAATCTTTTTGCCTGCTTTAGCCGGAATGGCCTGCTTCTTCTAAGGTCCTAAAGCTTCATGATGCCAAATAGTACCCATGATGTTTTTTCATGTTTCAGCCTTGAATACTTTTATTTATTTTGTTTTTTAAAGGTGTGCTGTCATAGGGTCTAGAAAATGGACTGCTCTACCTCTGTTGAATTTAGTTTTTTCCTATGGAATTTAGGAATAACAATTAATAAATAATTTTATATTGTTATGTGCTATTAGATGCAATTAGTTAATGTAATCAGAATTAATTTAGTAACCCCCTACTTTATGTTACAGTCATCCATGCACTCTGGTACAACAATAAGCAAAACATGCAGCTTCCCTTCTGGAGTAAGGAGGCAAATGTTACGTTTAGTAAGTGAAGTGTACAGGGAGTGAGACGGTTGCAATTCTATAGTTAGCAATGAGGAAAATCGGAGAATGGAGGTCAGCAGGGGGATCTTGTTGCAATTTAAGGTTGAGAGATCAGAAAAGACCTCAGTGACCAAGTGAAGTTTTAGCTGAGACCTCAGATGCTTGGGAGAAAGTCAGGTGGACCTCTGGCAGATGCCCCAAGATGCAGCCATCTTGATCCATTTCATAGTTCAGAATACTATGGAAAGTTAATTCGGGGACCACATGATTCCAAGTCCGTGGCAGTCACAGGAAGCCAAAGAAGGCTCCTGGGCTTCACACCGTGATTCCCTATTTGTGTCCTTCATCACCTAAACAAGAAGAAGTCTGGGATCATTACCCACTCTGTCCTCCCAGGGTTCTTGGTGGGCTTCCATATCCATGCAGTGTCTCAGTGGGTACCTGGGCCCCTGGGCTGCCTCAGCCCCCTGCAGCAACAAGAACGCTACCATGTTCCTGGTGAAATGCTTTCCCTCCCTTGTCCCTTATCCCCTCTGAAGCTGTATTTTCCAGGCAGAATCAGGTTCTCAGCAGCTTTAGGGTAACACAAGAGGGTGCGCGTTGCAAAGTGCGGTGGAGCATTTGTGTGTGTGTGTTTTCTGGGTGTGAAGACAACTTTATGATTGTGAAATCCAGGTCTTAGTAGACGTGGCTGGAGGGTCCTCTTAATGAGGACGTGCCAATGTGAGATGCTGTGCTTTCTGTTCCATGTATCCCGCCTTTGCTAACAACCCATTTCCCTCTGAATGAAAGTTTTTTCCGTGGATCTCATGTAACCCTATGTCTTAAAAGGAAAATGTACAATCTGACATTGTTCAATGAAACTCCAATTCTTTAGCACAGAGGATGGTTTTTTTTTCCCGGAGAAGTAATGATTTTGTGACTGCATGAAATGTAAGCTGACACCGATTGTTTGCCCAGCACACGCGAGCTCTTTGAGAGTGGATCCAGAGAAAATGAGGCAGGGTGAAAAGGCAGAGCAGTGGGTGGGGAAATCAGTGGTGTCATATGGGCCTTCTTTTCAATTTGGATCTGAAGCCCAAACTCCTGCTTGAAATTCCTAGAATTTGGAATTTTATATTGTTCAAAAATTTGATTTTGCGTTTTGGTACGTGTATCCCAAGTGTCTTGACACAGACACATATCACACATTAAAGAGGTGGAAACACAGAAATCTTGTAACAAGGCATTTATTTGGGATGAGGAAAGGAAATTGAGCAGAAGGTACAGGAGTAATAGCAATTCCCTGTAGCTCTCAAAGCAAATTTTGAGCTCATTTTTCTTTTTCTGCAAGCTCAGCAGCAGAATGCCCAGAGTCTTCCCTGGTAGATGCAGGTTCCATAGCGACGTTCTCCTGCAATGCACGCTGGTATTCTGCAATAGCAGGCCATGTTTTTCCTTGAGCCTGGGACAGGGAGAGCATGAGAAATTGAGTATGGAGTTAGCAGTGGGTAAGAAAAAGAATCTCGGGGAAGTCACATGCTAGCTGACAGGTGATGCTGGCTGCATTGCAGCCGTTAGCACGAACAACCTCAGTCGATAGGAATAAACACGCAGAGCAGTGCTTGTCACTCAGAATTTGAGACTCATTCTCCTTTGCTCTCATTTTTGCATTCCTGCCCCATCACACACACACCTGAACATATCCTCAGGCTTGGCTGCAGTTTTTAAAAGCTCTTCTGTAGATAGAGTAAAATGTTCTCTTTACAACTAAGTCTACTTGTTTAGATCCAGAAATAACTAGTCTGTCTCTTCATATCTGAAACTTAGTGAATTTCACAGACGTTTCTTGGAATCAAGTCTTTGGAGAAATAAAGTTTCTCATGTTTATTTGGCTCTCTGTTCAATTTCTAGATGAGAAAATCAATGCCCAGAGATTCTAAGTGAAGCCACCTCAGTGACATAGACTGCTGAGACCCAACTCTGGAACCTCTCTCCCGTCCTTCCCTCTAGACTTAGCAGCTCTGCATGCCTGCCTCTCTCACCTGGATGCTTTGGAGCCAAGCTTTCGTCCCATGCAAGGGAAACAACCACTTCTGGGATGTCCGCTGCAATCTGCTCCGGGGCTGCAGCAACCTCATCAGCTCTTGCCTGGAGTGGCTCAGCCTGGGCCTGCAGGGCCACCAGGAGAATGGCAGCAAGGATGGCGAGGGTCCTCATGGCTGGGGTCACCTGGAGGAGGGAGAGCAGGAGCAGCTGTGTGGGGAGGGAGGAGCCAGCCTGGATTTATAGCTCTACTGGGAGAAGGCTCGGAGACAAGAAACCTTCCTCAATCTCAGTGAGAGGAGGTGTGCATTTTATAAGAGAGGCCCATTGGTCTCAAGGTTGCTCGAATGCTCCTGTTCTCCCAGTTTCATGCTAGTATACATCTGTACCTTTAATGTCTGTGCTAGGTTGGAGCTAATAATGACAAGAAAGACCCTGCTATGTTACTCGTGGGTTCACCTGCTTAAATATTATGATTCACTTTTTAACATTCCAAAAAGAATAGAAATTGCACTTTGATTCAACAGGCTCAGGGAACAAATGCTTCTTATTTTCTGAAGATGGGTCCTGCTGTTCTCTGGAGGTCTAGATTCTGGTGTCCTATATGAGTTCCAATGGAATAGCGAGTAATTCACTTCAGGATTCAGGTGACTTACCATCCTCATGAAGAGGTTTTTGAGGTTATGGGGTGAGTAGTCTCCTGTAGGAATCAGGGTGGAGAGGACAATGATTTTATCAGGCTAAAGGTGAAATCAGCTCAGTGACACAGAGTGGTTTAAGTAAAAAAAAGAAAGTTTATTATTTCCACCTCTACTTAGACTTGAGTAACAATTAACAATTGTATATTTATAGTGTACACTACCTCATGATTTTATATATGTATGTATTTAAATCTTTATCTCACACCATGTAGAAACATCAACTCAGAATGAATTGAAAACCTAAATGTAACAACTGAAACCATAAACTACTAGAAGTGTATAGAAGGATAAAGCTTTTGACATTGATGTAGGTAATGATTTCTTGGCTATGACACCAAAGGCACAGGCAATAAAAGGGAAAATAGACAAGTGTGGCTTCATTTAACGCTAAAGCATCTGCACAGCAAAGGAAACAATCAACCGAGTGAAAAGATAACCCAGAAAATGAGAGAAAATATTTGCAAAACCTACATGGCCGAAGGGGCAAATATCTGAATACATAAGGAATTCCAACAACTCAATAGCAAAAATCAAACAACCTGATTGAAAAACAGACCAAGGACCTAAATAGGTTTCTCTCAAAAGAATGTTCCAAAGACCTGTGATAGTCTCTACTGGACATGTCAACCAGGACATGTGTGTTTAGAAGGAAACTGCTTGAGTTTCTCTATTAAGTTAGCTGGAAGCCATCGTCCCCAGCAGTCACCAGAGGTCCGGACAGACGTTCCTAGCAGGGATTCGCCCGCTGGTTCCCTCTGGGGTGGCCCCACAGTCAGAGGTCAGATTGGAGGCATAGCTTCAATAATGAAAACTCAGTGTAAAGTTTAAGTTTTGTAGTACTTACAGATCCTCTAGCTAGGCAGGGTGACCAGAGAGGGCAGACAGCAGTCCTCTGTCCCAGGTCTTCTATAGCAAGGAGCAGCCGTGCACAAGTGGACTTCCCCTATTTAAAGGTCTTTTGGGATGAGGTGTCCTAATTTCCGGGGTTACTTTCTGTTGGGTCCATTAAATAATTGTGGTGGCAAGGACAGTTGAGAAATTTGGTGGGAAGGTGAGGTTAAAGTAGAACTCCACAGAGGAACCTCTCATCTACCTTGGTCAGCCCTGGCCAGGCCCAGGCAGCAACCAACTATGGATTCTCAATGGCTCCTAACACAGTTGACCCTGTGATGCATTGGCTGTGGCTAAGCTGAACTACCTGCACCAAGGGAATATTTAAAGCCTCTGGGACAGCCTGGCTGCGTATCATAGTATACACCCTGCAAAGAGATTGGGATAGGAATGCCACCTACACACAGAGGAGGATTTGGAATGTGTTTCTAAAGCAG
Organism: Homo sapiens; assembly: GCF_000001405.40. Taxonomy (NCBI): domain Eukaryota; kingdom Metazoa; phylum Chordata; class Mammalia; order Primates; family Hominidae; genus Homo; species Homo sapiens. Next base: position 6,999,607 of record NC_000008.11, read on the forward strand.
TGTCCCGAGGACCTGGGGTCTAACCATAAAAAGCAATGAAAGCCATTTGGCTGAGCTGGGATGTTGGAGAACACCCAGGTGAGAATGAGTGCTACCTGGGCTTCTGTTGCTATGTGGAACAGACATTTTTGGGTTCTCCTGAGTACTGGATGTACACGCGGCATGTGGTTCCCCAGAGGTGACTATCACCTGTTTGCTTGGCCAATGAACAGTTTAAGCTTAAACAATTGTCTAGGATCATCTGGGCCAAGAACTGGTCTGAGGCATTAGCCATCAGGGTGGGAGTGGCCTTTCCAGATGGCCACCCAAGAAAGGAGGTGGGAGTCTGGGCATTCACTTTACTGCTGGTGTTGCACAGCCTCTCAGGCCTTGTGGGCCTTCAGAGAAGCATTCAGCAAAAGCTTGAGTGGTGCTTTCTGGGAGGCATAGGAGTTTCCATCCTTCACTGGTACACATCGGAGAACAGGTGTATCCCTGAGCCCATGATCATGTCTGGATGCTTTCTGTGAATGCAATGCTCCAACTCTTCAGGCTGCAGTCTGGGTGTGTGCTGCGGCGTCATGAGCCCATTTGGATTGAAGCCTGTGCATCCAGAGAACTACCTCCTCATCCTTAAAACACGATCTGTGGTTGTGAGGGCTGCTGGTGTTTAAGCATTGGTGCCATGGGACCCATTCAATATCTAAGGGTTGAGTTGCCCGCCTTGGACACAGGTCAGGTTGTATCTGGGGTGCAGCCCCTGTAACAGGGCTTACAGGGAATTCCCCAGTTTTCCAGTCTGGGGTACAAATTCTGACTAGGGCTGTCCTGTTCCAGCAGCCCTCTAGGCTGCCAGGCCTGGGTTAAACAGCTACCCCACAAGCCATTTGTACATAAGATACCAAGCAAGGCCAATCATAGAGAACACTGACATCTTGTCACTCAGGGCTTTCTTCCCAGTGCTTCTATATTGACACTGATGATGGGGTTGGCTGGCACCCACTTTTCCTTGGAGCCTTTCTCCCCCATGGCCACGTTTGGTGATGGCACTTCCATATGGTCTTTGCCTGACGTAGTTGGTGTCTCTAGTTTGAAGGCTTCTTCTCCTCGTTACTGCCTCTGACTGCACCCTCGGTGGGTTCTGGAGCAATAATCCCTACTTCCTGCCAGGAGAAGTAAGTGGGAAATATTAGCTAACCTTTAAAACCGGTAAAAAAGGGAGCTTTTGCCAGAAGCTGCATGTGAAATGGAGAGGTGTGGTCTAACAAAAGCCTCGTGGTCCTGCTGGGTGCCAGTGGGCCTGGGGGGTTATCCTCAGAAGATCGTAGTTTACTATCCATCCACAGTCCATTGTTCAGTATATGTTTGATGTTGAGATGGTGGATGTCCTGTGATGATATGGGGAGGTCTCATTATTGGAGAACATGTAAATGATGTTATCTGTAAGGGAAAAAAGAAGCTAACTCTTCTGTGATCACCAAGATAGGCACCAAAGTGCGTCTAGCCCAATTGTGATGAGGCAGTGGTGGCCATGGGATTGAGAGTTAAAAAAGTGACGGCCCTTGGAAGGACCTTGGTGCCTTGGGTGTCCATAGCACATCCAGAGACATTAATAACCATGACTTTAGGAGGCCACCGTGCTGCTTGAGGAGGCTGGTGGCTTGGGGACGATGGACTAAATGAGACTCCCTTAACCCACCCTCGTGTTGTGATGTCCTGAGGTGGGAGCCTCCATCTGAATCAATGATAGGTGTGGTTCTAAAGGAGATAGTGAAGAAATGCCACGTAAAGAGAACACCTGCTCCACGCAGGGCATAAGGAGCTACGGTCCCTGGAAGACTACATGTGCAGAAGCTCATAGTTAGGACAGGTGTGCTTTGTCCAGAGGCTCTGAGACTTATGATGGGTGGTAGTGAGGGCCTCCCCATGAAACTCAGAACCCGGGACCCGGGCATGGACTAGAGAGATCACCTGCTGGACCAGCAACAGACTGTATCCTGCTGTGGCCCCAGTGGATGTGAAGGGCTTCTGGGTGATGGCATTTGTGGGCCTCAGCAGAATGGACAAGTGGGGTATAGCTGTCTCCAAAGACACGATGTCCCAGTACATGGAGGGCCAGCTGCAAAGTGGCTAGGACACTAGTGGTGAGGATTTGGTTTTTAACTGCAAGGGGACTTTGTCAGCCCACTGATGACAAATTGATGCCCAGAATCTTTACAACAGTGCTGGAGGGGCCATGAGTGTGTCCTCCAGAAACGTGGCCACTGTCCAGGAAGAGGGAGAGCGGGTGCAGCAGCTCTGCCCATATGTCCTGGCCCAGGCGGTGGCTTTACATGCAGCACCCAGAGCGATTTGGGGAGCTGAGGGAGAACAGAGACCCTCCAGCTGGCTCAGAGTCACTGGTGGCTCCTGTCCCTGGAGGGGTGGCCTTCTCTGCCCCAACCCAGTCTTGTGCTCTCCTTCCCTGCCATTCTTGGCTGCAGGACTGGGAACCATCTGCTGGGACGTTGCTCTGTGTCTCCCTCATGGCCATGCTCCCATCTTTGCCTCCTCCATAGACTGCGGTCAGGACTCAGCAGCCCAGAGCCCCAGCAGGGTCTCAGTCTGTACTGAGGTCACACCTAGGCATTGTCGCCATCCTTCGGCAGGTGATTCTCAAACTCCAAACTCAAATTAGAACAGAGAGATTCTTCCCTGTGGTCCTTTTCACTTTTCTCTTTTGGCTGCACCAGAACCTTGGCAGAATTTTGTGGTTTAAACAAAAAAGGTGTTATGTCTACAGATTTTTTACAGTACTTTCACTTCCATGTTGATCCATAGTCCCCAACCCCAGCCTGATGTTTTCCACTGATTGCAGCCAGTGTAGACAATCAGTGTCCACACTGTGGACACTATATGTAGATGCAGCTGAAGCTGTTTTTTTCAGACACACGCATTTGAATTTTAGGGAATATTGAAGCGAGTCTAGACTCAATAAAAACCTTGACATCATTAGGCTGGGGTAAACATTCTGGAGAAGCTGTGGGTGGGGTTGTAGGTGTGAGAGGAGAGAAGCTTCCAGGAGCAGCACACATATTCTCACACATGTTTATGGTGTCTGGTGGCCCCAGCAGACACAGTGTGTGTGGACCTTGGGCGGGGCCCTGGGGTTATGGTTTTGACCCGGTAGGAAAGGGTAGTCATGGAACACAGCATGCGTGTTACCATGGGGCGCAGCGGGGGCTACGCAGAGGTGAGCTCTGAGGAGGACCCTCCACCTCCCAGCTCCTCAGAGTGCATCGCGCTGTCCCTCCCCTCAGCCCTTTGTCCACTGTCCTGCAGGGAGGGTCCTGGTGCTGCCTGTGCCACACAGTCACTCCCGGGCCTGCAGATCCAGCTGGGACAGGTAGGAGCTCCAAGTCCCTGCCCTTTGTCTGCCTTTCCCAGCCGCCTCTCACAAGCTGTCTGTGTGTCTGGTGTTGAGGATTGCAGCAGGTTTATTTTACAATAAACCATAAGGAAATAGCTTCCTTGAGCTGTTTTAAAATATGGCCCTAAATCCCTGACTCTTTTCACATAAAAATGGAGGTGAAAATGGCTCCTGTTGAATCTAGATTGGGCGACATCTTGACCAGTTGAACACACCTGACTTAGCACCGTGCTGTTTGTTGGGCTAAGGTCATAAGAAGTTGGTATCTTTCACTTCCTGAGTATTGGATGGTGCTGCAGCCTGAATGTTTTTGTCCCTCTGAAATTCATATGTTGAAATCCCTCCTCTGGTGACAGCATGAAAAGGTGGGGCTTTCTGGGAAGTGATATGTTCAGGAGGATGGAGTCCTCATGAGTTGCATTAGTGCCCCTGAGGAAGAAGCCCCAGAGAGCTCCTTCATTCATTCCCTCAGGTGAGGAAGCAGTGAGAAGGTAGCATCTATGAACCAAAAAGCTGGTCCTCACCACACACCAAATCTGTTGGCACCTTGATTTGGACATCTCAGCCTCCAGAACACTGAGAAATGTATTTTTGTTGTTTATAAGTCACTTGGTGTATGATTTTCTTTCCCCCAGCATCCCACATATACTAAGAGTGCTGGTGCCTTTGAAGCCCAGCTACAATGCTTGGAGGAAGTCTAAGCATTGCAAAAAAAGGAACTGAACCCACCTGCAAGGAAGAGCTAGAGAACCCAGAGCAACCAGCTTTCTAGGAAAAACAAAACTCTGATATGCAGTGTTTGTAAATCTCTCTGGTTCAAATCCTCCTAGCTATGAGTGGGATAAAAAGTGTCACACCTATCTTTTCTCTCATGAGCTGGCATGACCTGGCCTCAGTGCATCACAGTATCTCATCCCTCAGCCTGTCAGAGCTCCCACTGAGCCAGCCCAGCACTCCCCGCTACCTGTGCGCAAGCGTCTTGGCCCTGAGGTTTTCAGCTCCCAGCAGAACCTGTCCTCTGTTGCCCATGGAGGGGGCTATGTCCCAATTGCAAATGTGTGAATGACGACCTGATCGTGCTGTTTTAATTCCCTAAGTTTTGTGGTGTCTTTTCACACAGCCCTAGATGAACAGAGGGCATTTTCACAGTATTGCTGAGGAATTGGATTTGTACATATTTTGTGTGTGTAAATCTCAACTTCTCTGAAATATTGATAAAATAGGAGGGAATTTTCTCAACTTCTTCCCAAAGCGTCACAAAGAGCCCATCATGGTGGGGGATGAAACTGTGGACTCTATGGAGTGACTGAGGAACCCTGTCTCATCCATTCTTAGTTTGAATTTTTCCTGTGTGGAGGAGGGGTAGTGGATCCAGGTGGAGTCTCAATCTCTCCACTGAGGGACAGACTCAGAGGAGGGCATGGGACTCGGGAGTTGACTGAAACAATGGAGAAATCAATAGGGGTTTTCTCCCGGATATCAACAACGGAGGCTGTGGGGAGATAACCACAATTCATGTGGCTGTCACTTGGGGAGCGAGCCCAAGTTATCAAGAGAAAAATGGGGGTGATAAAAGGTAAAGACAAGAAGGACTCTTATGCTTTGGGTCCTTCAATCAGGGATTTTATGAAGCCAGAATTCTTTCATAAGTATCAGGTGTGGCAGTCAAATTGTTCACTCAGTTTGTTGTGGTTTCTTAAATTTGAATGCAAAACTCAGCTAATATGCCTGAAAATTATATAAAAATATTACCTAGCTCAGAGAATCTGAGTTAAAGACAGTACAGTTCATAAGAACAGGAAACGAGGGTAGATGACAGGTGTTCCTGGTGCAGCCTGGGGAACAGACTCCCGGGTGATTCCCAGGCACGTTTCTGTGGGAGAACAGCCTTATCGATGCTGATCAGCAGGGAAGGAGGGATGGCTACCGGAGAGGCTGGAAGTACAGCGGGTGAGTCAGCAACAGGGACCTTCATACTTGATATTCAGAGATGCAGGAATTCCAGGTGGTGGCAGGAGCATGGGGTGGAGGGCTGGAACAAAAGTGGGGGTCGCTGTCAGCCAGGAGGATCCAGCACAGAGAGGTTGGGAGGGTGACTGAGAGGAAATGTGAGAGTGGGCTCTTTCCCTTAGGTTCTTCATGAGTTGTTTGTTTCTTAGTGAAAAAGGAAAAATTTCAGATACTCATAAAATGGAATGAGTACTTTTCAGATCCCTTTCCTTCTGGTTTTGCTTGTAAGCCGAGTTTAGAAAATCAGAAAAGAAATAGCCAAAGAAAACTATTTCATTTATTGTACAAGAAAAAATTCACCAAGACGTCGCAGAAATGTGAAGGAAGCGCTTATTGAAGACTGGTGAAATAGGAGTCAGAACGTTGCAATAGGGAGAGCCGTTGGCCTCAACTTCCCTGAAGACAAAGGCAGGAAAGGTGAAACCCTGGGTGAGCTAGGGGAAATGCACTGGAGGTTGGCACCCACTCTGTCCTCCTTGGGATCTGCATGGGCTTCCCATCCATGCAGTGTCTCAGTGGGGTGCCTGGACCCCTGAGCTGCCTCAGCACCCTGCAGCAACAAGAAGGCTACCCTTTTCCTGGTGAAGTGCTTTCCCGGCCTCATCCCTTATCCCCTCTGAAGCTGTATTTTCCAGGCAGAATCAGATTCTCAGCGGCTTTAAGGCAACAGAGGAGAGTGCGTCTTGCAAAGTGTAGTGGAGCATTTGTGCTTGTGTGTTTTCTGGGTGTGAAGACAACTTTATGGGTGTGAAATCCAGGTCTTAGTAGACCTGGCTGGAGGGTGCTTTTAATGTGGACATCCCAGTGTGGGCCGCTGTGCTTTCTGTTCCATGCATCCCGCCTTTGCTAACAACCCATTTCCCTCTTGAAGTTGTTTCAGTGAATCTCCTGTAACCCAATGGTTTAAAAGGCAAATGTGTGACCTGGACACGTTCAATAAAACCCCAGTTCTTTGGGACAGATGATGCTGGTTTCTCCTGAGGAGGAATGATTTTGTGACTGCGTGAACTTTAAGCTGACACTGATTATTTGCCCAGCACACGGGAGCTCTTTGAGAGTGGATCCAGAGAAAATGAGGCAGAGTGAAAAGACAGAGCAGTGGATGGGGAGATGGGTGGTATGATTTGGGCCTTCATTTCCATTTGAGTCTGAAGCTCAAACGCCTGCTTGAAATTCCTAGAATTTCAAATTTTATTTTGTTTAAAAACTTAGGATTCTGGTAAGTGCATCCCAAGTGTCTTGAGACACAAAGACACATCAAATGTGAAAGAGATGTAAAGAGAGAAATCTTGCAACAAGGTATTTATTTTGGATGAGAAAAGGAAATGGAGGACAAGGTACAGGAGTAACAAGAATTTCTTTTAACTCTCAAAGTAAATTCTGAGCTTATGTTTCTTGATTCTGCAAGCTCAGCGGCAGCAGATCCGGTGGAGTGTACCACGAAAGGCGCAGGACCCAAAGCGACGTTATAACAAACGGCAAATTCCTCTTCCGCAAATGCACCTCAAGCCTCTCGCTGAGTCTGAGGACACAGGGAAATCATCATAAATGGATCAGAAGGTCAGCAGTGATGGTAAAGGGAATCTTGGATAAGTCATGTGCTAGGTAATGAGTGATGTTGGCTGCATTGGGGCCAGCAGCATGAACAGCCTCAGTCAATAGGAATAAATACACAGAGCAGTGCTGGTCACACAGGATTTGAGACTCATTCTCATTTGAGCTCATTTTTGTGCTTCTGCCCCGTCACACACACAGCTGAACACACTCTTGGGCTTGGCTCTACTTTTTAAAAACTATTCTACAGATACAGTAAAATATTCTCCTTGTAATGAAGTCTACTTGTGTGAATCCAGAAAGAACGAGTCAGACTGTCTCTTCATATCTAAAACCTACTGAATTTCACAGACATATCTTGACGTCAAGTTTTATTTTTCAATTTTATAGATTTTCTAAAGTGAAAGGATTGTTAAGGAAGTAAAGGAATAAAAGAATGGTTACTCTCCAGGCAGAGCAGCCTCAAGTCTTTAAAGACAGAAAGATTTATTTGGCTCTCTATTCAATTTATAGATGAGAAAACCAAGGCCCAGAGATGCTAAATGAAGCCCCCGAAGTGACATGGACCATTGAGACTCGATTCCACACTCTGTCTCCCATCCATCCCACTAGACCCTGCAGTTCTGCATGCCGGCCTGTCTCACCTGAAAGCGGAAGAGCGGCACTTTCATGCCATGTAAAGGCATGAGCCATTTCCTGATCATCTGCTCCAGGCTGCTCCTGGGCTGCAGCTTCATCAGCTCTTGCCTGAAGTGGCTCTGCCTGAGCCTACAGGGCCACCAGGAGAAGCATGGCAGTGAGGAGGGCAAAGGTCCTCATGGCTGGGGTGACCTGGAGGAGGGAGAGCAGGAGCAGACGAGTCGGGAGAGAGGAGTTAGCCTGGATATATAGGTCTGCAGAGAGAAGGCTCGGAGACAAGAAACCTGGAACCCTCTCAGAGAAAGGAGGTGTGCATTTCGTTGGAGACTGTGTGGGATCCCGTTGGTCTCAATGTCCCTGTTTTCTTCCTTTGCTCTCCCAGCTTTCACTCTAGTTTGAATCTCTACGTGTAGTGTTTGTGCTGGGTTGGAGAGGATGGTGACGACGAGGATCCTGGCATGTTTTTCTTGTTTCTCACTTCATTATATATTGACTTTTTACTATTCTACCAAAGGATAACAGCAGTGCTTTTGTTCGATAAGCTCAGGATACAAATGCCTCTTTTCCTGCAGATGGCCCCACTACTCTGTACAGGTCTACACTCTGGCAGCAGGCGTGAATTCCTATCAAGTGAAGAGTCATTTGTTGCAGGCATCAAGGGCGTGACCACTCTCATGAAGGCATGGGGTGAGTAGCCTCCTGTAGGGGCCAGTGTGAAGAGGACAATGACCCTATCAGGCGATAGGTGACATGAACACAGTGATATTAAGGCAAAAAGTTCGTCTACAGCCAAAAATGTGTTTCTGGCTCTATTGAGATATGAATAAGAATTTAAAACGGTATATATCTCCTGTATACCACCTTAGGATTTGATGTTCATGTACATGTGGTTTTTTATCATATACTATATACACAAATCAACTCAAAATGATCGAAGACCCAAACATAGACCTGAAACCATAAAATGACGAGAGGAACATATGAAGATAACGCTTTGTCATTGGTGTCGATAACGATATCTTTGCTATGACACCAAAGACACAGGCAATAAACGGGAAAATAGACAAATGGGGCTGCACTGACCTCTAAAGCATCTGCACGTCAAAAAACAAACCAACAAACAAATAATCAACTGAGTGAAAAAGCAACCCAGAAAATGAAAGACAATAATTGCAAACCCTAGGTGGTAGAAGGGGCAAATATCTAAATACATAAGGAAGTCAAACAACTCAAAAGCAAATAACAAGTAACCTGTTTGAAAAACAGGCCAAGGAGCAGGATAGGCTTCTCTCCAAATAAAAGGATGTTCTAAGGAGCTATTGTTGTCTGTATTGGACGTGTCAAGTAGGACACGTAGATTTAGAAGGAAATTCCTTGAGGTTCTCTATTAATTGAGCCGGTAGCTAAAGCTCCCAGCAGCCACCAGAGGTTCAGAGAGAAATGCGCAGCAAGAGATTCACCCACAAGGTCCCTCTGGGGTGGCCCAGGAGTCAGAGGTCAGACTGGGGGCACAGGTTCAATGTTGAAACCTCAATGTGAAAGTTTTAAGTCTTGGGTTACTTACAGATCCTCAAGGTAGGCAGAGTGAAGAGGGAGGGCAGACAGCAGTCCTCTGTCCCGGGTCTCCTGTAGCAAGAGCAGCCGTGCACAAACAGGAGAGGACTTCCCTATTTAAGAGTCATTTGGGATCAGGTGTCCTAATAACCTGGGTTACTTTCCATTGGGTTTATTAAATAACTCTGGTGGGAAGGACAGTTGAGAAATTTGATGGGAAGTTGGGGTTCGGACAGGAGTCCATGGAGGGTCCCCTCATCTGCCTTTGTCAACCTTGCCCAGGCCCAGGCAGCAACCAACGATGGATTCTCCATGACTCCTAACACAATGGACCCCGAGATGCCTGTGCTGGTGGCTGATGCTGAGCTAGTTGCAGCAAGGGAATATTTAAAGCCCCCAGGAGAGCCTGGCCTGCATATCACAGGACACACTCTGTTAGAGAGACAAGTTCAAGTTTGACACCCATGCACAGGAGAGGATGAGGAATCTTCCCCTGAACCAGCCTGCCCAGTACCTGAGCTCTAACCATAACAAGACACCAAAGCCGATTGGTGGGCTGGGATGTTGCAGACCACCTGGTTGAGACTGAATCCCACGTGGGCTTGTGTTAGCAGGCAGGGCAGGTTTTGCTGGGTTCGTTAAGGATGTGCACACAGTATGTGGTTCCCTGGAGTGGACAATTGCCTCATTGCTTGGGCAATGGACAGTTTAAGGCCAAACGAGTGTCTAGGACCACTGGGGCCAAGAACTCCTGAGTTTCCTGCTGGAGACCTAATGTCTCTTGAAAGTCTCTCAGGGAGGCGGCCAAGGTGGCAGTGAGTTTGGTGTTAGCTTGCATCACCTGGTGCTCTGTGCTCCAATGCCTTGCTCTTAAGCCCATTCTGGGCAGGCTTAAGAGTCTCCATGCACATAGCATGAGTGGGATGATCAGTGGTCGCTTGAAATATGCAGGATCAAACTCCTGTGGTTCCTCCTGTGTTATTTGAGGAGAATTCCTAAGAAGACTAGAGCACATTTTAAAATGTACCACTATCCACCGTCCTCCTCCTTCTCCTAGTCAGGTAGATGGGGTAAGGTTTCTGGAGATGAGAAAAGAATGCAGTCGCTCGAGAGGCAATAAATACCTGTGGTGAGGTTGCTGAACCCAGTGTGCACGCCGGGCAGCCCCTGCCACCATGGGAATGTCGTGCACAGCGCTGGTCCCACAGGCTGGGTGCTCAGGGCCCCCCCTGCAGCTCTGTGTGAAGGCAGCAGGCATCGGCCGGTGGAGGCCTGGGGGCAGTGGAGTGATAACTAAAGCATCTCCCTCAACCTTAAGGTAGAGGAGGCATCTCAAGCTTTGCTAGAGGCGGTCGCTGTGGCAGAGCAGTGGGGTCTCCTGTCCCTCTGAGGAAGCAGTGAATTCCTGATGTGTGGCAGGCCCAGGAACTTCAGCTTTGGAGGAAGTGAGCACCAGTCTCACCCCAGCATAAGAAGAAATTTGGGCTCTTCGGGGAAACTGAGGCTCTGGTGACAGTTTTAGCTTCCAGGGCATTAGTAGGTGCCTGTAGGGTCGCAATGATGAGGTTATAGGGACTAAATATGAAGGGGTGTATATGAGCGAGAGGAAGATCTCCGGGTTCTGGAAATGTCCCATGTCCTGCGGAAGTGAAACCTGGACCTGCTTCCTGCACACAGAGCACACTCCAGTCCACAGGCATTTCCACAGCACTGCATGAGCGTTATCACTGGAGAGCTGGTGAGATTCGGGCGTGGTATTCTTACACATAGTTCTCCCAAGTCTATAGTTTTCCGTAGCTTGTAGGGCAGCTTTACAATCTCACTGAGGCTCTATGGGTTCCTTGCACCATAAAGTAATGGGCTTATTCTGAAAGCAAATGGTGATCTCAGCAAAATTCCACTCTAATGAGGTCATTTTTGGTGTAATCAGCAAAGCATGAGGTCAGGGAAGCAGCAAGTCAAGGGTTTGGGTACTGGCCATGAGCCAGCACCATGTACTGGAGATGGCGAGGTCCGTATTTGTAGCAGTAAGGAAAGGCTGGTTGGTGGTGATCTCGTGGTCAAAGTGATTTTCCTCTACAAGGGACTTAAACAAATAAGTAAGCAAAAAAGAAATGAGCCCTTTAAAATGCGTGCCAGGGCATGAACAGATACTTCTCAAAAAAAGACATACAAGAGGCCAAGAAACATGAAAAAATGCTCCACATTACTGATCATTAGAGAAATGCAAAATAAAACCTCAAAGGGATACCAGCTCACACTAGTCAGAATGGCTGTTATTGAAAAGTTAAAAAATACTGATATTGGCAAGACTGCAGAGAAAGAGAACGCTTATACACTGTTGAGGGGAATGTTAATGAGTTCAGCCATAGTGGAAAGCAGTTTAGAGATTTCGCAAATAACTTAAAATAGAACCAGCATTCAACCAAGGAATCTCACTACTGGGTATATATCCAAAGGAAAACAAATTATTCTGCCAAAAAGACACATGTACTCGTATGTTCATGGCAGCATCATTCATGCTAACAAAGACATGGAGTCAACCTAGATGGCCATCAGTGTTGGACTGGATGAAGAAAATGTGGTACATATACATGATGGGATACTACATTCATAAAAGAGAATGAAATTATGTCATCTGCAGCGAGTGGGATTCAGTGAGAAGGTGCCGTCTATGAATCACAAAACTGGTCCTCACCAGACACCAAGTGTGTTGGCACCTTGTTTTGGACTTCTCAGCCTCGAGAACACCAAGACATATATTTCTGTTGTTTCTAAGTCACTTGGTGTATGGTATTTTTTTCCAGCACTCCACATACACTCAGATTGCTTGTGTCTTTGAAGCCCGGATACCATGCTTGGAGGAAGTCTAAGTGTTGCAAATCCTGCTAGCTATGAGTGGGATACAAAGTGTCACACCAATCTCCTCCTTCATGAACCAGCATGATCTGACGTCAGTGCCTCACAGGGTCTCATCCCTGAGCCCTGTCAGAGCTGCAGCTGAGCCAGCACCCCCTGCCACCTGTTCACAAGTGTCTTGGGCCTGAGGTTTTCAGATCCCAGCAGCACTTCTCCTCTGATGCCTGTGGAGAGAGCCACCTCCCAATTGCAAAAGTGTGAATGAAGACCTGATCATGTTGTTTTAATCCATTAAGTCTTGTGGTGTCTTTTCATAGAGCCCTAGATGAACAGAGGGCAATTTTCACAGTATTGGTGACAAATTGGACTTGTACTTTGTGTGTGTAAATCTCAGCTTCTCTAAAATATTGATGAAATAGGAGAGAACTTTCTCAATTGAATCCCAAAGTGTCACAAAGAGCCCATTGTGGTGGGGGCATGGAATTGTGGACTCTTTGGAGAGACTGAGGAACCCCGTCTCACCCATTCTTAGTTTGAATTTTTCCTGTGGGGAGCTGGGGTAGTGTGGGATCCAGGTGGAGTCTCAACCTCTCCCCTCAGTGACAGACTCAGAGGAGGGTGTGGAACTCCAGAGCTGGCTGAAACAACGGAGAGAGAAGTAGGGGTTTTCTCCCGGAGATCAGCTATGAAGTCCCAGGGAAGATGACCATTATTCACACGGCTGTCATCTGGGGAGAGACCCCAAGTTAAGATCAAGAGAAAAAAGCGGGAAACAAAATGGTAAAGACAACAAGGTAACTCATGCCTAGAGTCCTTGGATCAGGCATTTTATGAAGCCAGAAGTCTTTCTTTTCTTTTCTTTCTTTCTTTCTTTTTTTTCTTTTCTTTTTTTTTTTTTTTTTTTGAGGCAGAGTGTAGATCTGTCACCCACGCTGGAGTGCAGTGG